>NC_000023.11:13046578-13349609 GCF_000001405.40 Homo sapiens | reverse complement strand
AGGGTCAGGAGATGGAGACCATCCTGGCTAACACGGAGAAACCCCGTCTCTACTAAAAATACAAAAAATTAGCCAGGCGTGGTGGCATGCGCCTGTAGTCCCAGCTACTCGAGAGGCTGAGGCAGGAGAATCGCTTGAACCCAGGAGGCGGAGGTTGCAGTGAGCCGAGATCACGCCACTGTACTCAGCCTGGGCGACAGAGTGAGACTCCGTCTTAAAAAAAAAAAAAAAAAAAAAAAGGAAGCATGTGAATGCATGCTTTGAAACGGAACGTGTATCTTTTTGCGAATAATGTCACCTAATTCTTAAGCTACTTTGGGAGCATAATACACTATCTGATCAATTTGTGCATTCAGGACTAAGTCCTTTATAAGGGTGGTGGAAATTTTGCTTTCAGATGTGTTCCATTGAGGATATAACTAGCCTTTGATAATGAATGGATTTTTCCATTCAAAATAAAGATATCACTCAGGAGGGTTCCAATATATCTTCTCATTATATGGCCTGGACTTCGCATACTTAAATGAGCTTACCTCAACCTACATTTCCAAGGTCTTCCCCTCCCTCTCTTCCCTCTCCACTTTTGGCTATAGTCATGTGACTTTTCAAATATACACACAGATATTACCAAATATGTTCCCAGACATGTAGAGGCAGCATGTTGTAGTAATTAAGACTATGAACTCTAGACCTAGGCTCTTGGATTCAAAGCCCAGCTTTGACAATTACTGTTCCTTTGGGCAAGTTACTTAGTAATTCTGTGCCTCAATTTATCTGCAAAATAAGGATGGCATTAATAGTACTTATCTCAGAGGGATGTTGTTAGGATAAAATGAGTTAATATTTATACAGCTCTTGAAACACTGCCTCGCAGATGGTAAGTCCTACAGGCTTATTAAACAAAATGCCTCTATTTCTTTGCATGTGCTTTTCCTTCTGCTCAGAATGCTTGTCCACCACTTCTTCAGCCCTCACTGTACTCCCATCACTTTTTAAACAGCTCTACGGAGGTATCATTGACATGCAGTAAACTGCACATATTTAAAGTTTTGACATATGTACACATTCATGAACACATCTATCACTCACAAAAGGTTTCTCATGCCCCTTATACTTCTTTTCTCTCTCTCCGTGCCCTCCTCCTTGGCAATCACTGATCTGCTTTCTGTCACTGTAAGACTTCTTTGAATTATCTGGATTTTTATATAAATGCAATCATACAACATGTAGTTTTTGGTGTCACTCCTTTCACTTAGCATAATGTTTTTGAGTTTCATCCACATTGTAGTATGTATCAGTAATTAGTTCTTTTTTATTGCTGAGTAGTATTCCATTGTATGGATATACTACAACTTGCTTATTCAATTACCTGTTGATAGATATTGGGGCTTTATCTATTTTGTTACAGTTGTTTTCCTAGTGCCTCAAACAGTGCCTGACATGTAGTAAGTACTCAATAAGTAGTACTTTAAAATAAGTGAATGAAAGAATTCCTTCTGGTGTGCTTCACCTTGTCCTTAAAACAATTATTGTTGCTATGAACAATCTGCAGCCATTACAAACCATGCCTTCAAAGAATATTGTATCATATGTAAGAACACAAATTGTTGCTGATAATAGGTCAGGCGAAAAAGGCAAAACCCCAGAGCACATAAAGGCCTAGAATGCATGGAGCAGTCTAATATATATATATAATCAACATATGTAATCTCTTTGACTTTATTTTTACTACTTCCCATAGTTTCCAAATTTTTGACAATGAAAGGAGATTCAACTTTTTTTTTCAAAAATGCAATTATATTTTTAAGAACAATCTGGCTGGGCACAGTGGCTCATGTTTATAATGCCTGTAATGCCAGCAATTTGGGAGGTCAAGGCGGGAGGACTGTTTGAGCTCAGGAGTTCAAGACCAGCCTAGGCGACATGGTGAAACCCCGTCTCTGCAAAAAAATACAAAAACTATCCAGGCATGGTGCCCCATGCTTGTAGTCCCAGCTACTTGGCCAGCTGATGTGGGAGGATCAATTGAGCCCGGGAGGTCCAGGCTGCAGTGAGCTGTGATCACACCACCACACTCCAGCCTGGGCAACAGGGCAAGACCTTGTCTCAAAAAAAATAAAAAATAATAATCTGCTCAAATGTTACTTCTTTCATGAATCTTTTGCCCTTTCCCCCAGGCAGAATCAATGGCTCCTGGCTCCTTCTGTAAAGGCAACATGGTATGTATCAGTCAACTCTTGCCAAAGTAATGCTGTATACAAAATCCCTACCTATCTCAGTAGCTTACCATTACAAACCTTTCTTTCTCCTGAGTCTGCAGGTTGGCTAGGTGAGAGGCATGGTGCTTTGCTTCAGGCAGAGGGTCAGCTAGGCTACTCTGATTCTATGCCTATTACCTTCTGACATGGCTTTGTGAAAGAGACGAGTGCAAACACATGATGCCTCTCAAAGCCAAGACTCAAGAACTGGCCCACAGTTCTTTAAACCTATATTCCATGGCTAAAACACAACGCACAGCTAACCCCATGGCAGTGGGGCAGAGAATGATCCTTCCATGGAGATCAGGAGGTGTGGGAAAGGAAATACTTGTTGAACAATAATTTAATCTACCACATTATAGGAGACACAACACTGGTTTTGGAGTCTTTTGAACCTGGCTTTGAAAGCTAGCTCAACCACTTAAGAGCTGTGTGCTTTGGGGCAACTTACTGTTTACCTTTTTTGTTAATTGGAGGTAATAAAATGCCTGGAAGAGGCGTTGTGAGCTTTAAATGAGGTTAGGTGTATGGTGACCACAGAAGTACACTAGTCAGAGCTCCTTCTAGAGAATGTGCAGTTGGCAAATAAGTATCCCAGCACTGGGTGCTGTCCCCCTGGATCCTCCATCAGGCTTGCCCTGAGGCCATGCTTCCCTCAGGCTGCACCCGGCCATTGATGAAGCCCAGCAGAGAAACTAAATCAGGCCCATTGCTGGAGGATGAGACTCCTCTAGTAGGAGACATGGGCTTGAAGGCCTCCCACTGATCTGGCTTAAACATTCTGACACCAGCACTGCAGTCTGAGGCTCTGTCTCCAATCCTCTTTCTCCCTTCCTTTGCTCCTCTAAGCTGGTGTCAGGCCTGCACTGCAGTTGGGAGACTCTCCCTGCACACCCCTGCTTCCTCCCCTTTATCCTGCACAGGTGTTTCTCCCAATACATCTCTAGCTCATTCAATTTCTTTTTTTTTTTTTTTCCTTTTTTTGAGACAGGGCCTCAGTCTGTTGCCCAGGCTGGAGTGCAGTGGTACAATCATGGCTCACTGCGGCCTTGATCTCCTGGGCTGAAGCGATCCTCCCATCTTAGCCTCTTGAGTAGCTGGAATGACAGGCACGCACCACCACACCCAGCTAATTTTTTGTGTGTTTTTTTTTTAATAGAGACAGGGTTTTGCTATGTTGCCCAGGCTAGTCTTAAACTCCTGGGCTCATGTGATCCTCCCACCTCGGCCTCCCATAGTGCTGGGATTACAGGTGTGAGCCACTGAGCCCAGCTGCACGTTCAATTTCCAATTTCATCTTGGTGTCTGCTTCTTGGAGGCAGACTGAGACACTGTATATTAAGTGCCTAGTAGAGTGCCTAAGAAAAAGTAGAAACTCAATACATTTTGTTTTTAAAAGATTATTTCTCTTGTTTACTCAAGATCTTTAACGTATATCTCATCTATAGCTGTTGTCACACTTCACAGATAGTTGAGGGTTTTCTGATTTTAGAAATTGTGATAAAATATGTGCAACATAAAATTTGTGATTTTAACCATTTTTAAGTGTACAACTCAGTGGCATTAGTTACATTCACAAAGTTGTAAAACCATCACCATGATCTGTTTCCAAAGCTTTTTCATCACCCCAAAATACTCTATTACTAAGCAATAACTCTTCCCCCGCTTCCAGTCCCTGGTAACCTTCATTATACTTCCTGTCTAAGTTGTTTTATTACTTATTTCCCATGGTTAACTGAGCTCAAAGGCAGGAATTTTGTCCTAGTTGTCTTTGTATTTTAGGTTGTGTACTAAATCTTAATAGAAATGAAATGAAAAATACAAACAGGGATGTACACTACTAAAGTGATGAATGCACCAGATTGTTTAACTTGATTGTAATTTTGATTGACGTTACTATCTCTCAATATTTTTGCTTCATGATAAAACTTGTAAAGAAAAAAGGAGGGTTTCTATGCATGCAGTTTAAGTGAATCTATCTTTTTCCCCTTGTGACCCCTTTCTCTCCTCTACTGCATTTTCTAAAGATCACTGCACACAATCGTTTAAGCAGAACGCCGGTTGTAGGTCAACAGATGATTTTGTAACAAGGGGGCAAAGGAAAAAATGCAAAACTTCCTCTTTCTCAACATTAGTTAGCATGGGAAAGTTAACATGATGTGCTTCAGAGGGTTCATTAGAGGGGGCTTTCCTTTATGTGGCATTTGACTGTTTCTACTCAAATAAAATGAACTGGCAAAATATTTGAGCAGAAATGTGTATGCCTTTCTGAATAAAAGGAGCCTGGAGGTAGCCGCTTCACCTTGCTGATTGTTTCCTTTGCTGTGTAGAAGCTTTTTAGTTTGATGTAGTCTCACTTGTTCATTGCTTATGTTGCTTGTGTTTTAGCGGTCATATCTAAACATATCACTGCCAACGTCAAGGAAGGCTTTTGCTGTGTTTTCTTCTAGGAGTATTACGGTTTTACGTCTTTAATCCATTTTGAGTTAATTTTTGCATATAACGTGAGATAAAACCCCAATTTTATTCTTTGCATGAGGGTATCTAGTTTTCCGAAAACCATTTATTAAAGAGACTGTCCTGTTCCCATCATGTATTCTTGGCACCCTTATCAAAGACTAGTTGACTGTACATGTGTGGGGTTATTTCTGGGCTCTTTATTCTGTTCCACTGATCTATGTCTCTGCTATTACAATAAAATCAGTATCTCCAAGAGATACTTGAGCCTCCATGTTCATTGCAGCATTATTCACAATAGCCAAGATATGGACACAACCTAAGTGTCTGTCAATGGATGGATGAATGAATAAAGAAAATGTGGTATGTAAATACAATGAGGCCAGGTGTGGTGGCTCATTCCTGTAATCCCAGCACTTTGGGAGGTCGAGGCAGGCAGATCATTTGAGGCCAGGAGTTCAAGACCAGCCTGGACAACATGGCGAAACCCTGTCTCTACTAAAAATACAAAAATTAGCTGGGTGTGGTGGCGGGCACCTGTAATCCCAGCTATTTAGGAGGCTAAGGCACAAGAATTGCTTGAACCTGGGAGGCAGAGGTTGCAGTGAGCCGAGATCGCACCATTGCAGTCCAGCCTGAGTGACAGAGTGAGACTTTGTCTCAAAAAATAAATTAATTACATAAATAAATACACTGAAATACTATTTGATCATAAAAAGAAGAAAATCCTGCTATCCATATGGGAAACATTATGATAAGTGAAATAAACTAGACACAATTACTGTATGATCTGAAAGAAACCAAAATATCTCACCCCAAAATATTATGCATCCCTATTGCTCACCACATACGAAAATTAACTCAAGATGGATTAATAGCTTGACCCAGTGCAGTGACTCATGCCTGTAATCCTAGCACTTTGGGAGGCCGAGGTAGCTGGATCGCTTGAGACCACGAGTTCAAGGCCAGCCTGGGAAACATGGCAAAACACCTTACCCCAGCCAGAATGGACATTAAAAACTCAAAGAACTATAGATGTTGGCATGGATGTGGTGGAAAGGGAGTGCTTATGCACTGCTGGTAGGAATATACATATATATATATACAATATGCATACATATATACACACACACACATACACATATACATACATATATATATATATATACACACACACACACATATACACACGTGGGTGGAAGTGGAGACCATTATTCTAAGAGAGGTTAACTAAGGAATGGAAAACCAAATACCGTATTTTCTCACTTATATGTGGAAGCTAAGCTATGGGTATGCAAAGGCATACAGAGTGGTATAAAGGACATTGGAGACTCAGAAGGGAGGAGGTAGGAGGAGGATGAGGAATGAAAAACTACATATTGGATGCAATGTACACTACTTGAGTGATGAATGCACTAAAATCCCAGACTACCACCATGCAATTCATCCATTTAGCCGAAAACTACTTGTACCCCTAAAGGTATTGAAATTAAAAAAAAATTTTAATATATATTTTGACATATTTTGAGGTGGCTGTTCACAGGGCCTGCCAACAGAAGTGGCCTGCAAAGCTATCTTGTGTGAAGGAGATTTGCAACTGTAGAGGGAGTAAAATGAAGTAAACAACAGATGCTATCATGTATTCTTTGAAACACCACCCCACTCTCTCCCTCTGGATCCAGGAAGGATCACCTGGGAGTCTTGACACTTTAAAGGCCCTGCAGAAACATTTATCACAGGCTCCCATCTCTTCTCTCTGAGGGATTTCAGAGAGATTTCATCTGTGAGATTTCATCTGCATAACAAGACCACCTTTACTAGCCAGGCCTCCTCTTCTCTCTGTCCCATAACCTGTCTTGCCACCATAACCTGTTTTGCTATAATCCAAGTCCTCATTCTTGCTGTAACCTCAAGATGGTATAAAAGTGTCAACCCTCTAGCCATTTCTTTGAGCTTGTATGACTTCCATACACATGTGCACACAATAAAATTTGTATGCCTGTTTTTCCCGATAATCTATTATCAGTTTGTTTTATAAACTCAAATGACTGAAACTTCAGGGGAAAAAATTTAAACTTTCCTACAGTCTCACTTATATGTGGAATCTAAACAAAGTCAAGCTCATAGAAGCAGAGAGTAGTATGGTGGTTGCCAGGGGCTGGGAGGTGAGGAAAATGGGAGATGTTGGTCAAAGGGTACAAACTTTTGGTTATAAAATGAGTAAGTTCACCAGAACTTATGTGATCTAACATACAGCATGGTGTAACATACAGCTGTATGTGATCTAACATACAGCATGATCACAGTTAATAATACATTCTTGTTTACTTGAAATCTGCTAAGAGAGTAGATCTTAAGTGTCCTCACCACACACACACACACACACACACACACATATACACACAGAGATAACTAGATATGGCGATGAATGTGTTAATTTGTGATAATCACTTCACAGTGTATGCCTATATCAAATCATCACATTGTACAGCTTGAATATATATGAATTTTGTTTGTCAATTACACCTTAATGAACTAGAAGAAAAAGTAAAAGGATCCTGGATCACTTCAAAATATAAGCATGGCCATGATTGTGTGAGAAAATCAAGAATGCAGCTAGGTACATGTTTGAGTTTAGAGTCTGTGCACAGGTTGGGTCTTCAGGCCTAATGAAGGTATCCTAGAGCAAGTAGTGGGAAACATCACCATGTTGAGCCTGCTTGGAGTTGGGTGGGTTGGAGTCAACTGTGTGGATGACATACCACAAACTCCAACTTGATTTGGAGATCCATCTCTGACAAGGCAATGATTTAGAATAGGGTTCCTCAACATTGGCACCACTGTCAGAGCATTCTTGGTGATGGGAGCTATCCTGTGCATTGTACAATGTTTGTAGCAGCATCCTTATCCTCTACCCACTAGATGCCGGTATCACTCCACTTGCCCACCCTTACACCGCCTCCCCAAGTGGTGACAACCAAAAATGTCTAGACATTGTAAAATGATGTCCCTGGGGGGCAAAATAGCACCTGGTTGAGAACCATTGATTGAGATGAGAATGACCATGAATAAATTTCACCATTGTATTATGCCTGTATTTCTGCATTTTCAAAGTGGAGATACTATTTTTCCAGGTGTTTCTTCTAAAGCTTTTGTTTGGATTTCTGCGTCAGAAGAAGGAAATGAAAAGAATGCCTTTAAGAATCTCCTATTCTCTCATATCCTTCCTTCTTACTCATGCTTGCTAGCTTTTTTCCCTCTTCCTACTGAGAAATAAGTAATGTTTTATTGAATTGGTTTAGGTTTGCAGTTTCTGTTTCCCTGCTTCACTAAGAATATATCAATAGATACATACTTTGCCACAACAATAAAGAAAAAATACTTTCTGACAGGTGGTCCAGGCTGGACTTCATTTTACAAAGCATTCCAAGGGGGCTGGGCGCGGTGGCTCACGCCTGTAATCCCAGCACTTTGGGAGGCCGAGGTGGGTGGATCACCTGAGGTCAGGAGTTTGAGATCAGCCTGACCAACATGATGAAACCCCGTTCTACTAAAAATAGAAAAAATTAGCTGGGCGTGGTGGTGGGCGGCTATAATCCCAGCTACTCGGGAGGCTGAGGCAGGAGAATCACTTGAACCCAGGAGGCAGAGGTTGCAGTGAGCCGAGATTGCACTACTGCACTCCAGCCTAGGTACGACAGAGTGAGACTCTGTCAAAACAAAACAAAACAAAACAAAAACCAAACCCCCGCAACACCCCCCCCCAAAAAAACCCAAAGCATTCTAAGAGATTTCATTTTATGAAGTATCACAAAAGACTTCATTTTCTGAGCATCAGGAAAGTTGTAAAGGTATGTTAAGTCTTCTTCAAGCAAAGGACTGCTGGGCTGAAGCCCCAGGCCTTCTGTTTCCTTGAGGACTTTCTGTGGCTTGGAGGAAAAGCGGAAACTCTCTCTCTCTGGGCATTCTTTCTGCCTAAGCCCACCAGGGAGCTACATAAGCTTAATTAATGTTTGTAAAACATTTTTGAGATGAAAAACACCATTAGCTCAAACCACTGCTATGAAAAGTATTGTTTTCGAAACTGCATCCACACATTAGCTGTCTTAACTAGTCTTGAGGGAGACAGAAAGAACCAAAAGTACCAAATGGTGACAGAGGAGATGATGAAGCCCTAATGGGACTCCTGGCTCCAAGGAGGAGCAGTGCTGGATGGATTCATTCCTATGTGTGCTGTATGTGTCCTGCTTTCCAGAACAGCCTCCAGCAACTGATTATTTACGTGAGTAAATAACAAAAAATGCTGTTTTATGCCCGGGATGTTGCTGAAACAAGAAATCAGCATAGTCTCATACCCAGGGTGAGAACCAGGAGACAGAATTGGCTAGCTGGTGAGGGTGCATCTGCTAAGAGATTTAGACAGTAAAGGATGACTGTCAGAGGCCATAAGGCCCAGGAAATGTCCTAAACACACGGCTGCTGAGCACAGACAAAGCCTTTGTGTTGTATAGAAAAGAATCCCCTCTGGGCACAGCCCTTTCCCAAAGCCATGGTGAGACAGCCAGGTGGGAAGGGCTCCCTGGCAGAGCCTCCGACCGACCTGCACACTGGAAGGAGCGCGCAGTGGGGTGGAGCCACAGAACGTCCAGCTTTTGCAGGGGAGAGGAGCCTTGCCCCTCCTCTTCCTCGGTGGTACCTGAGAAGCCCACGGGCAGGAAGCACACTCTCTTGCTTTGCTAGGTGTCTCTTTTCTCCTTTTCTTCCTTTTCACCCAATAAAACCGTGCCCTACTCACCCTTCAAATAATCTGCAAGCCTAAATTTTCGTGGCCGTGTGACAAGGACCCCGTCTTCAGCTGAACTAAGGAAAAGTCCCCAAACAATGGGAAGAAAGGCAGGGAGTAGACATCCAATTTCCTGGCGTGGATTGTGGAGGGGTACCATGGTTCTGACCAGATGTGTATCAGGAGCTTGGAATTCATAAGCAGAGAGGTAAAGCAGAGCTGAATTGAGGAGGTGTCCCTTCGAGCTGGCATGGTTTGGTAAGCAGGGTGTGACCTGGAATTTGGCCCTCGATCTAGCTTTTACAGCCTGGCATTCTGGTGTGCTGCATAACCTGTGTGGCCAAGTGCTGGGCCTTAGAAGACCAAGCCTAGCAGGATGGAGTTGCACCTCTGAGCTGCATCTCTTTAAATTGCCTCAGAAAGAATCTGGAAGCTGCTGGAATACCTACTACCAAGGTCTTCCACCAGATTTCTGGCATCTTGCCCTTCCCTCCCTCTTCAGTTAGTTAGTCCCAAGTCACCACTCCCTTGTCGGGAGACTTGTCCCAACTACCTTCAAACTGTATAATCCTTCACTACCATCACTGATGACAAGAGGAGAGCTTGATAAAACTCATGAAGCCTTGCATTTATTTGTGAGTCTGTTATAAAGTTCTAAAGTTCAGCACTTTATCTTTCAATACGTTAGGGGAAAAAGTTATAAATATATCTGCTTCTGAGAACTTTAAGCTTCATGTTTCATGTAATAATTTATCTTTCATTCCAGTGTTGGTAAAAAACATATTTTTCCAAAGAATCCTGGTGTCTGTGGCTTTATTGGAGGAGACACAGTATTTTTAAATATGAGAGCTTCATCAGAGAGTGATTTTCTGGCCTATGGGTTTGAAGACATTTGGCACAGACAAGTAAGTGAGGTCACTCTGCTCTCTTTTAAAGACTGTCCATTGCATTTCAAAGGAAACCCAAGCTCCTCCTCACGACAGGCAGGGCCTTAAAAACCTAGCCCTTGCCTCCCCTTGGGCCACTTCCATCCCTGCACACTGCCCTTCATCCACACTGCCTCTCTCTGTCCTCTGGATATGTCGTTTCCCCTTGCTGTTCTTACAATGCTTACACCTTCACTCTTTATCCGACTGGCTCCTTCTTGTCATTCATTCTGTGCTCCCCTCAGAAAGAACTGCCCTGACCACCCAATTGAAAGAAGTCCTTTCCCCAAATTACTGTCACCTTACTTTAGGATATTTATTTTTAAGTTAAAAACATTTAAATTTCTATTTTTTCATCTTCAGTGTCCAGCTGGAATGGATATTTTTATAGCACTTATTACTCTGCAGTTAATATATGTCCTCACCTCTATATTCTCTATTATGTCCAGGGTGACTATGTAATGTATTATCCAAACTGAGACACTCTTGAGAGTGAGAGCTATTAATAATTATAATGAGACAATGAAATAAGGTGAGACTCTCCCAGGGACACAAGAATGTATGGATCATTGGAGTTGAACCCATTAGAGAATGTAATCTTCCTTAGGCATGAACTTTGTGTGGTTTCTTCACTGTTGATCATCAAAGCAGGGAATTGTACCTACTACCAGTAGGTACCTACTGTTAAATGAACAAATGACTTCTATATGCATAGATTTACACGTTTAAATGTTCCTTGTCATTTTTGCATTTTTCCATATATTAAATATGAGTGTATATATTTACAATGTCATTTTAAGAGAAAGAAATCAGAAAATTATATGAACCTTATGTTCCCTATATGATATGTATAAATGTGGGTAATGACTGATAACAGGGAAAAATAAAGTGTTTATATATTTTAGTGATGGTATAATGGTTTTTTCTTTCTTTTTCAATTTCTTTTATCCCTGTAACATTATCTGTAAAATTTTCAAAAACTAAAAGGCAAAAATGGAAAAATGAAAGAATGTTTTCTTTAACATATCTGACCCTAAGCTACATCTCTAGCTCTGGCTTGCCTCTGTTTTATGAACTCCAAGCTCCTCAAACATATGTAGCCAGAACCATGGTACCCCTGCCACAATCCATGCTAGTAAAATATATGTCCACTCTCCTGCCTTTCTACCCATGGCTCAGTTCCAATAGAGGTTACATGTGAACATCTGATGGTGGAACCTAAATCATGCTCACCCACCTGTGTTGCAGGAAGTCTCAGGAATGAAGTTGATAGCTTTCTTTCCATCACATGCTGAAAGAAAGAATGGTTGTTGAATGAGCCAATCCATAAAGAAGCATTCATTTACTTCAACACATATTGAGTACCTACTATGTGGATGGCCCAGAGGTGACAGCAACTTGTTGAAAGCTTTTTAAACCCTCATTTCTTTAACCTTTTTTCCATAACTATCTTAATCTACTACTACAGGTTAACCCCTTTAACTTCTATTTTCCAGCAGAATTATACTATACGGGTCTTGGTCTGACATATTTTCAATGGTGTTGAAATACAAAGCAGTGATTCTATACCCAGATGAACAATAGCTGTGAAATGGATCCTAGAAGAATGGTAAAATCAGAGGAGAATGGAAGGTCATGGGTTTCCCATTTGGCTGAATTAAAATTCAGACTAGGTTGCTTCCCTTCCCCTTTGTTGGAGACATTTATAGCTAGGGGTTTAAGACTGAGATCCAGGCTTCCTTAAAGAAAGTTTTATTTTGAATTTCAACAAAAAGCAAAGTGTATGATGGAGAGTCTGACCAACTGGATATATATTTCCACTTAAAGAAGCTCTTGTATTGATTTAAAGAAGCTCTCGAACGCTTGTTTTATTGCTTTTCAATTGGTCTCAGGTTTTCAATAAAGAAAATAGGAGGCCGGGTGTGGTGGCTCACGCCTGTAATCCCAGCACTTTGGGAGGCCGAGGCGGGTGGATCACGAGTTCAGGAGATTGAGACCATCCTGGTCAACACGGTGAAACCCCTTCTCTACTAAAATACAAAAATTTAGCTGGGCATGGTGGCGCGTGCCTGTAGTCCCAGCTACTCGGGAGGCTGAGGGAAAATTCGTGGTTTTGAGAATTGGTAAAGACTCTATCATTTCCTATCTGAACATTTAAAAAGAAATCATGGTAACATCAAGTGTTAGGGACACAACCATCACTTGTATCTATATGAAGATCAGGTAATCTGTGCTCTGGTTTAGGTCTCTCCATCATCATTTACCTCAAAACCAGCAATATCACATATTAATTACCGTAGATAGGCTCACCGTGATCTCTTGACACACCCTGGAAAACACATTGTGGGAAATGGGTTTGGTACTAGTCTAATTCTACTTGTACAGCTACAAATTCCCTTGGTTTCTTGAATCTTTTGGGGCCCACAAAAGCTAGATAAGGGCAGAACTACAAAGTCAAACTATAGGAAGAGGCACCGTCTACTCTTTGACAGATACCTCCAAAAATCCCATGGCCAATAATGTGGTGATGAGCAATATGATAAAATAGCAAGATACCTGCATATATGTCTATCAGTACAAGTGTTAAATACACATTATCTCAAAAGAAAAATACATTAAAAACTCATGGTTCCTGTTAGTAGTAGGGATAATTTAATTTTTAAACTGCATACATGCCATAAACAAGGTTTATGTAACGGCCTTGAAAACACCATTCATTACTTACATGACTGAAAAGACGAAGGCATCTAATGAGTTAGAGTCACACCATCTCATGCCTGTATACTATCAAACAACTTTTGGGAAGCCTGAAAAAGACAAACACAGTAACACTGTGTTAGAGGGACCATACTTGCTTACCTAAAAATCTGAAGAACAGGTGGTCTGTAGTGTGGTAAGACCCAATTTATCACTGACCTGGTTACTACCAAGAACACATAAATGACCACTGTTAGGTTCACTATGATTTCATGACTATGGGTACCTGAAGAAACACATTCAATGATGAATGTGTTTAATGAAACACGCTGTTTTACCTGCAAAAAAGGACGGGGCACCTGCAACTTGTATCAGTCATTTTCCTCATTAGAGGAACCACCAACACTACCTCGATCTTAGTAGAACTTTGAGATCAACACTAATGTTAGAGATACCATCATCGCTTGACTTAGAAATCTCATTGTTCATACTATAATGTGGAAGAGTAGGATAACTCACCTGGATACCGGCATAGCCCTCCTTAGAGACTAATGTTAAACACACATTATATCTCTTTTATTTTTTTAAGAGACAGGGTTTTGTCCTGTTACCCAAGTTGGAGTGCAGTGGTGTGATCACAGCTCACTTCAGCCTCAACCTCCTGGGCTCAAGTGATCCTCCCGCCTCAGCCTCCAGAGTAGCTCATACTATAGGCACATGCAACTATGCCCAGCTTGGTTAGATACTACACATTATATCTAAACTGTAAAATAATAAGGGCTAATGCTTACTAGCCTTGGTTGGGAAAACATCATTTCTTAACTGAATGCCTGCAAAAAAACCATGGTAACACAAAAGTTAGAAGCACCATCCACACTTAATTATAGATCTGATGATCAGATTGTTTTCTGAGTGCTTGCTTAAGGCCCACGTCATTACTTACCTGGATGCAAGCAAAGTCTCATTCTTGATCATGATGAGGTTTACCATGTCTTCTTGACAGGATCCTAAAAACACATTATGACAAATGTGTGTAGACACAGCTTTTTTCCTTGAACCCCACAATTAAGCTTATTCACTACCATCATTCCAAGAACCATCAAGTATACCTGGAATCTTGCAGTACTGCAAGGTCTATAGCACTGTTACAGATACCATTTTCTCTCTACTACTTACCTGCAAACAAACCCACAATTGCTACTATGACATGCAACTCCATGGTTAATTCCTTGGATAGCAAATAGCTCGCCAATCACAAAGTTAAACATAAATTTTCTCTAAAATATAAAACAGCAGGATAACATGGTTGCTGTAGTTAGTAAAGACTATCATTTCTTACTTGAGTACCTATGGAAAAAAATCACACAGTAAAAAAGTTTAGGTAAATGTATAACACTTACTTAGATATATGAAGATCTGGCCGGGCGTGGTGGTGCACGCCTGTAATTCCAGCACTTTGGGAGGCCAAGGTGGGTGGACTGCTTGAAGCCAGGAGTTCGAGACCAGCTTGGCCAACGTGCCAAAACCCCATCTCTCAAAATACAAAAATCAGCAGGATGTGGTGGTGCACACCTGTAATCCCAGCTATTCAGGATGCAGAGGCACGAGAATCGCTTGAACCTGGGAGGTGGAGGCTGCAGTGAGCCGAGATCACCCCACTGCACTCCAGCCTGGGTGACAAAGCGAGACTCTGTCAAAAAAAAAAAAAAAAAAGATATAAGAAGATCTGATGGTCTATGATGTGGTTAAAGAACACATCATCACTTGCCTGCATACCAGAAATGTCTGCCATACCAACCATTGTTAGGTTTATCAGGGTCTCACTACAGAAACCTGAAATACACATTGTGAAATATGTGTTAAAGGACACAAACATTTCCACCAAGACATCTGAAAATAACCTTCGTCACTCCATCATTACAGAACACATAAACTCTACCTGGATACTTGTAATAATGCAAGATCAATACCACTGTCAGGTAAGACGGTCATTTCTTGACAGGACACCTGTAAAAATCCCCTGGTTACTGCTGTGGTAAGAAACACCAATAACCAGGATAGGCACTATCACTCAAAACTCAGAGGTTAATCATAAAGTTATTCTAAAATATAAAAAGTGAGAAAAATAATGTTTTTTTAAATTGGTAAGAGCTCTATCATTTCTTACTTGAACAGCTACAACAAAATCATAGTAACAGAAGTGTTAGGGACACCACCACTTACCTATATAAGGGAAGATCAGATGGGCTGGGCTGTGTTTTAGGCCCACATTATCATGCACATCCATACGAGCAATGACCCCTGTTAACTATTACTGATAGGCTCACTGTGACCTCTTCAAATGAACCTAAAAAATATACTGTTGAAAATGTGTTTCCTAAATGTCTCATTCTACCTGTACACCTGCAAATTCCCTTCGTCTCTTTCATCATTTCAGGGCCTATCAAAGGTAACTGGATGCTTGCATAATGCCAAGGGAAAACACTCGTAAGAGAAACTTTCCTCTCTTGAAGTGATACCTACAAAAATCTCAGCATTACAGTGATGGACAATATGATAAATTACCTGGATACTCGCATATCCATATATCACTACAATTGATAAATACACATTATGTCTAAACAAGAACACAGTAAAATCTCACTCTTACTAGTAATGTTAGGGAAAAAGTAATTTCTTAACTGCATGCATGACAAACACAAGGTTACAAGAAGAGTCTCAAAAAAATCATTAATCACCTACATATCTGAAAATAGGAAGGTTGCTAATGTGTTAATATCACATAATCTTCTACCTGTATACTAGGAAAGAACTTAACAGGATACCTGCAGGAATACATGGTAGACAAGTGTTAAGGACACCATCCTCACTTACATGGAAATATAAAGATCTAATGGTCTGATTGTGGGAAACACACTTTCTCAATTAGCAGGTTACAGCACGGTTCCATTAATGACTATTGTTAAGCTTGATTGTGAGCTCATTACAGAAAACTAAAAAACACATTGCTCAAGTGTGTTTAAGGAAACAATTTGTTTTACATAAAAAAAGACAAGACACAAATAATTCTGGGCACTTCCATCAGCAGGGAACCTTCAACACTACTTGGATTTGCCATGACTTCAATGTCAACAATGTAGTGGCACCATCATCTCTTGATGATGTTGAAGTCTCATGGTCAATAACGTGGTGGGAAACAGTAGGAAAACTTACCTGGATACCTGCATATCCCTCCCTCACTATAAGACTAAACACATTATAACTAAACTCTAAAATAATGACTGATGCTTACCTGCGTTGGTTGGGAAAATATAATTCCTTAACTAAATACCTGCACAAAATATGGCAACACAAAAATTAGGAAAACCATCTACAGTTACCTACATTTCTGTAGATCACATTTTTGTAGGGTGTTTAAGGCCCACATCATAATTGGCTTGGATACCAGCAATGTCCCATTGTTGATCATGATGAGGTTTCCCATGACCCCTTGAGAGGAACCTGAAACCACATTATGACAAATGTGTCTGTGGACACAACTCTTCCACCAGAACCCTGCAAATAACTTGTTGGCTGTCATCATTGCAGAAGACATAAATCTACATGGAATTTTGCAGTATTCCCAAGGTCTACAACCTTGAAGGACACACCATTTTTTCTTGACTACCTATCTGCAAGGATACCACAGTTACTACTATGAAGCACACCACGTTGTTATCTGTGTACACGCAAATCATTTGATACTCACAGCGTAAACCATAAGTTTTCTCTAAATTAAAAACAATATAACATGGTCACTAGAACTAGAAATACTGTCATTACTTACAAAAATCACTGTTATAAAAGCACATGATAAACAGTTCACGTAAACAGACATCACTTACCTAGATATATGAAGATCAAATGGTCTGTGATGGGGTTAAAGTGAACATCATTACTTACCACAGATACCAGAAATGTGGCCTGATAATGACCCCTGTTCATTGGGATTTCTTCCAGGAATCTGAAAAACATATTATGACATATGTGTAAAAAACACGTAACATGTTCTAGCAGTACAACTTGCTAATAGCTTTGGTTGCATTTATCACTATGGAAAACATGAACTCTATCTGGATACTTTTAGTACTCCAGGACCAAAACTATTGTCAGACACCTTCAAAATTTCCACGTTTACTACAGCAGATGGGAATATCTCATGATAATCTGAATATGTGCAATCCAACAACACTCACAGGGCAAAACAAATGTTTTCTTAAAATATAAAGAGGACTAATTTAACTGGCGTGAGATGGTATCTAATTGTGGTTTTGATTATTCCTCAAGGATCTAGAACCAGAAATACCATTTGACCCAGCCATCCCATTGCTGGGTGTATACCCAAAGGATTATAAATCATTCTACTATAAAGACACATGCACACGTATGTTTATTGCAGCAATATTCACAATAGCAAAGACTTGGAACCAACCCAAATGCCCATCAATGATAGACTGGATAAAGAAAATGTGGCACATATGCACCATGGAATACTACGCAGCCATAAAAAAGAATGAGTTCATGTCCTTTGCAGGGACATGGATGAATCTGGAAACCATCATTCTCAGCAAACTAACACAGGAACATAAAACCAAACACCACATGTTCTCACTCATAAGTGGGAGTTGAACAATGAGAACACATGGGCAGAAAGAGGGGAACATCACACACCGGGGCCTGTCAGGGGGTGGGGGGCTACAGGAGGGATAGCATTAGGAGAAATACCTAATGTAGATGACGGGTTGATGGGTGCAGCAAACCACCAAGGCACATGCATACCTATGTAACAAACCTGCACTTTCTGCACATGTATCTGAGAACTTAAAATATAATTTAAATAAAAGATAACTGAATTTTCAAAAAAATTTATATATATATATATATATAGAGAGAGAGAGAGAGAGAGAGGAAAAACCCTTGGCTTTGAGAGGTGATAAGGACTCTACATTTTTTTTGGTTTTTTTTAGACAGAGTTTCGCTCTGTCCCAGGCTAGAGTGCAGTGGCGCTATCTTGGCTCACTGCAAGCTCCGCCTCCCGGGTTCATGCCATTCTCCTGCCTTAGCCTCCAGAGTAGCTGGGACTACAGGCGCCCGCCACCATGCCTGGCTAATTTTTTGTATTTTCAGTAGAGACGAGGTTTCACCGTGTTAGCCAGGATGGTCTCGATCTCCTGACCTTGTGATCCACCAGCCTCGGCCTCCCAAAGTGCCAGGATTACAGGCGTGGGCCACTGCGCTCAGCCAGGACTCTACATTTCTTATCGGAATATCTGAAAGAAATCATAGTAATGACAAGTGTAAGAGCCATGTTCATCTCTTATCAAGAAATACGATATTCATAGGCTGTTTTTTGGTTTAGGTTCACATCAGCACTTAGTAACATAAGTATCTGCCACTGAAAACCAAGGTTAGATTAATCTTCATCTCTGTAATAGGATCTCAAAAACACACTACGAAAAATATGTTTCAGGACACAAGTTTGTACATCAGAAAAACAGCAGATAAACTTAGCTACTTCCACAATTATGAGACATATCAAATCTACCTGCACAACTTCAGTGATACACGGTCAAAATCTATGCAGAAATCCATTATTTCTTGACTGGACACCAGGAGAAATCCTATTGGCAGAACAGGGGTGGGGAACACAGTGATAAATACCTGGCTGGTTACCTGCAATCCCTCAACACTCTCAGGGTTCAGCATATACTTTTGGTGAAACAGAAAATGTGAAAACTCGGCCTACCTGGGATTGGTAAGGACTCAATCATTTCTCTCCCAAATACCTGGGAAAGAAATCACGATGGGAAGACATGTAGGGACACATCATCACAGAACTAGGTCTCTGTAACAGTCCCACACTGCAGGCTGTGGCACTTACCTCACCCAGCAATGTCCCACATTACCTAGGATTGAAAGGCCTGCTGTGATGCCCTGACACACATCTGAAAGACATATTATGGAAACTGCTTGGTCCACAACCTATGCTACAAGGACAATCACAAATACTCTTGTTCACTGGCATCATTTCACGACTCATCAAGGCTACCTGGATAACAGAAGAACTCTGAGGCTACAGTCTACAAGGGATACCTGCAGAAACACCACAGTCCACATCTGGGTGACAGACAATATGATCAACTACCTGGGCATTGGCATATCTGTCTATTGCGTGGAGTGTGAAATTTGCAAAAAACAAACAAACAAAGCCTTACCTCTGAATAAGCAAACAGTAAAATCTCATGCTTACTGGCATTGGGAATCACTAATTATTTTTTCCCAATGACACATATGCCAAACACAAGGTTACTCTACCAGACTCAAAACCGTCATTAATTTTATCTACATGCAGGAAACACAAAATGTCTTTCACGAGATAATGTCACAACATCTCCTACCTCTCTACAGGAAGAGAACTTTACGGGACTCCTGCAGGAAACCATGGGAAAAACAGTGTGTCAAGGAGAGTGCCCTCTTTGTCCAGGAAATCTGAAGTTCAGGTGGTCTGTACTGGCATAGGACTCATGTGATCAATTAACCAGTTACAATCCAGGGCCCCTGAATGGCCGTTCTCAGGCTGGCCTTGATCTCATGACTAGCAGCAGCAGAAGAAATGCATCTGACAGGTGTTTTCCGGGATGCCACTTGGCGTACCTGAAAGACGAAAAAGATATGCACTACACAGCCTGGTCACTGCCATCATCTGGGAACCATCGGCCTTACCTAGATCCTGGCAGAACTCCAACTTCCACCCCACTGCTGGCACCATTATTGACTCTGGACTGAGGATGTGTCAGAACTATCATTCCATCCTGTGGTCTGGTAGAGTAGGATAATTTACCTGGACACCCACATCTCCCTCAGTCAACACGGACTCAGGTTCAAGGCACATTTTCCTAAAGTTGAACATAGCAAGGACTAATGCTTACCAGTCTTGGTTGGCAAAGCATCGTTTCTTAACTGAATAACTGCAGAAAATAAAGAACAGAAAATGAGCCGAGGAACCCATGGCAGGACAGGGACAAGAGCCAGAAAGCCATCTGCATTTACCTGTGTATGGGAAGATCGGATAGTCCGTGGCCTGCTTAGGCCCACGCCATCACCCACCTAAATACAGGCACAGTCCTCCGCTCAAGCACGAAGAGGTTTCCTGTGACCTTTCCACGGGAACCTAAAACCACATATGTGACCAATGTGTCTATGGACACAGCATTTCCACTAGGACCATGAAAACCGCCTGCTCACGATCATCGTTGTGGGAGCCAAAATTGTACCTGGATGTTTGCAGGTCCTCCAAGGTCTAGGCCATTGCAGGACATGCTATTTTCTCTGGCCCGCTTCTCTGCAAAGCCACCATGGTTACTCCTGTGATGCACAGTGCCATGTGAATTCCCTGGGCACGTGCCAATCAATCAGCACTCACAGGGTACATACCTCATACGTTCTCTCCTGGACTGAAAACAACAGGATCACATGGCAATGAGAACGGGGAGCTACTACCCTTTCTTACCAGAACACCCATAAACCCATCACATGGTAAACCGTTCAGGGAAAGGAACCTCACTGACCTAATACATTAAGATCAAATGGTCTGTGTTGAGTTTACAGCACATACCATCACTTACCCAGATAGCAGACACGTCCCCTGATTGTGTCTCTGGTTAGTTAGGATTTCCTCCCGGGAACCTGGAAAGCATAAACTGAGATATATGCCTCAGAAACACACAAGCTGTTCTAACAGGATACCTGCAAATCACGATGCTCACATCCATCACTGAAAGACTCTTACCTGGATGCTGACAGGGTCCCCAAGCTCAGGGCCGTGGTCCCAGAAGACAGCATTTCTCTCTACAGGACACCTGCAAAATGTCTACGGTCACTGCTGTGGCTGGGAAAGCCAGATCATTACCTGGTATTTGCTGTCCCACTGCACTCACAGGGTTAGTCATTGTCTCTGAAATATGCAGAGGGAAAACTCACAGTTTACTATGCCAGGGAGTCTTACCATTTTTTCCTAGGACAACTGAAGTGAAATCATGGGAACAACAGGAAGGATGGACACCATCATCACTTTCCTAGACTGCTGAACCTTACGTGGCCCGTGCGTTGCTTTCAGTCCTCATCAGTGCTGACCTCCAGACCTGTATCATACTCATTGTGATGTCACGGTCAGGGGCTGAAATAGGCATGAAAACATATACGTAGAAGGACACAGGGTTTTCCACCAGGACTCCTGCAAAGAACCTTGAGTTCTTCCAGCTTTATGGGACACACCACTCGACCTGGATACTTGCAGTAATCCTAGGTCGACCCTGATAGCAGAAAACCACCGTTTCACAACTGGACACTTCCACAAATCCCAGGGGCAGTATGGGGGTGGGTAATACAGTGATAAATACCTGGTTACTTGCAATCCCTCAACACTCACAGGGTCAGCATACACTTTCGGTGAAAGAGAAAATTAGAAAACCTAGCCTATCTGAGATTGGTTAAGACTCAATCATTTCTCACCTGAATACCTGGGAAAAAATCATGGCGGGATGACGTTTAGGGACACATCATCACTGAACTAGTCTCTGTGACAGTCCCACGCTGCGGGCTGTAGTTAAGGCCCGCATCAGCACTTACCTCTGCCAGCAATGTCCCATGTTACCTAGCTTTGACAGGCTTGCTGCGATATGTTAATGTAAATCTGAAATATATATTGTGAACAGTGTGACTGGTACACGTATCATTCTACCTATATACCTCCAATCTTTTCTGGTCCCTTTTATTATTTTTGTAATCATCAAAGGTACCTCAATACTTGTAGAAATTTGAGGAAAACGCCTTTTAAGAATCCTTGTACTTTCTTGATTAGATCCCTGCATAATTCCAGTTGTTAATTTCATGGTTTTGGACAATACTGTTAATCCAGATGCCTGTGGATTTGTGTAGCTCTGTAAGTGTTCAATACTCATTATCTGTCAAGACATGCAATAAATTCTCTTGATTATTTGTATTACTAGAGGCATATTTATTTTTAACTGCATAAATGTGAAAAACAAGTTTAAGTTAATATTGTGTAAAACATTAATAAAGTTGATATCCGAAAATACCAAGGTGTTTTACATGTTAATACAACCTTATCTGGTAGCTGTATACTAGCCCAAAAACCTGAATGGATTACCTACAAAATACACAGTAGCTTAAGCATTAGGGATCCCTTTTTACCTACCTAGAAAATCCAACGCTCTGCATTGTGTAATTACCCCCATTACAGGACGCAAACAGTTATCACTACCTGTTTACAAGCAATGTTTCATTACTGAGCATTATGTGATTCACCTCATAGTTTTGACAAGAACCTGAAACATCATATAAGACAAATGTGTTTAAGGTCACAACTTGTTCTCCCCGGGCACTTGCCTACAACCTTGTATGCTTCCATTATTTTGGAATACACATCAACTCTACCTAGATACTTGCTTCAATTCAAGGTCAACATATCTTTGTTAGAGACACCATCATGGGTGGTGATAACTGCACAGCTGATAATATCCCATGGTTGCTACCCTGATGGGGAGCCACAAGATATTTTCAAGGACACATGGAAATCATTGACCACTCACCTGGTTAAATGTAAATTTTCTGTGAAATACAAACTCTGGATTAACACGTCTGCTAGAATTAATAAAATGCTATCATGTTTTGCCTGACTACGTACCAAAAATCAAATGGTAAAACTTACCTAGATATATAAAAATCAGATGATTCATGATTGGTTAGGGTGTGCATCATCACTTACTTAGAGCAGAAATGTTTTTATTAACATCCACTTTTAGTTTCATAACAATCAGTTCACAGGAACCTGAAACACAATGTGAATATGTGTTAAAGGATGCCATGTTTTCCAGGAGGACACTTGCAAATAACCTTGCAGAGTTCCGTCCTTATGAGACAAATCATCTGTACCTGGACATTTGCAGTATTCCAAGGACAACACTGTTGTCATATCAAACTATCATTTCTTGAGAGGAAGCCTAAAAAATTACGTGGTTTCTACTGTAGTGAAAATCACCATGATCATTGCCTGGATACATGCAATCCCTCAAACTCAAAGAGTCTGCCATACATGTTCCCTAATATATGAAAAGTAAAGACTCACGGTTTCTAGAATTGATACAGGTTCTATGATTTTTTTCCTGAACCCCTGCCAAAAAATCATGGAAAAGGCAATAAAGAAGTGCTTGGGGCGCTGTCATCACTTACCTATGCACATGATGATCAGATGGGCTGTGCTGTGCTGTGCTTTTGTCCCACACCATCTCTTGCCTTGATACCGGCAACATCCCATCTTTCACAGACTCCCTGATTACCTTTCACAGACTCACTATGATGTCTTGACTTGGATCTGAAAAACACATTGTGGAAAATGCATCTGGTATTGTGGAAAATGTGCTTGGTAAGTATCTTCAGATACCTGAACACCTGCAAAGTCCTTTGGTCACCTGTATCATTTCAGGACCCATCCATGCTACCTGGATGCCTGCTGAATTCCAAGTTCAAACCAAGGTAAGAAACTCCTTCATCTCTTGAAGACATATCTGCAAAATGACCAATAACCTGGTGATAGATAAGACTATAAATTACCTGGATACCTGCATATTCATCTGTTGCTCGGAGTGATAAATATGCATTATCTCTAAATAAGAATACAGGAGAATCTCATGTTTACTAGTATTGTTAGGAACTAACTCTCTAACTGCACACATGTCGAAAACAATGTTAATATATGTGTCTTAAGGATATCACTAACTGCTCAGGTATCTGAAAATTAGAAGCTCTCTCATGAGTCAATGTCATATGATCACTTACCTGGACACCAGCAACGTCTCCTGTTAACAAACATATTTAGGTCCTTTGTGATCTCTGGATAGGCATCTGAAAAGCATAATTTGAGATATGTGTTGAAGAACACAACCTTTTCTATCAGGATGCCTGAAAATAACCTTGATAACTGCCATCATGCAGAAACCATCTACTCTACCTGAATATCTGAAGTACTCCAAGGAAGTGCTGTTGCCAGATAAAAACATCATTTCCTGACTATAATCTCAAAATTCCCATGGCTACTAGTGGAGGAGGAGCACCACGATAGTTATCTAGACATGTGCAGTTCTTCATCACTAAAAGGGTTGAGCATACATTCTCTACAGAATAAAAAAGTGAAAATTCATGGTTCCTCATATTGTTAAGGGCTATCTCATGCTTAGCTGAATAGTTGCGATAAACACATAGTCAAAAAAATGTGACACCATCATTACCTATATACATGAAGATCAGATGGCCTAAGATCAGATGGCCTGTACTGTGGTTTAGGCTCACATCAGCACTTACCTGGGCACCAGGTGAATCCCTGTGAATGACCATTTTGAAGTTCATCATGTTCTCTGGACTGAAACCTGAAGAACAAATTTTTACAAATGTTCCTATGCACACAATTTTTTCCTCCTGAACAGCTATGGACAAAGTTGGTGGCTTCCTCCATTGCAGGACCCATCAATTCTACCTGATTACTTGTAGTATTCTATGGTCTGCACTACTGTTAGTGAAAACACTTTCTGTTCACTGCACACTTCCAGAAGTCCCGGGGTTACATCTGACAAGCAGGACATCATAAGAATTACTTAGATTTCTGCAAATCCAACACTCACTAGGCTAAACATAAGTTTACATTAATATATAAAACAAACAACATAGTTAATAGTAACAGTAACGAGATTATCATTTCGTACTTGAATACTTTAAAAAAAAACAAAAGCTGACAACACTAAGTAGAAGCCAACAATACCACTATGGCTCACATCATCACTTACCTGGACACCAGCAACGTCCCATGTTAACCACCGTCTTTAGGTTCCCCATGCTCTCTTGACAGGAACATGAAAAACACTTTAGAAAATACATGTTAAAGGACACAATTTATTTTCTATGAGGATGCTGTCAACTAACCTTAGTTACTTCCAATATTACTGGACACATCATCTCTACTTGAATATTTGTAGTACATCAAGGTAAACACCATTTCAGATAAGACCATAATTTCTTGACTGGATAACTGCAAAGATCCCATGATTACGAATGCAGTGGGAAACACAATGGTAATTACTGTGACAATCCCTCAATACTCACAAAGTTAAAGAAATTTTCCCTAAAAGGTAAAAAGAAAGAACTCATGGGTTCTATTACTAGTAAGAACTTTTCATCACTGAATACATAAAGAAAAAAGAAACAAACACAGTAACAAGTATTTGGGACATCATTAATCACTTACCTAGATATAGGAAAATCAAGTAGACTTGCTGTGATTTAAACTTACCACATCAGTTACCTATATTCCAGCAGTGTCCCACATCAACTACCACTGTTGGGCTCACCATAATCTCCTGACAGAATCCTGAAAAACACATTACGAAAAATGTTATATTTGATATACATCTGATTATACCTGGTCACCTGCACATTCCCCTGGTCATTTCTGTCATTTTGGGACCCATCAACATTACTTGAACATTTGCAGAACTCCAATGTCAAAATCTAGTAAGAGACACTTTCCTCTCTTACATGGATACCTGCAGAAATCCCATGGTCATTATGTGGTGATGAAAAATAGGATAAATTAGCTGGATACCTACATGTCCATCTAACACTAGGATTATTAAATACACATTAGCTCTACATAACAATAAAGTAAAATCTCATGCTTATTTATACTGTTAGACAAAACTAATTTCCTCTATGCAAACCAGCCAAAAAACAAGATTAGTATCAGAGTTCTCAGCACCACTGTTAATTACCAGGATATCTCAAAATAGGAAGGTCTCTACTACATAAAAGTCGTATTAGTTCTTACCTCTATACTAGTAAAGCCCTTGCCTGATAGCTGAAAATAAAAACATGGTAATACAAGTACTAGGGACACCATCATCACTGACCTAGGTATGTGCAGATTAGATGTTCTGTAGTGTGAAAGACCCACATCAACACCTACCATGTTAACAACCATTGTTAGGTTCACCACCATCTCTTGACAGGAATTTGAAAAACATGTTTTGAAATATGTGTGAAAAGACACTTTTTTAAGCATGATGCTTGCAAATAACTTTTGTCACTTCCATCATTATGGGACATATACACTCTAGCTGGACATTTGCACTACTCAAGGTGAACAATGTTGCCAGATGAAGCCACTGTTTCTTGACTGGATGTCTGCAAAAATCCCATGGTTACTACTGTGGTGAGGAACACCATGAAAATTATCTGGATATGGCAATGACTCAGTGCCCATGGGGTTAACAATACATTTTCTAAAATATGTAAAACTAAGAACTCATGGTTCCTAACACTGGTAAGGACTATGGTTTCTTATCTCAATATCTTCAAAACAAACAAGCGAGCAAACATTGTAACAACCGTTAGGGGCACTTTCATCACTTACCTTCTTATGCCAAGGTCAAATATTTTCAGCTGTGCATTAAGCACACCTCATCACTTACCACATACTCATAATGTCCACCATTAATGGCCATTGTTAAGCTCACTATAATCTCATGAAAGGAACCTGAAAAGCATACACCTCTTATAATACCTGGACACCTGCAAATACCCTTGATCACTTCTTTTTGTGACTCATCAATGCTACATCGATAGTTCCAGAGGTGTGAAGTTAAACCCTAATAAAGACACCTCTCTCCTTTGAAGAAATACCTGCAAAAATCCCATGGTCACTAGTGGGGTGACAGACAGTGTGATATCTTACCTGGATACCTGCAGGTTTCTCAACTGCTACTAGGGTTAAGTACAAATTGTCACTAAAATTTTTTTTTAAATCTCATGCTTACTCTTACTAGGGGAGCAAGTTCATTTCTTCCCTGCAAACCTGTACCAAACCAGGTAACTATTACAGTTATGATCACCATCATCAATTTCCCAGATATCTGAAATTCAGGTCTCTAGTGTATAAATGCCACATGGTTTCTCACCTTTATATTAGCACTGACCTTACCTGAATGCCTCTTGATAAAAACAACATTCTTGTAACCACAGTATTACAGGCACCATCAACGCTTACCGAGATAACTGAAATCTGAAGCTCTCCAAAGTGTAAAGGCTCACACCATCTTTTCCCTCTCTTTTAGCTAAGTCCATGTTCACTATCATTGTTAGTTTCACCACCATCCACTGACAGCACCTAAAAAACCCATAAAGGCAGCCCATGGTTAGAGATACGTCTTTTTCTATTTAGACCATGACACATCTCATGAGAATCACTAGCAGTAGGAGAACCATCAACTTTACCTTGATACTTGCAGAATATCCAGGTCAAAACCATGGATATGTCATAATCTCTTGACTGGGTACCTGTAAAAATACCATAGTCAATACTGAGATGAGAAACAGTACGATAATTTACTTGGAAACTTACAAATCCCTCAGTCATAGCCAGATTTCAAAACATTATCTCTGCACTAGTAAGCAGCAAGGGTGTATTATTAAATAGGAATTATGGGAACACTATAATTTCTTACCTGAATATCTGCAAAAACCCAAAAAAACACGGTAACACAAATGTTAGAGGTATCATCATCACTTATGTAAACTTCTGAAGGTCACAATGTCTACCGTGTGATAAGACCCACATCATCACTTGCCTGGATACCAGCAAAGCTCCATGTTAATCCCCGTTGTTAGGGTTACCTTGATCTTTAGACTGAAACCTGAAAAAACATATTGTGACAGATGTGTTTAAGAATGCAACTTTTTCTAGCAGAACATCTGCAAATAACTTTTGTCACTTCCATCTTTACAAACCCATTAATGCTACCTGGATATTGGCAGAACCTGAAGGTCAACACATTGGTACAGGCACCGTCATTTATTGTCTGGGCATCTATAAAAATCTCAAGGTCATTACTGTGGTGAAGAAAGTTATGATCACTTGCCTAGATACCTGAAAATCCCTCATTCACTCCTAAAGTTAAACACACAATATCTCTAAACTAGAAAACTGGTTAAGCTAAAGCTCATGGATTCCAATACTTATTGGTAGAGCCCGTATCATTTTTTTTTACCCGAATACCTGCAAAACACATGATACCAACACATGTTGAGGACATCATCGTCACTTACCTCGATGTCTGAAGAGCAGATGGTCTGTACTGTGTTTAAGGTCCACATAATCACTTAGCTAGATTCCATGAAATTCCTACAAAAATGACTAATATGAGTTTCACCATTATCTCTTGATAGGAGCTTGCAAAACCATATGGCAGCAGTAGTGGTTAGGGATACATCTTCTATACGCACCTCAAAAAATCCCATGGTGACTAGTATTGTTAGGGGAACCATGAACTCTACCTGAATCTTAAGGTTCTGAGGCCAATGTTGTAGTTAGAGACACCATCATCTCTTGACTACCTGCTGAGAAAACATATGGTGGCAACCCTGGTCAGGATACATGTCCTTCCATCTGGACCCCTGATAATTCCATGCATACACTCACTATAATCATTAGGGCAACCACTAAGTGTACTTGGACACTCAAGAGAAGTCCAAGGTCAACATAGTAGTTTCACACACTGTCTGTTCACTGGACTCCTGCAAAAATCCCATAGTTACTACTGTGGTGAGGAACTCTGTGATATCTTACCCGGATACCTGCTAATATCTTTGTCACTACTAAGTTTGAGAAAGATTGTCTCTGAACTAGAAAACAGTAAAATCTAATGGTTACTACTTTTGTTAGGCACATACATTTCTTACCTGAACACCTGTAAAAACACATGGATAAGAAAAGAGTTCAGGACATCATCATCAGTTTTCTAGATGTCTGAAGATCATTTGGTCACTCATGTTTTTCAGGTCCACATAATCTCTAACTAGGATACCAGCAAAGTCCCATCTTCATTGCCACTGTGAGTTTTATTGTCATCTATTGACTGGAACCTACAAAATTCTATGGCTATTATTGTGGTCAGTGACATCATGATAACTTAGCCAGACAGTTCCAAAATCCCATGGTGTCCATTCGGTTAAAGCCCATGTTATTTCTCTCCCAGTTACCTGCCAAATCTTCTGTTTAGTGCTGTGGTAAATTTCACCTTTATTTACTTACTAAAACCATGCTGACAAGCATAATTAGAGAGACATTATTTTTATAGGACATCTGAAATTCCAACGGGCACTACTATGGTGCAAGTCACCATTATCATCTATGGGATAACTCCAAAATCCCATATTCACTTTAGGTTTACCATCAGCTTTTGACTGGATACTGGCAAAACCACCTTGGTCACAATAGTGCTTTGTGACATACCATCTCTTACCTGAATACCTGCAAAAACCCATGGTCTTCATAAGGTTTGAAAACCTAACATCTGTTACATGGCTATCCACAAACTGCCCAGGTAACTGCCATAGCTGGGCATACAACATCTTCCGGCATACCTACAGAAACTCACGGATACAATTAACATGGATTTCATCTTTCATGAGAAACAGGAAGGTTTCCTGTGTGCTCAGCACTGTCTGAACAATCTATTGCAAGGAGAATATTTTAGCCCTGTGGAATTAGCCTCAATTGCACATCAGCTAGATGAAGAAGAGAGGATGAGAATGGCAGAAGGAGGAGTCACCAGTGAAGAGTATCTTGCATTTTTACAGCAGCCTTCAGAAAACATGGATGATACCGGTTTCTTCTCCATTCAGGTAATAAGCAATGCCTTGAAGTTCTGGGGTTTAGAGATCATCCATTTCAATAATCCTGAATATCAGAAGCTCGGCATTGATCCTATAAATGAAAGATCTTTTATATGTAATTATAAACAACACTGGTTTACTATTAGAAAATTTGGAAAACACTGGTTTAACTTGAATTCTCTCTTGGCGGGTCCAGAATTAATATCAGATACATGCCTTGCAAATTTCTTGGCTCGATTACAACAACAAGCATATTCTGTATTTGTTGTCAAGGGTGATCTGCCAGACTGTGAAGCTGACCAACTCCTGCAGATCATCAGTGTCGAAGAGATGGATACACCAAAACTTAATGGAAAAAAATTAGTAAAACAAAAAGAGCATAGAGTCTATAAAACAGTCCTTGAAAAAGTATCAGAAGAAAGTGATGAGTCTGGAACATCAGACCAAGATGAGGAGGATTTTCAGAGGGCCCTTGAACTAAGCCGCCAAGAAACCAATAGAGAAGATGAACATCTCCGCAGTACTATTGAGTTAAGCATGCAAGGTAGTTCCGGAAACACATCGCAAGATCTTCCAAAGACATCATGTGTAACTCCTGCTTCAGAACAGCCGAAGAAAATAAAAGAAGACTATTTTGAAAAGCATCAGCAGGAACAGAAGCAGCAGCAACAACAGTCAGATCTGCCGGGCCACAGTTCATACCTACACGAAAGGCCAACAACAAGTTCGAGAGCAATTGAGAGTGATCTCAGTGATGACATCAGTGAAGGCACAGTACAGGCCGCTGTCGACACCATTTTAGAAATTATGAGAAAGAATTTGAAAATCAAAGGGGAAAAATAATGCCTTTAAAAATAATTTAGATAGTCATACTTTCCAACATTATCCTGTGTGATTATACTGTAGGATCCATTTTGGTCATCTGTCAAAGAGATGAGGAAATAAGGCTTTTAGACAGTTTGCAAACAAAATGACGAGAGAGATGTGGGACTAAATAATGATCGTTCAACTACTAGCCAAGGAGACATTCAGCAATTAATTAAATTTAAATTAGCTTTCAAAATGTTCCTTTGATTTTTGAGCCTGCAATATCTAATGTGTCTAAAATTGGGTCATTTTTCATGGATCTTTTTGTATACCAACGAATTAGCTCTTGCCATAGAACTTTTTCCATATAGTCTCTTCTATTGTAGATAATGTGGCTCATTTTGGTTGCTTTTATTTCTCATGAAACAATTTAACCTTTCAGGGAAGTGTCTCTTGTCTGTGTTGATCATAGTAACGGTTTTAGAAGGATAAACAGTTCTCCCTCCAACTATGTACTGTGCGCTTAAGTATATTCTTATGTTATTTCCTCTGATCACAATTTCTGCTACCTGGTCCTTAATTATTTTCCACAAGTCTTTCGAAATATGGTAATATTTTCTGAGGTTTTGTTTTTTACGCCCTCTGTGGTAAGATCATTATTTCATGACTCTGGTGCATTACTCTTTCTTTGTTTGGGGGTGGGGTGATGGGGGCAAAGACGCTCTGTCGCCCAGTCTGGACTGCAGTGGCCCAACCTCGGCTCACTGCAACATCTGCCTTCTGGGTTCAAGTGATTCTCGTGCCTCAGCCTCCCGACTAGCTGGGACTACAGGCATGTACAAGGACGCCCGGCTAAATTTTGTACTTTTAGTAGAGACAGGGTTTCACTATGTTGGCCAGGCTGGTCTCGAACTCCTGACCTAAAGTGATCTGCCCGCCTCGGCCTCCGAAAGTGTAGGGATTAAAGCGTGAGTCACTGGGCCAACCGCTGGTGCATTCTTATACTCTGAAATCAGCCCTGCACAAATATTTGAGAATGAGCGACTTTTTAAATGGGAAAAAAAAAAGGTAACATCAAGATTTCAGGATATATTATTGCTTATCTAGGTATCTAAAAAATCATATGGTCTGTAATATGTTTAAGGACCACATCATGTCTTACCTGGGTATCAAGAAATCCCATGTTTGCGCCTACTGTTAAATTCATCATCACCTATTGACTACAACCTGCAAAATCCCATGGTTAGGGACACCGTGATCACTTATTTAGAAATCCCCAAAATCTAATCATGTCTACTTGGTTAAAGCCCACATTATTTCTTTCCTCAATTCTTGCGAAATCCTATATTCATAAGAGCGGTTAAGATTGTCTTCATTATGTTGCTGGAATTTGCAAAAAAACCATGGTGACAACCATAATTAGACACACACCACCTGTTACCAAGATATGGGCACTACTCGTGGGCATTACCACGGCTTAGGCCAACATCATTCCCTACTGGGTATCTTCAAAAACTTATATTCACCAGAGCTTTAAGTGAGATACTTGTAAAATACCTTGGCACTTGGTTACAATTTGTGACACATCATCTCTCATGTGGATGCCTACAGAAGCCCAGGAGATCAACCAGATATAGAAATACCTACCAGACATGGAGACCTACAAATTAACCAAATTAAATGCCATTGCTAAGGACACATCATTTCTTTCCTGGGTGACTGAAAAACTGTTAAATACCTTGGGACTACCATTTCTAGTGACACATTATTACTTAACTGGTTATCTGCAAAATCCCGTGGTCACCACATGTTTAGACATTTTTAGAGACACCATCATATCTTCTCTGGCAGCTTGCAAAATCAGATGTGTAGAAGACACATGTGTAGAAGGACATGGGGTTTTCCACCAGCACTCCTACAAATAACCTTGATTTCCATCTTTTGGGGACACACCCACTCGACCTGGATACTTGCAGTAATCTCAGGTCGACCCTGATAGCAGAAAACCACCGTTTCTCGACTGTTCACCTGTAGACATCCTAGGGGCAGCACGGGGGCGGGGAATACAGTGATAAATACCTGACTCCCTGCAATCCCTCTACACTCACAGGTTTCAGCATACACTTTTGTTGAAACAGAAAATGGGAAAACCTGGCCAATCTGGGATTGGTAAGGACTCAATCATTTCTCAGCTGAGTACCTGTGAAAGAAATCACGGCGGGAAGACGTGTGGGGACATCTCATCAGTGAACCAGGTCCCTGGGACAGTCCCATGGTGCATGCTGTGGTTTATGCGTGCATCAGCAATACCTCAGCCAGACTCTCAAAAAAAGAAAAAAAACTATGAAAACACAGAAAAAAATGGTCATAAATCCAACAAATACATAAAGCCAGAGCTCTTAGCTGGACACTTATAAAATACTTTGGTTACGGTAGTGGCAGTTACTTACAATTTATGACATATCATCTCTCATGCGGATGCCTACAGAAGCCCATGAGATCTATCAGATTTAGAAAAACCTACCATACATGGAGACCTACAAATTACCCAGATTAAATGCCATTGCTAGGGACATACCATTTCTTTCCTGGGTAACTGCTGAATACCTTGGTACTACAATTTCTAGGAACACATTATTCCTTAATTGGATATCTGCAAAATCCCACGGTCACCACATTTTTAGAGACACAATCATCTCTTACCTGGTGATTTGCAAAATTCCTTGTTCAGTATCACGGTTAGGATCTCTGTGATCTCTTAATTACTGGCTTACAAAATTTCATCATAACTTTCATGGTTAAGGGGACCACCATCTTTTTACTAGACCCCTGACAATCTCATGATCTCATGGTTATTTTGTGATTAGGTTCGCCATCATATCTGGAATACCACAAAATGTCATATTCACTAACATGGGAAGCGGCATCATCAGCTCCTTCATGCCTACCTGAGCAAACTCAATTTTGGTAGTCAAGTTAGGGTCACCATCCTCACTTATCTCGATATCTAGAAAATATCATGGTCACCCCCATGGTGAAGTTTATCATCATTTCTTAACTCTGTAACTTCAGTATTCTATGTTCACTTCCTAAGCAGAAACATTCATTTGTTACCTGGATATTTTAAAAATTTCAGACATTACCATGGAGATGGTCATTGTCATCTTTTCATTCTATAGCTAAAAAATCCCATGGGCACTACCATGGTCAGGGACGGGCCCATCATCTGTTTTTGCATTCCTTCAAAATACCATGGTCACTACAATGATGAGAGCCATGATCATCTCGTACCTGAATCACTACCAAATCCGAGAGTCCATAAATCGCCTGGAGAGACCTCAATGTTGTCCTCATGCTCTGACTTCTGCCTGCCTGAACCTGAAACTGCAAGTGTGATCAATGGCTCAACAGACACAGCTTTTCCATCAGGATCCTGCAAACCGCCTTGCTCAGTATAATCACTGTGGGAGTCAAAAATGTATTTGGATGCTTGCAGGCCCTCCAGGGTCTAGGCCATTGTAGGACACACTATTTTTCCCTGGCCAGTTTCCCTGCAAATCCACCACAGTTACTCCTGTGATGCACAATGCCACATGAGTTCCCTGGGTATGTGACAATCAATCAGCCCTCACAGACCACATACATCATACATTCTTTCCAGGGTAGAAATCAATAGGATCACATGGCGAGGAGAACGGAGAGCCGCTACCCTTTCTTACCAAAATACCTGTTAACCCATCACATGATAAACCCTTCAGGCAAAGGAACCTTGCTTACCTAGGTATGTGGAGATCGCCTGGTGTGTGGTGAGTTTACCATGAACACCATCACTTACCCAGATAGCAGACGTGTTCCCTGATCCTGACTCCTGTTTATCGGGATTTCCTTGTGGGACCCTGGAAAACCTACACTGAGATATATGCCTCAGAAACACACAAAGTGTTCTAACAGGACACATGCAAATCACAATGCTCGCATCCATCGTTGAAGGACTCTTACTTGGATGCTGGTGGGACCCCCTAAGCTCAGGGCTGCAGGCCCAGAAAACAGCATTTCTCTCTACAAGACACCTGCAAAATGTCCAGCGTAATCGCTGTGGCTGGGAACCCCAAGATCATTACCTGGTATTTGCAGTCCCACTGTGCTCACTGGGTTAGACATTGTCTCTGAAATATGCAGAGGGAAATCTCACGGTTTCTAGTGTGCCAGGGACATTTGTCATTTCTGACCAGGACACCTGAGGTGAAATCATGGGAACAACAGGAAGTATGGACACCATCCTCACTTACCTATACACCTGAACTTCAAGTGGCCCATGTGTTGCTTTGGGTCCTCATGCAGCCTTGACCTGCAGAGCAGCCCTGCTTCCTGATAGGGACCCATGTTGGATTCACTGTGATGTCATAGCAGGAATCTGAAAGAGGCACCAATACATATGTGTAAAAAGACAGGGGGTTTTCTGCAAAGACTCCCACAAAGTCCCATGTTTATTTCCATCTTTATGGGACACACCCACTCGATGTGTATAGTTGCAGTAATCTCAGGTCGACCCTGACAGCAGAAAACTACTGTTTCTCAACTGCACATCTCTAGAAATCGGAGCGGCAGCACAGAAGTGGGGAACACAGCGATAAATACCTGGCTCCCTGCAATCCCTCAACACTCACAGGGTTCAGCATATACTTTTATAAAATGGGAAAACCCGGCCTATCTGGGAGTGGTGAAAACGGAATCATTTCTCATCTGAATACATGGAAAAGAAATCATGGCGGGAAGATGTGTAGGGGCACATCATCATTGAAATAAGCCTCTGTGACAGTACGATGCTGCGGGCTGTGGTTTAGGCCTGTGTCAGCACTTACCTCAGCCAGCAATGCCCCACGTTACCTAGCTTCAAAAGGCCTGCTGTGATGCCCTGACATTCATCTGAAAGACATATTGGGGAAACTCTGCTTGGTACACAACCTATGCTACGAGGACACCCACAAATACTCTTGTTCATTGGTATCGTTTCGCAACTCATCCAGGTTACCCAGATAACTGAAAATATCTAAGCCAGAGCCTCCGAGGGATACCTGGAGAAACAGCACAGTCCACATCGGGGTGACAGACAATATGATCAACTACCTGGGCACTGGCATATCTGTTTCTCACGTGGAGGGTCAGATTTACCGAAAAAAAAAAATAAAAGCCCTTACCTCTGAATAAGCAAACAGTAAAATCTCATGCTTACTGGCATTGGGAATCACTAATTATTTTTTCTCAATGACACATATGCCAAACACAAGGTTACTCTACCAGACTTAAACCATCATTAACTATCTACATGCAGGAAATTCAGAATGTCTTTCATGAGGTAATGCCACAACATCTCCTACCTCTCTACAGGAAGAGAACTTTACGGGACTCCTGCAGGAAACCATGGGAAAAACACTGTGTCAAGGACAGTGCCCTCTTTGTCCAGGAAATCTGAAGTTCAAGTGGTCTGTATTGGCATAGGACTGGTGTCATCCATTACCTGGTTACTATCCAGGGCCTCTGAATGGCCATTCTCAGACCCACCTTGATCTCATGACTAGCAGCAGCAGAAGAAACGCATCTGACAGGTGTTTTCCGGGATGCCACTTGGCATACCTGAAAGACGAAAAAGACACGCACCGCACAGGCTGGTCACTGCCATCATCCGGGAACCATCAACCTTACCTAGATCCTGGCAGAACTCCAACGTCCACCCCACTGTTGGCGCCACTATCGGCTCTGGACTGAGGATGTGTCAGAACTATCATTCCATCCTGTGGTCTGGTAGAGTAGGATAATTCACCTGGACACCCGCATCTACCACAGTCAACACGGACTCAGGTTCAATGCACATTATCCTAAAGTCGAACACAGCAAGGACTAATGCTTACTAGCCTTGGTTGGCAGAGCATTGTTTCTTAACTGAATAACTGCAGAAAATAAAAAACAGAAAATGAGCTGAGAAAACCCATGGCAGGACAGGAAAAATAGCAGGAATGACATCGGTGATTACCTGTGTATCGGAAGACTGGATCGTCCATGGCCTGCTTACGCCCATACTGTCTCCTCTCTGGATATGGGCAGAGTGCCCCTGCTCGAGCATAATGAGGGTTCCCTTGACTTCTGGAAGGGAATGTGAAACCACATGTGTTACAATCTGCCTACAGACACAGCTTTTCCACCAGGACCCAGAAAACCACCTGCTCACTAACATCATTGTGGGAGCCAAAAATCTACCTGGATGCTTGTGGTTGCTCCAAGGGGTAGGACATCATAGGACACTTCATTTTCTCTGGCCGTCTTCTCTGCACATCCACCTTAGTTACTCCTGTGATGCACAGTGCCACTGGAGTTCCCTGGTTACGTGCCAATCCATCAGCACTCACAGGGTACTTACCTCATACGTTCTCTCCAAGACAGAAAACAATAGGATTACATGGCAAGGAGAACGAGGAGCCACTACCCTTTCTTACCGGAATACCCATAAACGCATCACATGGTAAACTGTTCAGGGAAAGGAACCTCACTGACCTACAAACGTGAAGATCAGGTTGTCCGTGGTAAGTTTATGGTGCACACAATCACTTACCCAGATAGCAGACACGTCCCCTGCTCATGACCCCCGTTCTTCAGGATTTTCTCCCGGGAACCTGGAAAACATATACTGAGATATATGCCTCAGAAACACACAAGGTGTTCTACCAGGACACCTGCAAATCACGATGCTCACATCCATCACTGAAGGACTCTTACCTGAATGCTAGTGGGGGCCCCCAAGCTCAGGGCGGTGGTCCCAGAAGACAGCATTTCTCTCTACAGGACACCTGCAAAATGTCCATGGTCACTGCTGTGGGAAGGAACACCGGATAATTACCAAGTATTCAAAGTTCCACTGTGAACACGGGGTTAGGCATTGTCTCTGAAATATGCAGAGGGAAAACTCACGGTTTCGAATATGTCAGGGACACCTGAAGCGAAATCGGGAACAACAGGGAGGCCTACACCATCATCACCATCATCACTTACCAAGACAAGACTCAATCATTTCTCACCTGAATAAGTATGAAGGAAATAATGGTGGTAAGGCCTGTAGGGACACATCATCACTCAACTGTGTCTCTGTGACAGTCCCACGGTGCAGGCTGTGGTTTAGGCCCACATCAGCACTTACCTCAGCCAGACTCTGTTTCAAAAAGAAAGAAAACAATAGATAACATGAAAGTCTTACATCCAAGGAATAAATAAAGCTACAGCTTTAAGCTGGATACTTATAAAACACCTAGGTTACAATGGTGGCAATTGGTTGCAATTTGTGTCACGTCATCTCTCATGTGGATGCCTACAGAAGCCCGTGAGATCTACCAGATTTAGAGAAGCCTACCATACATGAAGACCTACAAATTACCCAGATTAAATGCCATTGCTAGGGACACATCATTTCTTTCCAGGGTAACTGTAAAATCCCTTGGTACTACCATTACTAGTAACACATTATTCCTTGATTGGATATCCTCAAAATTCCATGGTCACCATATTTTTAGAGATACCATCATCTCTTACCTGGTTACTTGCAAAATCCCCTGCTCCTTACTGTGGTTATTATCAGCATCATCTCTTAATTACTGACCTACAAATTTCGTCATAACCTTCACAGTTAAGGGCACCATCATGTCTTTACTAGACCCCTGACAATCTCATGGTCATTTTGTGGTTAGGTTCGCCATCATGTCTGGAATAGCACAAAATGCCATGTTCACTAACATGGTAAGAAACATCTTCAGCTCCTATGTGCTTACCTGAGGAAATCCAATTTTGGTACTCGAGTTAGGGCCATCATCCTCTCTTATCTGGATATCTAGAAAACACCATGCTCACCCCCACTGTTAGGTTTATCATCATTTCCTACCTTTATAACTTCAGTATCCCATGTTCAATTCCTAAGTAGAAACACTCATTTCTTACCTGGATATTCACAAATTCCCGTAGACATTACCCTGGATATGGCCACTGTCATCTTTTCACTCTATAGCTACAAAATCCCATGGGCACTATCATGGTTACGGACATGTCTATCATCTGTTTTTTGGATTCCTGCAAAATACTGTGGTCACTACAATGATGAGGGCCATGATCATCCCATACCTGAATCACTACCAAATCCTATGGTCCCTGAATCTCCTGGAGAGACCTCAAGGCTCCTCCCACTCTGACTTCTGCCTGGCTCACCAGCCTCAGTGCTTGCTGTTTCCCTATCCCCCTTTATTATATCAACATTCTAAGCAGTTTAAGTTCCGTAACATTCCTTTTTCTCCTGGTTAGCTGTAACACAGTGTTCACACCTGTCCTTACCATCTAATGAGAACTGATTATTGTCATTTCCTTGTAACTTAGTGTTCCTTGTCCTTAAAATTGGCCATGGTGGGAGTACCAACTAGGATTTTTATTCTAGGAGAGCGAGTTATTAAGCTCTCCTGGATGTGCTGATGAATAAAGTAATAAATAAAAAGAAGTACTACTGAATAGTAACACCTCAATCTTCTCTTTTTTCATTAACTTGATCTGACTTTTGTGGATGAATGTGTCAGTTCACTCCATACCTGGCTTAAAATCTATCGTCTTTCCAAATATTTATACTTAATGAATAAAATGGGTATACACTTTTATTACAAATTAGATAATATTATATTAATGCTGTCCAAGGACTTACATAATCTCAATATGTCCAAAGTTCATAAACTTGCTGAAAAAGAAAAACAATAATTAAGTAATTATTTTTATACAACTGCTGGAAAAAAACTCGTTATTTTAAAAATTAGATGTATTACTAGACCTAGCAAATGAAAATCATTGAGATATACATACTCACTGATATATGTATGTGACGTGTACATATATACACCACACACACACACACACACACACACACATCCTTACCTCACCCATTTGCCAGAGCAAATCTTTTCTTTTTTTTTGCCATGTAAATTTCTTCCTGCACTCTTTGTGGAAACCTAAATTTCCATCAGTGACCGCATTTAGATTCCATGAGATTCTTAGTCACGAATTCCTTTGAAAACCAAGTAAAATGTCAAGAGAGAGAAGCAGCACCCTATAGCCCCTCTTTTTAGTTCCACAGTGTGGGAGCCAATTTTCTTGTAATTCTGGAGAGGAAAAAAATCACCATGTGGCTATAATTCTGAAGACTGTTTTTTTAGATTGCCCAGAGACTAGCAGATGCAGAATGAAATAAATAAAGGCTATTTTTCTCATGTTTGAGGTGGTTTCCAATTAATACTTCTTTATTTCTCTTTGCCACTCCACTTTTCCCCAATCTTTCCTGATAATAGAGTACAAATAACCTAAATGTTCTATGGTGATTGTAGATACAAAACTGATATATCATTAGGCAATTTTTCCTTTTTAAAGAAAATGTTCTATTTTTTCATGATTATTCTTAGCTACTACCTACTTCTACTCACCAAAGTCAACCATCAGCCATGAGAAAGAATATTGAGGCCATAATTAAAACAATGGCAGGGGCATGAACAACACCTGAGAATGCTGCTCTGTCTCCTATATCTACTTCTCATTCAACCCAACCCTTTACTTTTTGAAAATGAAAAATATTACCTTTTTTTCTAGTAATGATTTTGTTAACTTTCATTGATTGACTTCCCATGGAATTATTTCCTGGCTGGCAGGGAATTAAATGTGATTTAAAATTATAATGTACTACCAAGTGAGTTTTTATGTCCAAAGTTCATGAAATCATATTCATTAGGGGCTTTTCCTTCATATTCTGACTTACATGAAGGCAACGTTTTGCAGTCATATGTATTAGTAAGGTGGTGATAGGGTAACTGAAGAGCTTACCTCTCTGTGTTTATCAACATCTGGCGACAAGAGACATCTGACCTCTGGTTTAGGCTAAGCAGAGGACAAAGTCTGGCATTTGGGCTTTCAGTTATGCCACACCCTGACTTAGCAAGGCTCTTTGCCTTTAGTAGCCTTGTACCTTCCCTCAGAGCATGATTTAGATGACTTCCAAAATTAATTCTATATTTTATGTCTCATGTCTTGCCTATTATGTCTGGATATAATTGCAATACTATGTAACTGTTATTTTTATATATGATATATGCAGTGGACCCTTGAAGAACAAGGGTTGCTGTGCAGGTCCACTTTTATGCAGATTTCCTTCTGCCTCTGCCACCCCAAGGCAGCGAGATCAACCTATCCTCTTCCTCCTCCTCCTTTGTCTACTTAACACAAAGACAGTGAGGATGAAGACCTTTATCATGAGCCACTTCCACTTAATGGTAAATATATTCTTTCTTCCTTATGATTTTCTTTTCTCTAGCTTACTTTATTGTAAGACTACAGTGTATAATACATATAACATGCAAAATATGCGTTAACCAACTGTTTATGTTACCAGTTAGGCTTCCGGTCACCAGTAGGCTTTTAGTAGGTAAATTTGGAGGGAGTCAAAAGTTACACACATTTTCGGCTGTGTGGGGGCCGGTATTCCTAACACTCATGTTGTTCAAGGATGAACTGTATTATATAACATATATCCTATATATACCAGTATAGATATTAATAACAATTATTTTATTTTATATAAGCTTGGAACTCCTGGGATACTAAAATTACTATTTTTGAACCTAAAAAAAAAAATCAACCACCCCCCGAAACAGGCTTCCACTACTAAGCTATACTATTTATCTTAAATATGAAACACTATTATATCTTACCCGTTTTTAGAAGCAGACACTACAACAATCAAATTTTCTGGGCACAGTGAAAAATATCATTATCTGCGTACACGGATTTGTATATAATTTAACGGATATTTACAAAGCCCAGTATTGTTAGGTATGATGAGAAGTCAAAGATTTGTGGTTTGTTTTTCATATAGCTGGTGGTATTTTTTGTTTTTGTTGTTGAATTTTGCTGTTTCAATATACCAGTGTGCTTCAGGCACTTTTCTTCTCTGTTTTGTTTGTTTGTTTGTTTTTTGGTTTGTTTCTTTCATACAGAAAAATGTTGCCACTTATCAAGGGGAATGATTAAACATATGAAGTAGTCATATGATGAAGTATTTAAAATCATTAAATATCATACTTTAGAAAATATCAAATATCAACTCAAGTGTATGCTGCTTGGGTAATGGGTACACCAAAATCTCAGAAATCACCACTAAAGAACTTACTCATGTAACCCAACCACCACCTGTTCCCCAAAAATCTATTGAAATAAAAAAAATTAGCTTATCAAATCTGAAAAAGAAAGAAAATATCAACTGACCTCCTAAAATGCCCATGAAATGATACTGAGGGGAGGGGAAAAGATAAAGGTGATGTACACAGAATAAATGCAATTACACTTAAAATGCATTTACATGCAAAAAAAAAATAAGTAGCAAAGAAATACACTAAACAGTTATCTCTGAGAGTATAATAATGAGTGATTTTTATATTTCTCTGTAGACGCTGTGTAAGTTGTAAATTTATACAAGGCACATATTTGACTAATTAACAGGAACAGGATAAAATTATCTTCAAAGTATCATTCTGTTCTCTTCTTGACTCTTTGTCTGACAAGAACAAGATTGTCTGGTGAGGCTGTTATGAGGATGAAATTGGAGAGCATCTGTAAACCATATGTGAAGCTCAACAGGTCAAAAGAGCTTGGTTCTCATTCTTCCACTAAGGCTATTTTCGAAATTTTATCTGTACCTTTAATTTGTAGTTTCTTTGTATTATTACTATAACACAAGATTTGCTCTGTATTATTACTATAACACAAGGAAACTACAAATTAAAGGTACAGATAATATTTTTGTTTGTATAAGCTGCACACTAAACCACTATAATTGTGCAAAGGTGTTTAACTCTTAGGACTCCAGCACCCATAGGCCTCCACTCCAATAAGGAGATTATACTGTGAATTACTGACCTGTAAGCTTCGTGGGGCAGGATTCCAAGACTAACTTCCTTGGTCAAATGAGAAAATAGTCCAGAGAAAAATATTATCTTTGTAATACAGAAATTAATAAAGAGATAAAAATAATGAGATCTTTAGGATCCTAGTATAGACAAAGAAGCCATGGTGGCTAATTTCTCAGATTCTAGCAGGGCTTCTTTACCTCCGCCCTACTGACAATTTGGGCCAGATAACTTTTTGTGGATAATTATTTGTTATGGGAACTGTCCTGTGTGTTGTAGGATGTTTAGCAGCATCCCTGGCCTCTACCCACAAGACACCAATAGCAATCACTTCTCTAGGTGTGACAATTAGAAACGTCTCCAGACATTGCCAAATGTCCCTGCAGGAGTAAAACTGCCCCTAGTTGAGAATCATTGGATTATAGAAAGAAGGAAAATAAAAATCATGATGTTCTTTCATTTTCTCCAAATCATCCGACCAACAACATTGCTAATGGTAATCTAGAGACAGTTCATAACAAAACAGGCTTAATTTAGAAAGATATAGTTATGGATTCAGCCACTTTGATTAAAAAGTTGTAATTCTTGTCTTTAGTCCACTGCCCATTCATCCTAGGGAGAAGATTTTATCAAGTACTAGTAAGTAGTAGGCCTTAGGCTACAATCTACCAACATGTGTCTAATTCAAGGGCAAAGAGTTGGAAACTCATAAGGTGGAGAGGAGGTCTACTTATAAGCCAAAGAAAGCACATTCCAGAGTTACTTTACTTAAGAATTAACAACTACAATACAGAGAATTTGTGAAAAACCCATTCTGCCACTGAGAAGGCCACTGGGATTTGATACAGTGGAAATGAAATCTGGTTCAAACCATAAGGCCATATCTCCCTAAAAGATTCCCCTTTTGAAAACTGCATTTAATTTGACTAACTACTCAACAAAATATTATATTCATAGAATGCAATTCTAGGAGAAAAGTTGGTTTGATGAAAGAATCAGTGGCGTCTGGCTGTAATCAATATGCATGATTGCCATGAACCATAGATAGGCTAATTCCACTTAGATTTAAGCACCCTTCCTCTAGTTGTATACCGGTCATGCTTCCTGATTAGCTCTGATATGCAAAGAGCTTAGAAGTCAACATTCCTGTTCTCACAGCAAGAAAAATGCTGAACAAGCTAACAATCAACAACTTTTCTTAAATCTACCAGAGAATTGAGGTCACAGGGCAAACTGCCACCCCCAAAACTGTAGAGATGTGTAAATACAAAGAATTACAGTTTACCAAGAGCAGAGGCTTCTGGAACCAGTAACTGGTAGGAACACTTAAATGGTAATTGATAAACTGCTGAAGGCTGAGTGCAGACTAACTTGAGATTTAAAAACTCCTGATGGCCCAGTTTTAGGAAGCTCCACACTTTTGTGGGATTTACCACTAGGTGCCCCACCGAAAGTAAAAATCATATGGGAGAGAAATCTCCTCTGCTTTGAGCAAGAGGAAAGAAGAAGTGCCATTTTGAAATAAGCCCAGGGTTTTCTGTGCCACTAGGAGCCCCATAAGAGTAAAAATCATATGGGAGACAAATCTCCTTTGCTTTGAGCAAGAGGAAAGAAGAAGTGCCATTTTGAAATAAGCCCAGAGTTTTCTGTTCTCTGTCACAAGAGTTACATCAAGGGAAATTACCAGAGTCTTATGTGACCAAGAAGAAGGGCAACTAGACAATGCTAGTTCCCCCTAGCCTTCGTGTCTCACATAATGATAAGGAAAAAAAAGGCTGAGAAATGCTGAATGTCACAGCTCAGGGACTCAGGCCCACTAAAAATAGCTGAGATTTAATTATAAGATTATAGAGTGCTTACCCTCCTTAAAGTCTTACCACCACATCAGCAAGGCTCCAGTAAAAAAACGGTGGATTACAACTGAGAGAACTGAAAGACGTAATCTATTTAAGAAAGAGTTCTTAGCGGAACCTAAAGGCACCATGGAAGCAGGGAATAAAAGGAAACTATAGAAAACTGGAGCCTCTGGCATATATGCGTTACAATTAACATTAAACGTAGCCTAGCTCCTAGCCAGATCAACATAAAGCCTTATATTAAAAGCCCAATTAACTCAGTTTCTATTACTAGATATAGCATGATCACTTCCAACAGAAAAAAATTATGAGATATGCTAAGGGAAGGAAAAAATAAAGTCTGAAGAGACAAAGCAAGCATCAGTATCTGACTCAGATATATTCAGATTTTGGAATTATCAGATAAGAAACTTAAACAACTATTATTGATATATTAAGGGCTCTGTGGTATAATAAAGAATTTGGCCAGGTATGGTAGCTCAGACCTGTAATCCCAGCACTTTGGGAGGCTGAGACGGGAGGATCACTTGGGCCCAGCAGTTTGAGATCAGCCTGGGCAACATAGTGAGATCACATCTCTACAAAAAATCAAACAATTAGCCAGGCAAGGTGGTATGTACCCATAGTCCCAGCTACTTGGGAGGCTGAGGTGGGAGGATCGCTTGAGCCCAAGAGGTGGAGGTTGCAGTGAGCCAAGATTGCCTTACGGTGCTCCAGCCTGGGCAACAGAGCAAGACCTTGTCTTTAAAAAAAAAAAAAAAAAAGTTTATCTGGCCTTTGATCTTAGTTCCTGACAAAGAACTTCAAACATCCTGGGAATTTCCTGAGAGATAGAAATTATTTGTTATGCTAATGAGGTAACTCATGACAGACTCCTAGTTAGCTTCAGGATGGGAGATGGACACCAGAAAGACCAAACACACGATTAGAAGGCTGGAACTTTGGGCCAGTTTTACCTGCATGGAAAAGAGGGCTAGAGACTGAGCTCAATTATGTGGCCAATTGCATATCCAATCATGCCTGTGTAATCATATTCCACATAAAAAATGTGTACACTGAAACTCAGTGGAGTTTTCTGGTTGGTGAACATACTGGTGTACAGGGAGGATGATGCACTCAGATTCCTTGGGAAGAGAGTATGAAAATTTTGCATCCAGAGCCCTTCCAGATCTTGTCCTAAGTGTATACTTTATAATAAAACTCTACATGTAGAGTTTTACACATAGTCTACTTTCAGTGAGTTCTGAGCCATATCGAATTATCAAAACTGAGGTAGTTATGGGAACTCCCAAATTTATAATCAGTCAGAGGTGCAGGGAGCCTGGGGACTGGGGACTCCACTTGTGGCTGGCATCTGGAATAAGAAGCAGTCTTGTGGAGGACTGAGCCATTAATTTGTGGAATTTGGTGCTAACTCTAGGTCATTAGTGCCAGAATTGAATTGTAGTACTCCAGGTAGTCAAAACAGAAAAAGCCTGATATGGTTTGGCTGTGTCCCCACCCAAATGTAATCTTGAATTGTAGCTCCCACAATTCCCATGTGTCATAGGAGGGACCCAGTGGGAGGTAACTGAATCATGGGGGCGGGCCTTTCCCATGCTGTTCTTGTGATAGTGACTAAGTCTCATGAGATCTGATGGTTTTATAAAGAGGAGTTCCCCTGCACAAGCTCCCTCTCTTGCCTGCCACCATGTAAGAAGTCCCTTTGGTCTTCCTTTGTCTTCTGCCGTGATTGTGAGGCCTCCCCAGCCATGTGGAACTGTGAGTCCATTAATCTCTTGCCTTTATAAATTACCCAGTCTCAGATATGTCTTTAATAGCAGTGTGAGAACAGACTAATACGAAGCCCTAGTGGAAACAATAGACAACATGAAGGCACAGGTGGGTAATGTAAGCACAGAGATGAAAACCCTAAGAAAGAATCAAAAGGAAATGCTAGAAATAAAAAAACATTGTGACAGAAATGAAGAAATGAAGAATGTATTTAAAGGCTCATCAGCAGGTTGGAAATGTCTGGGGAAAGAATTAATGAGCTTGGTGATAGGTCAACAGAAACTTTCCAAACTGGAAGGCAAAGAGAAAAAAAGAATGGGAAAAATAACGAAATATCCAAGAAGTGTATAATCATTACAAAAGGTGTAACATATACATAATGGGAATACTAAAAGGAAAAGAAAGAGAAAGAAGAACAGAAGAAATATTTGAAGTAATAATAGCTCAGAATTTTCTGAAATTATTGAAACACATCAAAACACAGATCCAGGAAGGTTAGACAACACCAAGCAAGACAAATCCAAAAAATCGACATCTAGGCATTTCACATTCAAACTGCAGAAAATCAAAAGCTAAGAGAAAATCTTGAAAGAAATGAGAGAGTTGGGGGAAGCATTACCTATAAAGCAACAAGGATAAGAATTACATCAGACTTCTCATCGGGGACCATGCAAGCAAGAAGAGAATAAAGTGAAATATTGAAAGTGTTGAAAGAAAAATAAAGAAAAACACAAGCTTAAAATTCTTCATCCAGTGAAGTTATCCTTCTAAAGTGAAGAAGGAAAAAAAGACTTTCTCAGACAAAAACTGAGGTAATTTGTTGCCAGTAGACTTGCCTTGCACGAAATACTCAAATAAGTTCCTCAGAGAGAAGGAAATTGATATAGGTCAGAAATTCAGATCTGATCTGAAAGAAAGAAAGGAAGGAAGAACATTAGCAGGGAATCAACAAGATTTAAACAAGATCTTTCATTTTTCATATTTTAAATTGATTTAATAAATAACTGTTCAAAGTAAGAGTAATAGCAACAATGTATTGGGTAGTTATAGCTTATGGATGAGTGAAATGAATGACAGCAATGGTACAAGGAATGGAAGAAAGTAATTGGAAATGCTTTGTTATAAGGTATCTGCATTACCCGTGAAGCATTATAGTATTATTTGAAAGTGTACTTAGATTAGTTGTAAATATATATTGCAAACTCTAAGACAAACACTAAAACATTTTTTCAAAGAAATATCATTGATGTGCTAAGAGAAGAGAGAAAATGGGTTCATATAAAATGCTCAGTTAAAACCAGAGAAGGCAGGAAAATGGGGGCGGGGGGTGGGGGTGATAAAAATGAAACAAAGAAAAAGTGCAACAAATAGAAAACGGTTACAAACATTGTAGATACTAATCCAACTATATTACTACTCACTGTGAATAATAGTTTAAATCACCAATTAAAAGGCAGAGACTGTCAGAGTGTATAGAAAAAACAAGACCCAACTATATAATTCCTATTATATTTAATGAAGCCCACTATATATATAAAGACACAGCTACATTAAAAGTAAAGGGATAGAGAAAGATATACCATGATAACACAAATCAAATGAAAGCTATAGTAGCAATACCAATTTCAGACAAAGCAGACCAGAAAATTATCAGGGATAAGGAAGGGTATGATACAATTATACAGGGGCCAATTCTCCAAGAAGACATAGCAATCCTCAACATGTATGTACCTAACAACAGATCATCAAAGTATGTGAGGCAAAACTGATAGAACTTCAAGGAGAAATAGACAAATCTATTATTATAGCCGGAAACTTCAAAACTTCTCTATCAGTAATTGACAGATACAGCAGGCAGAAAATCAGTAAGGCATTGTTGAACTGAAGAACACCATCAATTAACTGGATCTAACTGACATCCGTAGATTTAGAATACTTCCTCCAACAAAGCAGAATACAAATTCTTCTCAAGCTCACATGGAACATTCAGCTTCCAACATTCAGAACGTGCATTCTGGGCCATAAAACATCCTAACAAACTTAAAAAAGATATCATACAAAGTTTGCTCTCAGGTCACAGTGGAATTAAGTTGGAAATCAATAATAGAAAGATAGCTGAAAATTTTCAAAATATTTGAATATTAAGCATACTTCTAAACATATGTGTCAAGTATCAAGAAAAATTTTAAAATATTTTGAACTAAATGAAAATGAAAATACAACTTTTCAAAACTTGTTGAATGCAGCAAAAGTAGTGGTTAGAGAGAAATTTATAGCCGTGAATGCATATTATTAGAAAAGAGAAAAGATCTAAACAGCAATCTAAGTTTCCACCTTAGGAAACTAGAGAAGAGCAATATAAACCTAAAGCAAGCAGAAAACAAGAAGTAACAGAAATTACAGCACAAATCAATGAAACTGAAAACAGGAAAACAATAAAGAATATCAACAAAATCAAAAGCTGCTTCTTAGAAAAGATCAATAAAATTGATAAACATCTAGCTTGACTAATCAAGACAAAAAGAAGACACAAATTACTAACATCAGAAATGAAAGAGGGGCCATCACTGCTGATCTCATAGACACTAAAAGGATAATAAAGGAATATTATAAATAACTCTATGCCCACAAATTTGATAACTTAGATGAAATACACAAATTCCCTGAAAGATATAAGCTACCAAAATACACACAAAAAGAAATAGATAGTTTTAACTGCCCAAAACTGGAAACAACAAGATGTCTTTCAATAGGTGAATAAACAAAATTTAGTACATCCATACAATGGATAATTATTCAGTGATGAAAAAAAAAAGAGCTACCAAGATGTAAGAAGACACAAAGGAAACTTAAAAGCATATTCCTAAGTGAAAAAAAAGCCAGTCTGAAAAGGCTACCTACTGTATGATTCCAACTATATGACATTCTGGAATAGGCAAAATTATGGAGACAGTCAAAAGTTCAGTGGTTGCCAGGGGATTGGGATGGGGGTGGGTGGAAGGAAAGCTATAAATAGGTGAAGTACAGGAAAATTTTAGTGTGGTGAAACTATTCCATATAATACTATAATGATGGATATATGATGTTATGCATTTATCAAAACCCATAGAACTGTACAACACAAAGAGTGAAACTTAAGGTAAACTACAGATTTTATTTAATAATAATGTACAATATTGGTTCATTAATTGTAACAGATGTACCACACTAATGCAAGATGTTAATAATAGGGTTTTTTCCTGCTTGGTGTATAAACAGCCTTTTATCAGCCCTTGTTAGGTTTCTGAGATCGCAGGAAGCCTAAGTGTCCCCTTTCCTCTCTTGGTTTTTTCTCCTCCCATCTCATGGCAGGTAGCTGTGCTTATTTTTTGCATTCAACATTGGCCACCACTATTCCTTCCTGTGCTCACTTCAGACACTGCTTACCAATTATGGCCCTCTCTTTCACTAAGCCTGAACATAGTCTTAGATCTTTATCACCGTAATTTTTAATTAGTTGGAGTTTGGCACAATAAATGATTACTATTTTCTATGTCTACACTAGGAGTTTACAATTCATTCCACAGTAGAGATGTAACCGCCTCAAATTTCTTCTTGAACCTTTATATATATATTTTTTAGGGCAAATTGCCAATGTTTGTTTTTATGGAAAAAGGTTTTTCTTCTTAACTCAATTTTTCCCCTAACACACTTCATAAAAATGGAATTTTTATGAGTAATAATTGACATTTTCCTTCTTACACATGTGCTCATACTGGAAGCTCTCAAAATGCTTGAAAATAATAACTTTTCTTCTAGTTTTATGGTATAAAGAAGAGGTCAAGAAACTTTTCTTGTAAAGGGCCATATAGTAAATATTTTTGGCTTTTCAGGCCTCTGTCACCACTACTCAGTTCTGCCATAACATGAAAACTACACAGATAATGTGTAAACAAATGGGCAGGACTGAGCTTCAATTGCCCTCAACTGTAACCTGCTCTAAGATGTGCTGTTTATTAGCTTTCTTCTCTTCCTTGTCACATTTCCCCTACCAGAGCTCTGTAGGATCACCTCCTAAATAAACTGCTTGCACTAGAATCCAATCTTTCAGGGTTGGTATCTAGGGAAACCTGAACTCAGGTAGCTGCCAAAGAAAAAGCATTCGTAGAAGGCTTTTTAATACTTTTATTAATACATGGCAAATACAGTTGAGACGAAGACTGATGGTGAGAGAAATTGTGAATATAAAAAGAGAAGACAGATGTAAGAGTACTGGGAAAAGATAAAGCACTCCACAAATACAGGGTGAGAGCATTAATATTATGGCTGTCATTAGAGTCGGAGCCAGGAAATTGCTCTATAAAACACTGCCAGCTCACAGCTACCTATAATCATGGAGGCAAGCAGCAGTATGAATAATATAAAGCAAAAGATGATTGGAAAATTAATGACAACGGCTTTGAAGAACATTATTTGAAATTTAAGCTGCATTTTTCATATCTTATTATGGATTTCTTTCAAATTTACAGTAAAGTTTGTAGAGTAGCATAATATTCATATATGCATTTGCTGGAATGAAAAAATGACAACATTGGGTAGTATTTGTTTTAGATCTCTTAAAAAAGCAAAACATTATAAACACAGTTGAATATTGTTTTGTAATCTTAATCTAATTCCTTCCCTCTTTTCTCAGAGGCAGCCATACTCATTAAATTGATATGTATTCTCCATGTTGATGGTTTTATGATTTTATTTCATATATATATTTCTATAAGCAACATACAAGTTTTTGTGATTTTAAGATTTATACAAATAGTATCATGCTGCAGAAAGCATTCTGTAATTTAGCTGTGTTCACTCGACATTATCACTGAGACCCATCCATGCTGATATGTATTGGTTAAATAAATTCACTTATCCTTAGGGAGATCCTCCCTTTACTCTGAAAGGAGCTATCTTGGGGAACCTTTAATAAAATAGATCAGTGGTTCTCAACTGGTGGTTACTTTTGACCCCAGTGACATGTGGCAATGTCTGGAGTGAGGCCAGACATGCTGCTAAACATCCTACAATGCACAGGACGACTCCTACAACAAAGAATTATCTGATCCAAAATGTTAATTGTGCTGGGGCCGAGAAACCCTGATACAGATGAAAACTCTACATTCTTGAAGAATTCCTGGATATGAGGAAGTAACTCAGTGCAGACCCTTCAAGCTGAAATAGCATATGTTCTGCTTGATGGATCACCAGAACTGTGCCTTTATTGCATTAGAGAGTTTTTTCTTCTTACATGTGGATTTTAGACTGTTCTATGCTTATTTTGGAGAACTGTGTGTACATGAATGTGTATTTTGTGTGTATACAAATATTATGGTGGGGCTGGGCACAGTGGCTCACATCTATATGTAATCGCAGCACTTTGGGAGGCCGAGGCGGGTGGATCACTTGAGGTCAGGAGTTCAAGATCAGCCTGGCCAACATGGTGAAACCCCGTCTCTACTAAAAATACAAAAAATTAGTCAGGTGTGGTGGTGCACACCTGTAATTTCAGCTACTCAGGAGGGTGAGGCAGGAGAATTGCTTGAACCCAGGAGGTGGAGGTTGCAGTGAGCCAAGATCGTACCACTGCACTCCAGCCTGGGTGACAAAGCGAGACTCCATCTCAAAAACAAAAAACAAAAACAAAAACAAACAAACAAACAAACAAAAACAAATATTATGGTGGGGTTGGGCACATGCTTGATCATCTCTTTTCCTTATGCTGATGGTAAAATGTAATGAAGAACTAAACTAAACTTGATGTAGCAAAAACTAACCATACTTTAGGGTCTCATACATGGTGTTAAAGATAATTTTTTTAATGGTAAAATCATGACTCTCCTATATAACACATATGAACACGTGTTCAAGATTTTATTTAACTCATTAATAAGGAAAACGCTGAGGTATCAGCCAGTTCAAAGGAGAATACAAAGAACAAACACAGTTATAGATGAGAAATAGGGAAATGAATATGCAAATTGAGACAAAACGAGCCTTTTTTCACAGTAGGAGAGAGAAGTCAATTGAACCTCTATCCCTCTACTGGATAGGAAACAATCTGATGTCTATAAACAAGCATTTTGCATTGATATCAATAATCAATAATTTACAGCATTGTAAAATAGCTCCCATAGAATCAGATAACCCAGAAAGATGGGTGTCCTCTATGCTGGACAATGCATAGTTTCCCTCTAAAGCACAGTTTTTTCTTACAATGAGGTAATTATAAGACTGTGTAAGCCAGACTTTGGAAAATATACTGCCTACGATTGTGATTATCTTGTTCAAGCTATGAAGCCCAGATCAATCTTTGAGTGGCTAGACTACAGGATTCCTACCACCCCACATCTGGGAAGAGGAAAATTCCAGGCAGGAAAATAAAGCCCAGCTTAGGCTTGAGAGAATTTGAAGGACTCCTTTTTTTAAGCTGGGGGGCATGGAACCTGAACTCCAAGATAAGGAGATACCTGGAGTTACCTGTTTCCTTTTGAGCTGCCTCCCTGCCACGTGATGGACTGCTGGTAATTAGGCAGGGCTTCATATTTTGGGTTTGGGCTTGTTAGCTCTAAAGATCTACTGCTCTTGGCTGTTGGAAGTTATTCTCTGTTTTCAGTTTCCTTTTTCTGGAACCTTCAAGATATGTTTTTTAAGGAGTATGGTTTCATCACAGTTTAGATATGGAAAATCTGGAGAGGGACTAACCTTGTCACAGTAGGGATGCATCAAGAGTTGTCACCAGGGGAGGAGAGTGGTGTCCATCAACATTCCTGTCCAGAAGAAAGACAAAGAAGCAGGTGTAAAAGATGGTGACCAGTCCTGAGTATTTATGAGGCATTACCCTGGGACCTTAGAAATTGTTGGGGAAACAATTTAAATACGGCCAGTTTCCAGTAGTTTTGCTGATTTGAACTTGTGCCATACGAGTTTGGGTTTGAAATGCAAGTATGAGTTAATTTTGTTGTCATAGACTGATAAAGACTGTGACTTGGGTTAACAGTTGTAGGAACATTTTATAAAATTATGAATGCCTGGAAATAACAGTAATAAAGATGATGGGATAAAAATATGACATCTTTTAGATGGAAAAATTGGATGTTAATTTGGTTTGGAAAAGGTGAGCAATATTTAATAAGCAATGAGACTAAATCTACAGTGAGAAAAATTTAAGATCACGGTGATTCAGTTTTCCAGAGGGCTTAATCACCTACAATCTGAATTACTAGACTTAAGGCACCTTAATCAGAATTCTTGCATAAGCCTGTTACAGGAAATGTCGGATATATACGTCTACGTTTGTGCAACATATTTAGATATAGGCAATTTTTTTCATGTTTAGTTCTATAATCTTAAATCTGAGATCATTCACTTTCTTGAGTAATTTATTAAGTAAGAATTAGTAATATCCTAAACTTAAATATTATACTGCCCAGTCTAAACGTCAAGGACTGGTAGATATGTCATTAGCTCTCAAATGGAATTTGCACCAGAAAGGCAGTGTGCCTGGTAGAAAGGTCTGGAACCTTGGTTTCAAATTTCAGCCCTGGCACTTACTAGCTGTAAAATCTTGAACAATTTGAATCTCATTGGGTTTTTACTTAATCATCTATAAAATGTGGGAGTTAACCAGATGATCCTTAAGGGCTTATAAAACCCTGTAATTCTATAAATAAATCACTGTACAGAATCCTTCCAATTTTGCGTATGGCAGGGGAACAGACCTAACAACATGGAAAGGGAAGAGCCAGTACCTTTCACTTTTTCCCTCCAAAATTACTGACTAATCATCAAGGTTTTTCCTTTTGAATGGTTTCTGAGATGTCTTCAAATGTTGCCTTTTGTTCTTTTTATACCCAAACTCCTTCACATATGAAGAGTAGAATAGCTAAGTAAATTAAAATAATGATGAGAAAACATTTGCGTTTATTAAAACTATTAAAAATCAAAAAGAAGTCAAATCTCAAGCTAGCAAAACTGTAAAAAATAGCAACAAAATCCTTTTAGAAGACATTCTGATACACTTATCAAGTATCATAAATTTGTTTGACTCAGTAAACCCTCTATTTCTAATTTATATTATAGAACTATTGTATTTCTCCAATTCTAAGGCAGTTTCAATTTTAAGATACAATATTAATTTAATAATATATTTTAAAGAAAAAATTACTAATATCTTTATACTAAAATGTATCCTGATACATATTAAAAGAAAAAAATATGTATCTTGGAATTGAGGAAATATGAAAATTTAAAAGGAGAAAAATCCACATGTATGAAGACATTTACAGCAGTTATTTAAAATCATTTAAAAAAAAACAGCGTTGCAGCCTGGCCAACATGGTGAAACCCCGTCTCTATTAAAAATACAAAAAAATTAGCGAGGCATGGTGGTGCGTACCTGTAGTAACAGCTACTCGGAAGGCTGAGGCAGGGGAATCACTTGAACCCAGGAGGCAGAGGTTGCTGTGAGCCAAGATAACGCCACTGCACTCCAGCCTGGGCGACAGAACAAGACCCTATCTCAAAAATAAATAAATAAACAGCATTGACATCCAATAATAAGGAAATGATTAAAGTATATATATATAATGTATAAATACAATGAGACGTAACACAGCTATTAAAACTTTTATGATACAAATATAAAATCAAGAGAAAGTGTTTCTAAAATAATGTAGCATAATGTTTAACATATATAAATGCATAAAATATATAGTGCCTCATCAACTTAGAAACAATATGTTCATATGAATAAAGGAACTCCAAACAAATGAAAATCATAATGTTGCTGAGATATTGGAATTACATATGTAATTTTAAATGTCCCTCATATATTTTAAAAGCACTTTAATCACAAATTAAAGTTCCCATAAAGGTTCCTTTTTAAATTGTATATATTTAAGGTATACAACATGTTTTGATATACATCTACACAATGAAGTGATTATTATAGCCAAGCAAATTGACATATCCATCATCTCATCTCACATGGTTATCCTTCCTTCCGTCTTTTTTCTGTGGTAAAAGTATCAAAAACCTACTCTCTGAGCAAATTTCCAGTATACAATACAATATTATTAACTACAGTCTTCAATTTGTACATTAGATCTCTAGATTTATTCATCCTACATCATTGCAACTTTGTAACGTTTGACCAGATCTTCCACTTTCCCCTGCCCCACCAAACATTTTTATCTTGACAGCCTATCTCTTCCCCGTGTTTTTCTTTGGGTCCGGTTTTCTCCCCTCCCTGACATAGCAAGTAATTTAACATTTAGCTGGGCAGCCAAGAAGCAGCCATGGTGGGTGTGATTATCGGTAATAACAGGTAATGTGTTTACACAATCATTTCCGTTCAGTTTCATAAGTAAAGAGTATAATGAGGTAGCCACTGAGAGCCAGAGCCAATAAAACAGTCACTTTTGTCTCGACCCAAGAATCCTGCCTAGACTTGCAGGAACTAAATACTTTCCAAGGGAAGGGACTGGAGAGAATGCAGCATTGTGATTACCAGCAACAAAGAGCAGCTTTGGGATGCTGGTACTTCTCTCTCCTCACATGGATGCTACCGCTCTTTCTAGTTTAAAATGATGGCAGCCCTGAAGAATTTATGCCCTGTTACATTATAGCATAGAATGAATATATAGGGGTACTTCCATAATTGAGTTTGCATATAAATGTGATCTGCCTCAGAAAATTCAAACTATGAAAACCTAATGTGAAAGTAGGTGAAATATTTGTATTTCAGAAGCCACTCCACCCAGGGGTCCAAGAGTCATGTCCTATTTTCTCTACGTTCTCATTTCTTACTCGACAAACTCAATCAAACTGGCTTCTGCCCCAACCACTGCATGAAAATGGCTCATACCAGAATATTAATAACGTCTTGACTCTATATTTTAAAAATTGTAAAGTTTAAAATTTTTTAAACTTGTATTTTGAAATCATTTCAAATGTGTAGATGTGCAAGAACAGTACAAAGAACTCCCATATGCCCTTTATCCAGCTTCACCAGTTATTAATGTTTTGCCACATTTGCTCTCTCTCTCATATATATATACACATATGGGTAAATGTGTATATCTGTATGTATATATGTATATATATGTATACAGTATATGGGTGTGTCCCTTTCCCCAGTGGTACTTCAGTATTTTCTAAGAACAATGCCATTCTCTAATGTAACCACAGTGCAATTCTCAAATTTAGAAAATTTAATAGTGATATAAATATTACTATTATCTAGCATATTTATTTTAATGAATCTCAACAATTTTTAAGGGAACTAAATTATTTTTATTAAAAAGTATTTTTAAAAAATGAAATAGATTAATATTCAAATTATTTTTAACATTTGCAGGGCTTTTAAACCATATTTACAGTAATTATTCAGATGTCCTAATTTAATTGAATTTTACACTCACCACCAGGACTTGTACCACATACTTCTACTTCCAAAGTCTTTATTTTGCCAGCTGCAGTGGCTCACACCTGTAATCCTAACACTTCGAGAGTCTGAGGAGGGCGGATCACTTGAGGTCAGGAGTTCGAGACCAGCCTGGCCAACATGGTGAAACCCAATCTCTATTAAAAATACAAAAAAACTAGCCAGGTGTGGTGGTGCACGCCTGTAATCCCAGCTACTTAGGAGGGTGAGGAGGGAGGATCACCTGAACCAGGGAAGCAGAGGTTGCAGTGAGCCGAGATGGCACCACGGTACCCCAGCCTGGGCAACAAAACAAGATTCAATCTCAAAAAAAGAAAAAAAAAAAAAGAAAAAAAAGAAAAGAAAGTCTTTATTTTGATTAATCTTTTGGTCATGTATAGTACATCTGTGAATAAATTTTTTCAGAGCCCATATATAAGCAAGAATTATTTCTGTGGCTTTCACATGTGACTTGATATAGAATTACACACAGCCGTCTCTTTCAAAATATATATATGTTGCTTCGTATATCCTGTATCATGTGACACTCAGGCAAAGTCTGATTATGTACTTTGTGGATAATCTTTCCTTTTTTCTGGAAATCTATGGCATTCTTTTCCTTTCAAATTTAAAACGTTATTGTTCCCACTCAGGTACCGGGCAATTTTTGTCAATTTTGCTTTGACCATGACAGGGCCTTTTCATCTGAAGATGAAACATTTTTCTCGAGCTCAAGAAAACTTTATTCTCTTCTTCAAATATTTCTTATTTTCCCTTTATTCCAGTTTTCTTTTCAACATGTCGGTAATCCATATATTGGATCTCTAGTGTCTGTCTCATATGCTTTCTCTTAGGCTCTCAGACTACATAGGTCTGACGAAAAATGTGGCATACTTTTGAGTTTGAAACTTCCTAGTATAGTTCATCTCCTGCCAAAAGCTGGAGCAGTTAATACTGTGACTGGCACCTACCTTGCCCTCCTTTCTAATGTACGATGTAAACTAAATGCGTTCAAGTGACAGAAAGGTTTCTGTTTCGTTTTTTTTTTTTTTTTTTTTTTTGAGATGGAGTCTCGCTCTGTCTCCCAGGCTGAAGTAGAGCATCAGCGCCATCTTGGCTCACTGCGGCCTCTGCCTCCTGGGCTTAAGTGGCCCTCCCATCTCGGCTTCCCCAGTAGCTGGGACTATAGGCACACACCACCACGCCTGTCTAATTTTTGTATTTTTTGTAGAGATGGGGTTTCACCATGTTGCCCAGGCTGGTCTTGAGCTCCTGGGCTCAAGCCATCTGCCCACCTCAACCTCCCCAAGTGCCGGGATTACCGGCGTGAGGAACCACGCCCGGCCAAGTTTTTGAGGCTTCTTATTTTATAGAGTTGGGTGAGGGTTGAAGCTACCAACCATGTTTCTTCAGATAGGGAGCTTTCAGATACCTCTGATAGAGATGACCAGCAGCAGTCCACTCCCTCAGCCACATCTGAGTAGGCGGACGGTTTTATGCGGGTGCACAGGAAAACTGCCATGTTGATCTCCGCGAGCCAGACGCTCCAGTCATGCAGTGCCCGGATGTCACGCAAGCACTTGAAATGCACGCAGGCGCAGAAAGTGGCGGGGGGGGTGCGGGGGGATGTCACGCAAGCACTTGAAATGCACGCAGGCGCAGAAAGTGGCGGGGGGGCGCGGGGGGGCGCGGGGGGGTGCAGGGCGGCCTGTGGCACGAGGACATGGCCGGACTCTGCAGCCTATGGAGCTGACGAGGTGACAGTGGGCTGCAAGAGGAGCGCCTCAGTTCACCACCACGCCCCACAGTCCAGGACCCACTGCATTTCAGTGCCGTGTCCTATTAGACAGTTTTGAATAATACAGGACAGTTGTTTTGTGCCAGGTACTTCCATTTGGGGTTGTCTGATGTTTTCTCTTGATTAGAATCAGGTTATGAATTTTTGGTAGGAGAACTTTATAAGTGAAGTTGTGTCCTTATCAGCGTATTGTATCAGGAGGCACACAACATCACTTTGGTATTGATGAATCATTTGGTTAAGGTGGTGTCCTCCAGATTTGTCCACTGTAAAGGTACCTTTTCCCCATTTGCAATTAATAGGACCATTAATAAGGAGACATTTTGAGACTGAAAACCATAGCTTCTTTGGTTCCTGTTGTCCCTGTCTACTTCACGGGCACTTTTATGACAATATGTTAAGGACCAACCTTTTTAGCTTCATCCCACCTTGCTCTTTTTCTAAATGTCCTCTCTCAGCTAGTGGTATCATCATCTGCCCAGAGTCCCCAGATAAAAATATCAGGTATTTTTAACTTCTCCTTTTCCCCACACCCAAGTAAGCAACAAGTCCTGATTCTGTCTCAGAAACATCTCCCAAATCAGGCACCTCCTCTACTTAAACACTTAAACAACAGCCTCCAAACCAGCGTCTGTACTTTCAGAATATTCTGTCTATTCTAGGCCATCCTCCATGCTATGCCTAGAATTATTTACCCTGAACCTAAACCTAATGAGGTCACTCCTTGCCCTGCTTAAAATCTCTTATCTATTATTATCTGTTTGTTGATCTCACTTTATATATATATATATATATATATATATATACACATATATACAGAAAGTAAATGTTCAGGATCTATAGAATATCATCCAAGGCTCCATAGTTTGTCCCCAAGCTACCTCCTCATCCTCCTAATCCAGGCACCCCCCTTTTCCCCGAAACTCTGGTCAAAATGAATCATCACTCCCCAAACATTTCAAGTTCATTCAGAACCTTATGTCTCAGACCCTGTTATTCCCTCAATTTGGGATGCCCTTCCTTCGTTTATTCCTGTCACGCTCTCAGTTGGTCTTTTCAGACCTCTAGGAGATATAACCTTGTCTTTGAAGATTCTCCTATCCCCTTCCTCACAGCAGTTAGTCGTCCTCTGTCTAGGCCTATAAACTCCTCAATTGTCAAAACTGTTTCTCACTCAATATTGTACCTCCAAAACCTAGACAGTTCATAGTTGGTATTTAAGAAATGTTTTTTGAGTAAGTGAAGAATAGTGCAGCTGACAGTAAGCCTCAACAGTTGTCTGAAGAAACATGGCACTGAATATAAAGCTTTGTATATAACTGCATGAAAAATATATTTGTATCACAAAAACTATAACAATATATCTAGCCTCAAATGCATGTCAGCTTCCATTTCCAAACTTGCTTAATTTACAACTTAGTAGGCTTAACATCATTAAATAAGTTCAGGATGAGCAAGTAAATTTCCTCTTCACATAAACATATACTAACTGATTGACCGAGAGACTATTTTGAGTAAGATTCAAGTTCCGTTTTAAGGATTCTTCCCTTGATAGTAAATGTTAGCTTTTAAAATGTATGAGTCTTACCAAGTTGAATAAAACTTAGTTTCAGCCAGGTGCAGTGGCTCACACCTGTAATCCCAGTACATTGGGAGGCCGACGTGGGTGGATCCCTTGAGACCAGGAGTTCAAGACCAGCCTGGGCAACATGATGAGACCCCCATCTCTACAGAAAATTTTAAAAATTAGCCAGGCATGGTGTTGTGTGCCTGTGGTCCTAGATACTTGAGAGGTTGAGGAGGAAGAATCACTTGAGCCCACGAGTTCAAGGCTGCTGTGAGCCACGTTCGTGTCCCTGAATTCCAGCCTGGGTGACAGAGCAAGACCCTGTTTCAAAAACAAACAAACAAACAAAAAACAAAAACAACTTAGTTTCTAACCTCAGTAATAAACCAAGATTTATTTATAAAAGTAGGAGAATAATACCTGTCTCCCAGAAGGATATTGAGAGATACTGATTAAATTGAATAAGAAAAACATGTCTGAAAACAATTTGAATTGTAAAACAGCATACTAATATAACGTACTTTCTGACTCTCCAGTGAGTGTTGGCTATGATGATGTTAATGTTTTGCACTTAAAATATCCCCAGTTCTCTCTTTCCACTGTATTGTTATGATATTCTAGAGTAGCGCTTCTCAAATTTCAATGTACATACAAATCAACGGAGATTCTTGTTAAAATGTAAATTCTTATTCAGTAAGGCTGGGTTAAGACCCAAGATTCTACATATCTATGAAGCTCCTGAAGGCTGCTAGTCCGGCTTGTTTGAGGACCCCACTTTGAGGAGCAGAAGCCTTAATCAGAGGTTCCCAACGTTAGGTTCATCCAAAGAGTTTTCTAAAAGGTGTACCTAATCAGAACTTCCAAGGAAGAGGGTCCAGTTGGCTGTATGTCTAATCACTCTTCTTCTCCACGTGATTCTTAGGTGACCAGAACAATACCAGTAAATGGATAGTTACGGGGTTCAGGATATGCTACCCCCAAAAATGGCACCTTGGCATTTGAAATAATAGCAGAAGCAGGAAGGTTTCTCTTGGCTTTCTTTCACCGTTCTCCCCTGAAGCAGGCCATAAAAGAATTATCTGACCTTCCTCTAAAGTAGGCCATAAAACCTTCATTCCAGAGGTGTCCTTTCTATACCTGAGGAAAGGAATGTCCCTATCTCTGAAGGCAAAGGAACACAAAAAAGAATCTGAACAAACATGCCTTGCTAAGTTCCCTCTAGTTTATTACCATTAGACTGTCAACCTTAAATAATATGACTCAGAAAATATAATCAACTGTGCTTATTCGAGTTTATTTGAGTGCAAAGCTTGAGGATGGACACCCAGAAACACTGACTATAAAAGAATGGGTCAGCGTTCCAAAGTGGGAAAGTTAAGGTTTCACTTATATAGGCAGTTAACAGAGTTGCAACATTTTCCATACAAGGTCAATATATATGGTATAGCAGTTTGGTTGGTTATAGTTTGCTACATTCCAAGGTAGGTTGCTTTAGCATTCTGTGAGGAGGGGTGATGATCTGAAGGGGGTCTTATCTCTGGTGCCACAAGGCCTTTCCTAATGATTTGCAGGAAAAAGTAGAAGTTGCAGCTGCATGCTACATGACTCATGCCACATAGTCACATTCCTCTCAAAGCTCAAAATAATTTAAAGTTCCAACAGCTTTAAGTCTGAATGATTTAATTTTACAAGATCGTACCCTTTTGTCCCCCAATAATACTTATGCACAACTATCTATAAAAAGTTTGCCCTGTTTCTTTGAGTATTCATTTCTGAAGACTCCCATGTCGTGTAAAATTTATATTAAACAGATTTGTATGGTTTTCTCTCATTAATCTGTCTTGTATTATAGATGCCACAGCCATGACCCTTACAATGGGTGAGAATTTTTTTCTACCCTACAATGAATATTTGAATGTTCTACAATCTAGGTACTCAAACTGTGGCCCAAGTGCTGGTAGCATTAGCATCAACTGGAAGCTTGTTAGAAATGTAGAATCTCAGATCTCACCCCAGAATGGACTATGGACTCAGAATCTGCATTTTAATAAGATTCACAATTCACAGGTAACGTGTGTAATGTGTATGTTAATTCTAAGAAGCACTATTTTTAATTACATCTTATGTTCAAAATTCATTATTTCTCTCACTGTTTCAGAATCACCAAGAACCATAAACCGAGGATACTGCGCGCGCGCGCGTGTTTGTGTGTGTGTGTGTGTGTGTGTGTGTGTGTGTGTGTGTATGTAAGGGTAGTTATTTTAACAGATGTCACCCGAGCCTTTGGAGCAGCTTTACTTAGGATTACATTGATTGAGTGCTTTAGGTGTAGAGAATGAAACTCTGAGGACATGATCTGAAAGGAGATAGTGAAACAAGGAAATAGTTCAAATTCTTTGTATGTAACATGAACTGGAATTGAAAGCTGAAATAGGAGAAGAGATGAAGGTCAGAGTCCTTTCTTTAATATATGAATACATAATAATCATATTTTAAATGATTGCTTTTTAGTATAGAGATTTATACTTCCTCTTCCCTTGTCATTCCAAATGTTCATTCACTAAATTGTACTCTCATGTGAAAATGCTTGGGATATTTGAGGAAATTGAGTTAATCAAGTTTCGGGAATTCAAGTCAGTTTCAGGTCAATTACAAAGAGGTGGGTGGGGGTGATCTTAGCTGATGTCTGATGAACACCAGCTAGTTAATTCTATATAATCATACATAAAACAAACAGACTTTTATTCATAGTAGTTTGTAATGTATTCATATCCAGATTGCCCTGATCACAAATAAATTGGTCAAAGTGCTAGAAATATTACATAAGAAATAATTTAAAATGTTCCGTATGTACTGAAATATGTTGAGAAAATTTCTACCAAAGCCCAAGTTGTGTCCTAGTAGTAAAGTAGAAATACTGTTGTTGAAACATTGAGTGTATCATGGCTTGGAGCCCTGAGAAAGTTGCAATTTCCAAAATTGCTTGATTCGCTGAGTTAATTTAGTTATTAGAATAACCTGAGTCATTGCTAGAACTTTAACTAGAATAATGCATCTCGATTGAGGTTTTTTCCTCCTCCTTTACCTTCCACTTTCAGGAAAAAGAAAGAAAGTTATGACTAGCAAAGTTATTTTCCAAAGAGTTATTCCTAAAAACATATTTCAGATGACATTAACACCTAGTATGGAGTATTTTCCAAATAGTAAACAATGAAAATATCCCTGTTATTAGGAGAAAAATAGTACTTTATTTTAAGACGTACAGCATTTATCTTTACCAGTTAAGGTAAAGTATGCGATAACACATAAACCCCAAATCTCAGTGGCTTAAGAAAATAGAAGTGTATTTCCTTTTCATGTAAGGTCCAAAAGAGGTATTCCTGATAGATGGGTAACATTCCTCCAAGCGATAATTTTGGTACCCAGGCTTCTTGCATCTTGTGGCTTTGCATTTTTTAACATAGGACTTACAAGGTCACGGTGACACAGGATTTTTCACAGCCCCTTTGCCAGACTTGCAGCAGGGGGCACACCCTCTACACGGCCCACCGGGCCACATCTGGCTTGCATTCCGGCCTGTAACTCCTGCAGCTGCACAACTGCATCCTCAGCCCCTAGGGGGAGGGAACACATGAGTGAGTGAGTGTGGGGTCCAGCTGGCCACTCCAAGTGCCGACACAGAAGCAAGTTCCATGCAGGGCCTGCCGCCAGACCAGGCATGTTGCCCCAAGGGGAATGTGGTGGTACCCAGGCAGGGGTGCCTGTGACCCCAAAGCCCCAGAGTGGCTGTTACAGTGTGCTAATTAGCTCTTTTTGTTCTGCTGTTCACAGCCAGATGGACTGCAGTATGTTAGCAGCTAGTCAGCCTATTGTCCCCCTCTGGCCCACAGCTCCAGGACCAGCATGGCTCTGGGACTGGTTTGGCCCTGCCACTGCTTCTGTTTTGTGCGGCGCTGCCCCCCCACTGGTGAGGGCAGAGGGCCAGTGCCACAGCCTTTCTGGGTACCCACATTCAGTGGGTCTAGAGCTCTTGTCCCGCATCCAAGAAGAATGAGGTCATGCTGACTGTTGAAGGGTGATGAGGGCAGAGAATTTTATTGAGTGACGAAACAGCTCTCAGTGGAGAGGGGATGGGAAGATTGAGTTGTCTCTTCCCTGAAGTCAGGTCGTCTCTCCCCCAAAATCAGGTCATCTCTCCCCTGAAGTCAGTTGGCCTCTACCCCAAAGTCAGGTCACCTTTCCCCCAAAGTGAGATCATCTCTTCCTCAAAGTCAGGTCATCTCTTACCCCAGTGTGGCTGAGTCTGGATTTTTTATAGGCACAGGATAGGGGAGGGGCAGGCCGTAGGTAGCATTGGAAAAGGCAACATTCAGTTGGTGTGTGAGTATGCAAAAACAGTTAAAACAAAGGCACCAATCAAAGGTGGGCACAGTGTAAAAACAATAAGGGAAGAGTAGGTATATGTAAAATCGGTGAAAGGTGGGGATAAATCAAAGGAAAGCACACCAAATGGGACGACAGGTTCTCAATCTGGTCTGTGGATTTGACTTGTAACTTGGCCTTCAGGCTTTAAACAAGCCAAAGACAGGCTTGAAGGTGGGGTTTCACTAGGGACCTGCCCCTGTCTGCCTAGGCATTTGTCTGCCTCCTGCTGCTATCAGCAGCCAATAAGAAAGAACATGGAGGATGGTGCCTGGAGGTTTTTAATGGGCTAGACCTGAAAGTCACTCATTTTACTTCTGTCGGCATTCCATTGACCAGGATGCAGTCACATGACCACACTTAACTGCAAGGACAGCTGGGAAATGTAGCCTGGCTGGGTGCCCAGGAGGCAGAGGAGAGGGGTTTTTTTCAACAACTAGCTAGTCTATGCCAAGAAGATCTGTTCTTCTGTGCCTCCTTTATCAATTTTTGAAGCCCTAGTCAGTGAAAAGTTATGGTCATAATTATGCATCCACTACTGAATTCATAACTATAAAACAAAAACCTCACTGAATTAATGCATGGTATTAACCAAAGTATGAAACCAAGGGTTGAAAACAATTTTTTAAGTTCATCTTGAGCTGGATAAAAATTAAATTGAAATATGCCTGTTTCTGGAGACTTGCAGCTAATTCAAATGTCACTGTCATTATCATGTGGAGAGCTGTCACTTTACTTCATCTGGAAGAGTCACTTGGTACCATGGATCCTTAGAAATGCTATGTGCATAAATAAATGTTGCCTCCAATTGCTTGACAAAGGCAAGCGGCCCAAAGAAAAAGCCACTCAGGTGGAGACAATTAAATGTGATTGCAATTGAATGACTCAGCTGGGGATGGGGAATCACAAGACCTAGGAGAGAAGGAATTGTGTAGGAGTGGAATTGTGTGATCAAACCTAGGAAACAGTTGGCTAATCTCAGAGCAATCAGTCTAAAGGCTTTTCATGTAAATGTAGAATCAGAGATTTGAGGAAAACACAAGGGTCTAGGAAAGCAGGCCCTATATAGCAGTAGCCAAATGGAGTAAGAAAAGACAAACAACTGAAACAGTTTCTTCTTTATGACATGGGTAGCATGTCCATTAAATTTCTAAAGCTGCACACACCTCTTTGTTTGTGATGAAAGAGGTCAGGAAATCTCATGGACTGTGCATAAATGAAAGAAAGTGCCTGGCAAGTCATCTTATTTCCTCTTTTAGTGTTATCTCCAGATGCCCTCCTGTGAGGTGACTTAAGAAGGCAGCCCTTCCTGAAAGAGGAAGCACACAATGATAACAGCTGCCATTACTGAGCATACAGCATTGTAAACCAAAAATCAAGCCATGCAACAGACTGATGGGCCCTCCCCTTGGCCAAGGGCATTCCAAAGTTAACCTAAAAAACCAGTTCAGGCCGTGATGGGAAGTAGGGGTCGGACATGCCTCATTACACCCTCCTCCCATTGGAATCTGGGCACAGCTGACCAGCATTAACATTAAAACAGAGCCCTTAAGACTGATAGAACAGTCAAAAAGAGTTTGAATCTTTTTGTTGACGGCATGGACCAGGTACACAACTAGGTACTTACCCATGTTATCCCCATTTCAGGCAATGATTACTTTTGAAAGCAGCTAACTTGCTAATTATATTTCTTATTTTTCCTGATAGTGCTAAATAAATAAGATATATCAAAACCATTTAAAAATAGCAATTCTGGAGAGATAGCTTCCCTTCCTCTCTAAGTGTGATAGAAGATGGTTCGTCAAAGATGGATATATTTAGAGATATAAACTAAACTTGCTGGTAGAAATATTAAAAATATTTAAATGGGTCAACTTGAATTAAGCAGTTTTTGCTACTCTCAGGAGTTATTTTCTAAAGAATTCATTAGTGACGAAAAAATATTGTGAGAGAAGTGCTGAAAACATATTGTGAGAGAAGTTATCACTCAAGCTCTATGTATTTATTCCTATATAGGGCTAGGCACTAGGCTTATATGAGATTAAAAGCATGGTCATAGCTTGTCTGGAGTCTTCAATTTGGGGAAGAAAAAAAGGTAGTATTCAAATATTAAAATCACTTGGGGAGTTTTAAAAGATACTGTGAGACACTAGTGAGACCCCAGCCCCAACCAGTTTTTTGGATTCTTGACACTGTCACAAGAAAGAATTTGGGGATAAGTTGGAATGATGTGAAAGACAGGAAGCTTTATTGCAAAGCAAAGGTACACACTTAAGAGAGAAGTGTGGGCGTGCTCATAAGAATGAGTTGCCCACAGTGGAGTATGGGTTTCTAATTTTGGGGGTTTTTTTAAATTAAGGGGTAAAATAATCATTAGATTTTCTGGAAAAGAAGGGGATTTCAGCCCTGCCCCAACTCCCCATTACTGCCCCCTTTCTCCCTTATGTTGGTTTGCCCAGAAGAGTCATGGACACGTCACCCTGACCAAGATTTTTGTCATTTTCTCTCCCCTATTTGGGGTTTTCTGTTATCCTGTGATTTCTTTGCCTAGTTCTTGATTTAGCTGTTGTCTGGGTTTTTCCATCCTCCTGCAACTGCCCAGTGCTATTCCTATCTCACAAGGTAGGTAGCCAAGGTTGAGACCCTCTGCTGATGGACATATAAGAAGTGTTCAAAGTATAGGGGAGAGGAGAGGTAGTTGGTCTGGGGGTGATAGGGTATGATGGCTTTGAGCTACGATTTGAAGGATGAATAGGAGTTTTCCAGGTATGGAAATCAGGGAAGTCATTTTGGGAAATGATATATGTGAAGATGCAAGGACAGGAGAGAGCATAGCATTTTGAGGGCATTACTATTAATGACTGCTGCTGGGATGTAATATGTAATGGGAAAGGATGGGGGCAGATGAGTCAGAAGCCAGATCCAAGGTGTGTTTAGTCCATGCTAATAAGGTTAGGTTTTATTTCATAGGCAATGGAGAGCTATTGAGGAATTTTGAGCAAGATGAGATCTGAGAAAATGAGGATACTGTTTACTGAAATAATCAAATACCCTGCATGCTTTTATGCCATGTTTCATGTTCAAGTGAAGAAGAAAATGTCCTTTAAAAACTATGTCTTGTACAAAAACAAAAGACAATACAATGAGTTTGGTTCTATATTCATTAAATTCTGTTGGATGAAAATGTGACAATTATGCAGGCACAAATCTCATGAGATCCCTCAAATGCTCCCACATCCATGTCCCTAGACTGGAACATACCTGGAGAACTGGCAGGGTCAGGGGAACTGGGATGATCAGTTCTCCCTACCATTCTTCAACTTCAAGAGTTCCTGCATCCTCCCTCTATCTGACTCTCTTTCATTTATTTCACTGCTATTAAATTCTCTCCTGCTATCTTCTGTTTAAATGCTTGAGAGAATCTGATTGACATGACTAATGTTAAATAAGATAATATATCATTCTGATTGAGAGCTTGGACTCTAAGGTCAGATCATCTCTGCCATTGACCAGCCGCATAATATAGGAGGCACCTCTATTAGTCAGGAGAGGATAGGCTATGCTGGAGTGACAAACAGCCCCAAATGTTTGTTTATCTCTTAACACGACATGTACATTGCAAGGCAGCTGGGAGCTCTCTTCGTGTTTCCTTACTCTGAGATCCGGGCTGCTAATGCAGCCACCATCTTCAATGTTGTCAGTTGCTGTGGCAGAAGGGAAAAGAGAGCCCTGGAGAGTCGTGGGGCTTCAATCAGTGCTCAGCCTGGAAATGACACTCGTCACTTCCATATTCAGTGGGCCATATTCAGTGAATATGGTGTCAGCCAAAGACAAGGTGCAAGCCTAGCATGTTCTCTGAAAGTGGAGGAATAGAAATATTTGGTGAAAAAGTACTGTGAATTCCACAGCATTTTATCTAATCTCTCTAATCTTTGATTCCTTCATTTGAATCATGTGGATAGGAGCAGCACATACCCCAGAGAGCTGTTGCAAGTATTAGATAGGTGAATGAATGTAAAGCACTTAGGATAATGCCCAGTAGTGGTCAGCTCTCCATCAGTGTTCAGTGTTATTACTCTGTGATACACAAAAGGAACAGGAGGGTGGCAAATAAGAGAGAAATAAAAGTTTTAAGATTTTTTTTGGACAATTATGCAGAGGATGAGTTAGAATAAGGAGATTAGATAGAATAAGGAGAGTTGCCTGGTATTTCTCATTCCTTCAGGACTTGTATATTGATGTTCTGATTGCATTTATAGCATTGATAGGTGAGCCTATGCCTTATTTTTCATGGATGTTGGTCCTAGATCTCCAATTTAGATTTTTATCTGCTCAAGTGTCAGGCCTGTTTGAGCAAAGATGTTGAGGCTTGAACCCATGAGGCGCAAGGAGTATAGGCTACAATAGAGGAAAAGAACATTAAACCAGTAAGCCTTAAATACAACAGATATAGGAAGTGATAGGGAGAAAATGTCTTGTCTCTCCTTTGACAAAACTTAAAACATCTACCCTGTAGTCATGAACTTGTCTGGAGGACTCTAACAAGTTTATTAATCCTTGGCTCCAGGGAAGACCATTTAAATGTGTTTAAGGATGATCCTGTGCCCTTGCTGGCTGGCAAGGGTGGGCATTCAGACCCCAAAGTTTTAAGGACCTGACTTTGACGATTGTAAGAGAAACACATTATCAATGATTCATGTAATTTCTGCCTCAGCTGTGGAGACAGAAGGATGGAGAGAATAATTAAGGGTGGTCTTGCCTCTAAAGAGGAGTCAGGTATTATCACATCACTGTCATAGAGGCAGAAGAATGGAGAACATGTTTAAGGATGGCCTTACCTCTAAATTGGAGTCATTCCATTGTCATGTTCACTCTCAAGCTGAACAGTGAAAAACAGCACACCCACAGCATTTGCTAAATAAAGGCCAAGAAAATTATCATGCAATTCATCCATCTTCTATCTCTGGCTTCCCTGGGAGGCCCCTTTCCAATCCAGAGAGTAGATCTGTTATACATCATGCAGACAATACTATAAAATTAATAAATCAGGATGTTGATTATCTTTAAAAATAATGAATATATTACTCTTCTAATTTTCCCCCAAGCCTGGAATTTTAAAAATAAAATTAGTACAAGGAAAAAAACTCATTTAAATGGAGAATGGGAAGATTAGAATGCGAGAGGAAATTATGTTGTTGCCAAAGATGAGTCCTGGCAGACCCTCCGGCTGCCCTTCAATGACAGGCCACAGGCATGCAACACTCCAGCATACTGAATGTTATTCTATATTTGGATATTTTTAAAAGGCAGTTCCTTTCTGCTGGAGATCAACCCCTCTCACATAAATACAAATCCATATTCAATCACAGTACAAGCCAGTTCTAGACCTTATGTCTGGTATTTACCAGGGGTTGCAAATATTTGGAAACATGACATTGACAAGGAGTATGCAGGTATTGGGGTTTAGGTAACAGCACGGGTCTGAAGGCCTTGGAGACCCAGATCCTCATGGTGGCTCTGCAACCCAAGGACAATGACTCTTATCTACGTATTTACATCACACCTTTTTTTTTTTTTTTGACAGAGTCTCATTTTGTCACCCAGGCTGCTGGAATGCAGTGGTATGATCTCGGCTCCCCACAGCCTCTGCCTCCTGAGCTCAAGCGGTTCTTGTGCCTCAGCCACCCAAGTAGATGGGATTATAGGCGTGTGCCACCACGTCCGGCTAATTTTTGTATTTTTAGTAGAGACCAGATTTCACCATGTTGGCCAGGCTGGTCTCAAACTCCTGGCTTCAAGCAATCTGCCTGCCTTGGCCTCCCAAAGTTACATCCCACCTTTTAAGCACACACACACACACAGACACACACACATACACACATGTACGTGTATGCACATGCACACACACGATGGTTTTCAATAAAAGAAACACATAAAATTGGGTTCATACAATGGCAGTGGAAAACTAAAATCAAGAAAAGGCAGAGAAGCCAAATATGCAAGCCACAAAAGTTAATATAGTTACTGTCAATACAGATAAAAATCAATGTGGGCAGAAATGTAAAGCAGGGCCATTACACATAACTCTTCTTATTTTTCAGAGGCACAGTTTCTCTTAATACTAAAATTTAAACCCTTTATTTGGGAAACCTTGGACTATATGTTACACAATAATTTAAACCATTTTACAAAAATCAAGGATGTTATTGTTAAATGGCTAGTAAGCCTGAATATAGGCCGAGAGCATGCCCTAAAACAGAGATCGTTAGCTTGGGATTCACAGATCTCGAGTCTGTAGGTGGAATCCACGGTATCTATGGGCTTGGATGGAAAAAAAAATTGCGTCCTTACTTTCATCAACCCCTAACTGACATTTAGCATTTCTTTCTAGCGTGCATGAAGCCTACACAGAATTTTATCAATACTTATAACTTTTTCACCAATAGAAACCACAGATTTTTTAAAAATTACAATAGAGTTGTTGCAGATATTTCAAAAATTCATTTGTTCTCATTGACACTTTGAAATTACAATTGCTAGTAGACCTCAGGCAGCTCTTGTTTGTAATGCTTTCTCTAAGAAGCATACATGTTGCTATATTAAAGTTTTAAAGTATTTTGATAACTGAATTTTAGTAAAAGTGGTTTTCTTTGTAAGCTCATGCCTTTTCATTTATGGATTTAAACACTTGCTCTGGGGAGAGTCCATAGGCTTCACCAGATCACCAGTAGGCTCTGTGGCATAGAAAAAGATCTGACATTTGCTCCAAGGTATAACTTGGAGAAGAAAATTTTGGATAGGCGGTAAGAGCTTAACCTAACATGGTACAGAACTTTATAATGAGCTGACTTGACATAAGTAGAGGCTTAGCAAACCTAGAAAAGGGATAAAATAGTATGTCTCTTAAATTATATACCACTTTCTGTTCAAAAATTTCATGATCCTGTGTATCTGCTACAATTATGAAGAGTGACCAGTGAGTGAGATTCAAGGGGCCCTACACTCTGCTTTTAAAATTGTATTCTATTCATTGAATGACTAAAAATAGAATGTCTATTTTATTTACCTCGTATAAGTGTGGCCTTTTCTCTCTTTATCTGAAATCATTTCCTTCTGGATTAAGATCTCCAGGGGCAACCAATTTGTTGAATTATGAGAAAATAGCCCCAGAGTGGGCCAGATTCTGATATTGGATATTATATGCCATCTAGGACCTTTTATTATATCTCTAATTGTCTCAAGTATCCTTCAGTTAGATTCTGGCACTCATTTGGAAGGATGGAATGTACCAGTGCTTCTGTTTACCTGGCCTTCTTTCCTTCAGACCTCCTAAGACTGCTCTACCCTAACATCTACTCAAGCCAGGCCTCCAATACTACACGCTATTGTCATAGAGCATTTTTCCAGTGTCGAGCATTCTTTGTCTTTTAAAGTATTATAATCCTGGCTCTACCCTGTTTAAGTGTGCAGGAAATATTTAACTACCGAAGTACAACATACATAAGGAAAAATGTGCAGCTTCTAAGTTTACAACTTGATGAATTTTTACAAAGTGAGCATACCTGTGTAAACACTACTCAGACAGAGAAACTGAATATTGCCTACACCCCAAAAGCTCTCTTTTGATCCCTGTCTTCATACCCCCACTCCCACACCACCAAGGATAACCACGAAGCTGACTTCTAACAGCACAGATTGGTTTTGCTTAGTTTTTTATACTTTAGAGAAACAAAATCATGAAGTATTCCATTTGTCTCTGGATTTTTTCACTCAACACCATACGAGATTCAAGTTACTGGAAATTTTTAAACTCAAAAGTTCAGTTCTTGTTTATTCCTTTTGAGGTTTAGCATATGGTATGGGGAAAAGAACAAAAATATTTCTTTTAGGAAAGTTGACTCTCAGGGGGCCTAAGAATCCAGCCCCCATAGTTTAGATAACACTATGTTTTAGTTGTTGTGTGTTTTCTTTTCCTTAGAAATTGACCTCTGGTTATAATTCTGCTTCCTGTCAAAGTTAGGGTTGACTACAGTAAGCCTGTGTGCTCAGATATGTTGGATGCCTTGCAGAGAAATTGTATCAGAACTCTTTTTTTTTTTTTTTTTGAGACGGGGTCTCACTCTGTTGCCCAGGCTGGAGTGCAGAAGTGTGATCACGGCTCACTGCAGCCTCGACCTCCCTGGGCTCAGGTGATCCTCCCACCTCAGCTGTCCAAGTAGCTGAGACTACAGTGTGTGCCACCATGCCGGCTAATTTTTTGTATTTTTTGTGGAGACGAGCTTTCCTCGTGTTTCCCAGTCTGGTCTCTAACTCCTGGGCTCAAGTGATCCGCCTGCCTCAGCCTCCCAAAGTGCTGGGATTACATGCGTGAGACACCACGCCCAGCCTATCTGAACTCTTGAAAGCGATCCTACTCGGAAGTTACACTTTACTGTCATTCAAGGCCAACCAGAACATCATCCACACGTTTAGAGTTAATCAGAAAGTGTTAAATATATTTACTCATTTAAAATTCCTTTTTGTTGCTGCTTTTCTGTATTACATGCTTTAAAGTGCAGATAAGTGGAATCAACATGGTACTGTGGGACAATGCAGAACCAGGGATAGCAGACAATTTTTTTTGTTGTTCTGACCACAGGCTTATACAGTTGTGTTGCACCAATTAAGCCTCAATAGCCTTCATCTCTCAGGCTCGGTTTGAGGATCAGAATGAGAAGACGTATGATGTGTATGAGACACAGCACAAACTGTACCGTGTCCCACAGTGGCAAGCTCTCCCCACATCACTACACTCACATGCTCTATGCTTGCTTTTCTTATTCATGGTAGATTTTATTGTTTCTATGTGCCTACCATAACTTTTCCATGACTTTCTCTCTGCCTGATTGCCCATATTCCTGTCCTGCCTGTCCTTAGAGACCTAGCCCAAACTCCAGCATTTCCATGGTCTCTGCCATATGTGCCCACTCCTTTCTCTTTCTTTCTTGGACTCCGCTTGTCCTTATGGTCAAGGTTACACTGCTTTGTTTGGTGTTTCCAGTCTTCCTTCTTTCCTCAAATAGGTTATAAATTCTGTGGGGAAAAAAAAAATGTCTTTTCTGAGGAGCCCACCATCTTAAAAAAGGACATGGTTGGCATTGCATAACGTGTGTTTTTCTTCTTTTTCAAACGTGGGACAAAATCAGTCAACTTTTATAGGCTGGTGTGAGCTAGCTCCAGCACTCCAGTAAGCAAAATGCTATAAATAAGAAGTTTCTTTAAAATAAACATTGTACACTTCTTCCTGATTCATAAGAGAACCTCATATTTGGTTGGGTAAAAAGTCATCCTGTTGCTTCTCAATCTCTCAAAAGAAGGTTGGATGTGAACATTTTTCAAAAAGTAGGTTTACATGGACAGATGCTAGAAGCCAATGCCTGTCTTGCTCTGTCTGTCAAGCACGGCAAATACCATAAAGTGATGAATCTGTATCATGTGTGACTTGGTGGCACCTTAGTTAAAAATGCTACTCTTCTAACCATAGAACTGTGCTGCAGCTTTAATTTTAAATATGAAAATGTTCCCACAGTGGAAAATGTGTCCCCAACCTCCTGAAGCTTTGAAAAGAAAGCCATCAATCAACAAGGCACATGAGAATGGTCTTCAAAGTTGTAGATTCATCAGAGCCCCAGGGTGGTGTGACAGGGGGTCAGGGTACCAGGGTGGCTTCATAAAGGGAAAAGCACACAAAGCAACCAAAGACCCTATACATTCCTTGAATTTTTTGAGAGATTATGTACTAAAGTCTCAACAATATGCTTATAATCCTACAGTAATCATCTGGCTAGCAGAAAGACACATCCTCTTAAATAACCATATGAAATACATTTTTAAACAATCCATGTCTATGTAGAGAAAAAAATGGTTTAGTGAAGTCAACAGAAGGTTCTCAAAAGCCTCAAAAAACATTTATCTGAGATGCAATAAATTTGGACTCTTAGCCTCAAGTCAGTTCTTTGGAGGTTTATTACTACTAGGTCACAAGGAAAGAGCGAGGTGAAATGCACAGGAATATCTCTATGAATAGCCGTATTAAGGAATAATGGAACTAGGTACATGTCTAGCTAGGTCCTGATCGTTTGTTTCCTAACTCAGGGAGAGCCAGAAACTGACCTACATACCAATCATTTATTTTCTTTATTTTCCTGAATTAAAAATGGAGTCACTGTACAAAAGTGGTTAGTTTCCACAGGGGAAAAGAAAATCAAGGAAATGATACAAATGGTTTGCATTTAAAGGATCTTTGTTAAAAAAATGAAAAGCAATTCTCTGGGACTACAGAACTCAAAATAAAGTATGTGGGCACTTTTGGTGGAAGGCACAGGGGTTTGACAGCTGCAAGTGGACTTAGGAAGTACCTGACTCAGTTGGTTTTATGGTAAGGCTGAATGGGATTTGGTTCCTTGCCTTACAATTGGGTGCTGCAGGTAGGTGGTCCTCCTGATTGCTTAGTCTCTCTGTTCTTACTGCTTAGAATTTTGCTTCTGCTTTGAACATTATATGAGATAATGACTATAGTTAAGATAATGACTGTAAAAGGCCAGTTAAGACCAGTGTCATTCTTTCCTCATCCTTCTTTCACTTGGCAAGTGAGGAAACAGACCCAGAAATATGAAGAATTAAGTCCAAGGGCACACACCCAGCTGACTCCCACCAGTACAGGGGTATATCAGCCCTCTGCAGTGCTATTTTCATGATGGATTTCGACTGACAAGAAAGATGATCTCTGTTTGCAGATGACATGGTTATATATAGAGAAAACCTTAAAGATTACACATTCAAACCTGTTAGAAACTACTAAACTAATTCATCAGTTGCAGGATATGAAATCAGCACAAAAATTAATATATTTCTTTACACTAATAATGAACAAACTGAAAAAAATAATTGAAAAACTCAGTTAACAATAGCGACTAAAAGAATGAAATACTTGAAAATAGGCAGATGACTGCAGCCCTGGTCCACAGCCTAGTTCCACAGGAGCCTCATGAATGCTCCTGAGCTGGAACTACCCATCTAAGGTACTCTTGAATTCCTAACCCACAGAAACTGTGAAATAAAAAATGTTGACTGATTTAAGCTGCTAAGATTTCAGGTAGTTTGTTATATGTCAATAGATAACTAGTAGGTAACCACAGCGCTAAATGGAATGAGGATATTTAAACATAACTATAGAGAATCAACCCTGTTTTTCAACTCTGTTGTTTTACATTTGTCGGGAAAAGAAACTCAGAATTCATCGTTAAAAGTGCTTTTTCAATGTACATAAGGGGGGTTTTTACTTTTATTATTATTTTAAATTGACGTATAATTGTACATATAGTACAATGTGATATTTTGATACATGTATACAATGTATAATGATCAAACCAGGGTAATTAGCATATCTATCATCTCAAATACTCATCATTTATTTGTGTGAGAACATTCAAAATCCGCTTTTCTATCTAGCTGAAAATATACAATAAATTGTTGTTCATCATAACCACCCCCAATAGTGCTACAGAAGACTAGAACTTATTCCTCCTATCTGGCGGTACTTTTCTATCTGTTAACCATCCTTTGTGGTTGTTTTTATAGAGATGAGAATACCATAAGCAGATATCAGGCTTGAACATGCAGAGGATTAAATAGAATCTTATCAGAATGTGGCCATGGATGCTTGAGAGACCAAAACATTATAAGAGATTTTGAATAATCGAACAAATGGTGGCCTCATATGCCCTAGCAGTATTTCCATTTTATATTCTAGATACACAGATTATATGCTGTATTCCTCATTGGCATTGCATGCCCCAGATCACAGAACATTGCCTCCCCTCATCATGATTTGGGAACATTCTATTTCACTGCAATTACAGTTTCCAGGAATGACAGCTGCTGAATAATTACAGGAAAATTACTTTAGTTCTCTATAGAATTTACAAGTTCCCGAACCTGACATTTATTGAGATGGTAACTCTCAATGTGTAGAGCCAGGTTAAAGATAAAAATTTTAAAAAATATATTTTTATTTAAAAAAATACACACATATGTAAAATACTTCTTTTGGATTTCTTGGCTGCCTTACAGCATCAGACATAGGAAAAATTCGTCTTCTCTGAATTATCTATGTAACCATTTCTTTTTGTTTTATTCATCTATGATTGTAATTTTTTAAAATATGTAATTTATAGATCCTCCCTAGAAGGAAAGGTTAGAATAGATGATAAATAATTTCAAAGGTCCATTTTAGCTTTAAGAATGTAAGCGTATCTAAGAAAAAGTGCCTTGCGGGGCCAAAATGAGGAGTCTTAGGGCTTGTCTAGAGTCCTTGGATCAGCTAAGGCATGTCCTTCTGGGCAGGAGCTAACTCTCTCCTAAACAGCCACCTTGAGTAAAATGTCAGTTATCTTGTGAAGGATGGAATGAGTGATAAGAATGCCCTGGAGCCCAGGCTATTTGGGATAGGGAGATAGGATTTTCTGAGCAAATATCAAAGAGAACCCTTGGGCAGAACCCTTGGTGTGTGGTCAATCCATGAAGGTGTCACAGAGTTGCAATAGAAATGTGTGTAAGGAGTGGGGAGGCGGGGTCCTAGAAGGAGGATTCCTCTTTGGGGGCCACTTTATATAAGTACATAGATCTCAACAAGGAGACAGTAAAGCCTGGACAAATGGAAAGGAATGTTACCAGGCTCCCTTCCATCACCATGTGGCATGTTTGAGAAATCAGAGCCTTAGAGGCCTACAGTAGAGCTGAGTCTCAATCAAAATGCAATTGAGAAAAGGAGAAACACACCTGTTATTTTAATCTTAATATTGAATATAGAGACTCAGTTAAATAGGCATTAGAGGACTGAAAAGAGAAGGTGGGAACACGGAGGTAACAGAGGTAGCTGCTACTACTGAAGACAACAGCCACTCCCAGGCCTGCGGGGAAAAAAAAAATGGAAGAACTTGGGGTTAACAGAACCTAAAATCTATGAGGCGAACCCTCGAAGGGCTGGGGCCCAGGCCTCTGAGGAAGTAGCTCTCACTCAATCAGCTGGTGCTGGTACCTTTAAGGGTCGAAAAATAATGCAGGTAATAATAATAATAATTTAGGTAGCAGTTTGATGTTTTAGTTCTACAAAAAAAAAGTGAGAAGTGCCTTTTCCTAGACGGAAACAAACATTTTCTTTTGCTATAAAGGGAATGGGAAGTAGGATTAGGACCTCACACCACGGAAGTTCAGAATGGTTTAAGTGTTTGTAAGGAACGGAAAAAACTAAGCATGGTCATGGAGGAATTTTAAGGAAATAGAAACTATTGCTTCACCTCCTTTTTCCTGGAATGTGTCAGTGTGTATTGCCATATAAATATATTAATAAATATGCATGTAATATCTGTGTTAAAGGTTGCATTAGTTCCTACTTATCTACCCCCATTCACTCAAATCCAAAAGACATATGGACATCAACTTCCTGTTTCACTTAGTGAAATCAGGAAACTCTTATTCATTTTTCATAACATTTTATTTATTATTATTATTGTATTATTATTGTTTTGAGACAGAGTCTCACTCTGTCACCCAGGCTGGAGTGCAGTGGCATGATCTCAGCTCACTATATATAGTATATAGTAAAACCCTGTCTCTACTAAGAAAAAGACAGAGTCTTGCTCTGTTGCCCAGGCTAGAGTGCAGTGGCATGATCTCAGCTTACTGCAACCTCTGCCTTAGTGGTTCAAGTGATTCTCGTGCCTCAGCCTCCCAAGTAGCTGGAATTACAGATACCCACCACCATGCTCGCTAATTTTTGTATTTTTAGTAGAAACGGGGTTTCGCCATGTTGGCCAGGCTGGTCTTGAACTCCTGACCTCAAGTGATCCACTCGCCTCGGCCTCTGAAAGTGCTGGGATTACAGAAGAGAACCACCATACCCGGCCTAAAGGTGCTTTTATGACCCCAAATAGGATGAATCATAAAGGAAACATTCGAAGCTTCAAACACGGGATTAAAATTTGGATAAAATGAAAAAAATGAAAGAATATTGTAAAAGGTTCTAAATTATATTCTTGGTTTTGTTTTAGCCAATGGCATCCTCTTTTGAACTATTGGATCTGCTTTTTAATATTTATGTTTTAAGAAGGGTTCCTGTTTGGATGAAGTACAACTGGAAAACCATGTGGTTATAACAAAACTTCTCTGGAGGTCGTGTACTTAATTTCAAGACAAGTTCCTCAGAGAAAATCGCCTTTTGAGCTTTGAGCTTCTAGTCTTAAAGATTCAAATTATGATAATAATATCACAGATGCACATAATAATATGTTGAGAAAATTGCTCCCACTTTATTCTGGACTGTTTCAGAAGTAGTCTCTACCAGTAATCTTTTTATTCATAGTTAGGCTCACAGCTAGTTTCATGTCACATGTCCTCTTCGGACAAACCCAGGAAATAATTCTAAATCCTGTAACTTCTGAGTAGTAAGGTTGGATTGTGTTTCATCATAATGCCTAGCATTTATCATATCCAGAGGATGTATAAACTGGTTCTACAAAAAAGACCTGACACACCTTGTGAATAAGCACTTTCCTCATGTACAGCCTGTTGAACTGATGCTGTTAATGGGAAGGTAGATTTAGAATCCATTGAGCTCAAGCCAAAAAAATACTGCAAAATATTCTCTTACAATTTTCCCTTTGCAGTTTTCCAGCTGGGATCTTTGCCTGTTGTTTATATGGTAAAGCTCCTGAAAGCATTTCCATCTCAAGCTTCTTCCCTTTCAATTTGATCCTAGATTTTCCAAAAAGAAACCTTTCCAAGAGTCACAGATGTAAAATAACCAGTCATCCTCATTTCCTGGGACTTGAGACTTTCAGTGCTTAAACTGGGCAAGTCGCTGGCAAACTAGGATGAGTTTGTTATAGGGGCACATGATGGTGGCTTCCATGCAGGCTTTGAGTAAAAACTTCTTCAGCAGGTCTCCTTATTGCCTGGGTTCAGTCTCTCTGTATAGCAATATCTTTTAACAGTTGTTATATAAAAGCACGTAATTTTCTTTTTATCCAAATATATGTTTTAATTGTTTAACACAGGGATCATCAAACCCTGCCCTTACCTGGTTTTCACAGACAGGGGCCAGGGTCTTGCTCTGTCACCCAGGCTGGAGTGCAATGGCATAATCATAGCTCACTGCAGCCTCAAACCCCTGGGCTCAGGCTTTCCTCCCGCCTCAGCCTCCAGAATTGCTGGGACTACAGGTGTGTGCCAACGCACTGGCAAATTGTTTTTATTTTTTACTTTTGTACAGACAGGGTCTTGCTGTGTTGCCCAGGCTGGTCTCAAACTCCTGGCTTCAAGCAATCGTCCTGTCTCAGCCTTCCAAAGTGTTGGGATTACAGGCATGAGCCACTGTGCCTGGCCCTATTTTTCACATTTTTAAATGATATTTTTTTAAAGATTTTGCAATTTTCTTTTCTGTGGCTTACCTTCAAAGCCTAAAATAATTGCTATCTGCCTCTTTACAGAAAAATTTGCTGATCTCCAGTATAAGATATATTTAGCTATAGAAAACAGCCAAAACACTAGGCCCATTTTCCTGATATGATCAAATTTATGTCTGAATTACAAATTGCCAAAAAAACTTTATAAATTCTTTTTCATTTTGCCATACAGTGCTTTATAAATTTATGAAAAATATACAATGTTAAACAGTTTAATATTTTTCTAAGTTCATAATTATGACTCATTTTTCTAAGTTGAACAGAAACAGTAGAAATCATAACCAAGCCCCCTCATTTTACAGGTGAATAAACTGAGGCTGGGAAGAGTAAAGGAAGAGCTCACCCACAGAGCTCACCCACAGCTGGTGGGGAAAGAGCCAGAACTAAGAACCCCACCTGGATCCCAGCATTCTTGCATTATAGTTCCCCAGGAGGACTTTATCATACAGGATGGCAATTTAAAAAGTGAATCATTGCTAAATTGTTACATACCAAACTTATTCTCCTGGGCTATTCCTGCCTTCCACCTCCCCTCAAGGCCAACACAGGGAAATGTCCCTACTATCTCTATGGGGCAATATTTTCCCATTTTACCTGCCAATTCTGTTGCCTATGATGGTCTGTGCTTTAGATCTGAGTTTTCAGCCAGCCTTCCCACCATGGCAGTATGTTTGAATTGCCTGGCGTGTGTGTGTGTGTGTGTGTGTGTGTGGTTGTTGTTGTTTTGTTTTAATATCAATACCTGGGCCTTATCCTCTTATATTCTCATTCAACCAGTCTGAGCAGGGCCTAAGAAATGAGTATGCCTTTAGGGCCCAATTGATTCTAATAGGAACCACTGTGTTAGACTACATAACACTGTGTTTTACAGGAAGCAAAAATATTTTTACAAATGGTAAAGTGTCTTCATCAGAGAGTGAAGTGAATTTGAAAGTGCTTTAGGCTTGATGAATTCCGATACAATAGGGTAATTTTGATCAAAAACTTTTAAGAACAAAACTGTATATCATGTAGACCATAACTTAAGATAGTTGAAGGTAAACTGAGACAATTAATTTGGTCTCCATTTTATATTCTTCTTTATAAAGTCCATTATAATCACCTGCAATTTTTTTTACTGGCATACAAAATCTACTTTAACCTGTGGAAAAGATAGTTATCAAAATTGTATACTAATGGATATAACAACCAGTGACCAATAATCTTTAGTGCTTTGGATCTGGAGTGGTTTGGTCAACATGTAGTTACTTGGGTAGAATAACTTGCACCTAAGGAAAACCATATGTTTCTCTAGACGTATCTATCTATCTAGGCATATATATATGTATACATACAATTACAAATATTTTGATTTGTAAATATTGAGCTGAAAAAAATTTAAGCCAGGCGAACATGATATTAAACACAAAGCTAATACAACATGTGATTTTAAATGTAAATTTGATTTTATATATAATATATAATGTTATATATAATATATATAATTGAACAACATATAGTGTGTCCCAGTGTGTCATTTTCCAAGAGGTTATAAATATTTCCAAGTGAGGAGGAAGAATTCTTCAATCAAATTTTATGCCATTTGGAGCATATTTAAGACTTAGCTGAGCGTGAAGTAAAAGACATATTGTTGGCTGTAAGAAAGTCAAATTACTGCATGTAGGAAAATTTTTACCCCTCAGTGCTCAATATACAATTTTCTCAAACTTTACACCCACTGCTTAGATAAAATCTTTCAATATTGCAGCCAAGGATGAGAAATTTTAATTTCGGCCCTGTTCTTTGTCAAGAACTGTTCAATATTCTAAATCAATATAGTGATCATGGGGCTATAAGTCCCTCGAGGTGCCCATTTATCAATAGCAATTTGACTCAGTAAGAATTTGTAAACTAGCTTCACAAAGAAGGCCACAGACTAGAGTTCCTCAGCCTTGACACTGTTGACATTTTGAGCCAAATAAGTCTTTATCGTAGGTGCTGTCCTGTGCATCGTAGCATCTTCAGCAGCATCCCTGGACTTGATCCACTAAATGCCAGTGGCACCCCCTCACCCAATTGTGACCACAAAAAATGACTCCAAACATTGCCACGATTCCTGGGGGGCAAAATCACCTCCAGTTGAGAGCCATTGCTATAGAGCATAGAACACTGGTCTCAAACTTCAGAGATGGGAAAAATTTAGGACAATAAGAATGTAAAGTGACTTTTTCACTAAACCTCTTTTTTCCCTTTCAGTATAAAATAATAAGATGGCTGATCCTGCAAAGAGGCGCGGTGACATCAACAGTGACTCAGTCTCTATGATGGTATTAGTAACTGGCAGCTGACTCTCCTATTTATCATCAAGTTATGTTCCAAATAAGACTTTCAAGTCTGAGAAAAATGACAAATCCCTTCCAGGCATGGTTCAAGTTAAAGCTGAAACTGTGTCTTCGTTTCAGCTCAAGAGAGGTTTTGATTGTGTCGTGGCTTTTCCTTGTGTATTGGTTGAGGAACTGTGCCTTGGAGGGGCGGGGAGTCTTGAGAATGGGTCAACTGATGGAGGGGGAGTGGAAGACATTGGTTGCCCAAGAAAATATGTCAACATCTGTCCATCACTGCAACTCCGGCCTGATTATCATTTTTTCTGCTTCTGTAAGCACCAATGAGACAATGCCACTGAACCACATTCTTTGTTGCCTGCAGTATTTCCCACCACTGCGCCACCTCTGATATGCTAATGAGGAAGCCCAGGGTTTTGTGTGGCTGAAAAGCCTTTCAGGCACAATCAGTGGGTCAACAATCTCAACTCTGTACAGCGGCTCAGCCTGCTCTGTGAGAGGCTCCTCTTTCGGAGGGGTCCTTCCTCACACCTTTTCTGTGAGTGCGTCTGTGCTTAAGGAAGGGCAATTAACCATCTGGCTGCTTGTCCCCTGGAGAAATTGACAGAACATCAAACAGAATAAACTCATACCTTGAAAACTGCCAAGTGGCACATGACTGTCCGGTTCACTGTGGGGAGAAGCCACTAACCAATGGTCTGAATCTAAAAATGACCCAGTGGCACCGGTTTGTAGTAAAACTTTGAAGATAGAACTCCATGCAAATTCTGACTCCATAGTGCTGGTTCTTGATGTAAATCTCCCAATGTAACTGTCAAGGTTTAAAAATATCTTACGTAGGTGTTCAGAATCATAAGGTCATAGAATTATAAAATGTTAACCGGCAGAAGTATTTTCATCTTTGTCATACGAAAAAGAGTAATTTGCTCATAATAAGCCTTCAATATTTATGTATTGGATTGCAATTAACAGGAATCAAAGGAATCTTATAAGGATCATTTATCTAGAATAATCTCTATTTTCTAGAATTACTTAATGATCATTGTCTTTATTCAGCCTAAGTAACATTGAAATTTTTCTTCATTCAAATAAATTCATACTCATGAAGCCTTTCCCCACTTTTCATTTCATATTCTGTTTCTACTAGTATTGTTAACCATTGCAAAGAAATACTGTTGCCCTCCATTAAAACCTGAACTGCCTGCTGTCTATGGTTTATTTATCTAACAAAGATTTATTGTGGCGCCAGACATTGTAATAGGCCATAAAGACACAAAAAAGAAAAATAGATAGTTTCTGACCTCAGGAAAAACTTAGTCACATGAGGGAGACAGTATATAATACAACGTGGTTAGTACCTGATGAAACAGTGCACATGGTGCCATGGGAACACAAAAGCCAGCCACAGGGAAGTCAAGGAAGGCTTCCTGGAGGACAGTGAACCGAATCTTAAACTGAATAATATGTAGTGAGGAAAAGCGAGGGTAAATGGAATTTTATGAAATTTGTCAGAAGAGGTTAACCATTGTAACAAACAGCCCTGGAATTTCAGGGGCAAACACAACCAAGATTTATTTCTTGCCTATGTCACAGTCTAATGAGGTTGTCAGGGGATGTCACAAAGTGTGGTACTGTGTTCTATGAAGTCTTTCAGAGACCTGGTTCCTTCCATTAGCAACTCCCCCATCTTCTAAGACTGCACTGGATTCTTGGTTTCCTCTTCCCCAGATAGTTTGGCACCAGGAGTGTCCTCAGTAAGATAGATCTGCTTCCTGCTCTCATGGAACTACTCTAATGAAGAAACACACAAATCAATACATAAGAAAAATAGGCCTTACTTAGATGGGATGGTCAGGGAAAGCCTCTTTGGAAAGATGACATTTGAGCTGATATGTAAATGACAAGAAGGAGCTATCCACAAGAATGTGGAGGAGGAGGGACATTCCAGGCACAGAGTTAAGTTAGAGTCAAGGTCCTTAGTTAAGAATAAGCTAGGTAAGCGTCAGGATAGAAAAATGTCCAGTGTAGCTGAGGATAGTGGGCCAATGGGTGAATGGACAGATGAGGTCTCAGAGGTCAGCAGAAGTTAGCTCATGAAGGACATTATAAACTAGATTAAGAAGGATGGATTTTTAATCTAAGTGCAATGAAAAGTTATTAGAGAGATTTGAGCCCAGAACTAATGTGATTTATATTTTTACAAAACAATTCATGTGGAAGCAGAGAAAACTAGTTAGGAGGCTTTTGTACAAGCCCCAGTTGACAAAGGGTGGTGATACCAGTGGAGATGGGGAAAAATTGAAAGGTTTGAGAGGTGCTTTGAAAATAGAATTCACGGGACTTGCTGTTCCAGAAGTATTGGGTGTGGAAGGTGAGGGAAGCTATAAGACAGTAATCAAGAACAATTACTTGAGCACTAAGTGGGTGGTAAAACCATTTACTGAGATATGTGTATTTCTAGGGGAGCTATATGAGATACATGAGACTGGAAAAAACCTGATTGGCAAAAGAGAGAATACTCTTGGGTCATGTTGAGTTCGAGATGCTTATTAAGCTTCCACATAGTGATATCTAGTTGGCTGTTGGATACAGGAATCTAGAATCCTGGGCGTGAATATTTTAAAGATATTGGACATGATGAGTTTGCCCAGTTAGAGTGTGGACAAAAGATACGAGACCCAGGATAGACCCCTGAGGCGCTCAACATTTAGAGGTGCAGGCAGAGGCAAAAGACCCACCAAAGGAGCATGAAAAGGAATTGTGAGGTAGGAGGAAGCCACCAGGGTGCTGGTGAGGAGACAAGGGAAATGGGTAAAGTTCTAGGCAACAGAGAAAGGGGATATTTCAATTTTATTTCTTTAACTTCTGCATCCTCCAAACCCAGTAAGCCATTTTAAATATGATTTCCAATGAGAATACATCTGGTCAAATTAATATACTCACGAACAGCGTCCCCACAATGAACTTTTGGCCCAAGATTCATTTGTCAAGGAGATGCGGAATCAGTGGAATGGCCAATAGAACGTGGACTCTGAAGCAACCTTCCCAAAAATACAGTCATTTTTGAGATGGAGACATCGAAGCCAAGGAAATTCATTTCCAGCTTCACGTCTGAAGGTTTGAGTTCACATTTCAGCACTAACAATTGTGTATCTCTAGGGGAACTATATGAGGTTTCTGAGCCTCAGTTTCATTTTCTATATAATGGGTGTAATAACCACTGTGTATTTGTGATTACTCTCATCCCTCTGAGTAGATACAATCTTTCTGTACAATAATAAGACTTCACGCTTTCCTATCTTAGAAACCCCTTTAAAACTCCTCCCCAGACCTTCCCCTAGGTACTACTTGCTGCATTAGGTGCTGCTCTGTGTCTAAGAACTGCTGACTTTGTTTGTCTGCAGTTACTCATTATAATGTCATTACCTACCAAGGAAGGAGTATTGTTGCCTGGGCTGCTAGCCTCTGCTTCATTTGGTCATGCTTGAACTCTCTTCTTAGCTCACATCTCCTTTCTAGTCACAAGGATGTAAAATTGTCTTCAGTTTCCTCCCACCCATTCTTATTTTATAAATTGTTCGAGAAGGCGTTGGTGACCTTTACATGTGCCTCCAAATGCACTGGCTTCACACATGGTTTCTTGCACTAGCCTTGCATCTTCATGTCCTTCAAGTCAATCAATTCCTTCCACCATCCATACTGTCCAATCAACCTCAACACCACCTAACTCACATGGTGCTTGAAGGAATCAAATACTTTAGCACACATGTTGTGAACTTCATCTACAAAGGCAAAAGAGTTTTCTTGGTACTCTTGTAGCTAGATCTTTAAGCCTTTAAAAATAGACAAATGGGGACTAAAATCAAAAAGGGCTTATGTAAGTAGATTAAAGCATTTGTTCTGATTGATGCAGACATTTAAAAATGCATTATTCTAAAGAACACAATTCTAGCTCTGTGGAAGTGCTATTGAATTTCAGTCCTCTATGCCTTATGATTTTTGTAACATTCTGTTTTAGAGTCCAACAATAGACTCTGAATTTTCCCAGAGACATGAAAAGTGGTCTGTAAACAAAATGACCATTCTTCTAGAAATCAAATCATCACCAATTAATAGAACAAGGACATCATTTTTCACCCATCATTGCATTAGCTCATTAGCTCAGGCTGCCATAAAAAGCTACCATAGACTAGGTAGCTTAAATGACAGAAATTCATTTTTTTGCAGTTCCTGAGGCTGGAAAATCCAGGTTCAAGGTGACAGCCAATTCTGTTTCTGGTGAGGGCCCTCTTGCTGGCTTGGAAATAGCCAACTTCTCACTATGTCCTCATGTGGCCTTTCCTCAGTGCATGTGCATGTCGTATGTATGTGAAGGAGATCTCTCTCTCTCTTCCTCTTCCTATAAGGCCACCAATTCTATTGGATTAGGACCCCACCCTTATGACCTCATTTAACCTTAATTACCTCCTAAAAGCCTTACCTTCAAATCTAATCACATTGGTGGCTAGGGCTTAAACATATGAATTTTGGGGAAAGAGCCATAATTTAGTCCATAGCACTGGTAAACACTGCTCAGAGTTCATTGCAAAGGGCACTTTTGTACACTGCTCGTGGGGGTAAATCTGGTGTAGTCATTATGGAGGGAAATGAGGTGACGAGTACCAGTGGTCTTAAAATGGTCTCTGATGCGATAATTCCTCATTTACACCCTTAAGAAAATAATCAGAGCTGTATATACAGATTTTTGAATACATCTTTTTCTAAACCTACTATTTATAAATGCAAAGGCCTAAAAATAACCCTTTTATGTTCAACAATGGGATAATAAACACATAAATTCAGAGGCAATAATATGGTGCCAATGTGGTAGAGTGAGGAGAAATAATCTTTTTTGAAAAATCTTTAATGCCATGAGAACATATTTAGGATAATATTTAGAGGGGAAATAGGCTACTTAAAGGAATCATTTAGAATAAATTAATATTTTTAATGCATATATAAATTTGATATGCATTTACATAATATCAGAAGAATAGACATATAAATAGTAACTGGTTAGGACTGCTTGGTGGGATTTAGGGTGGTTTTTTTTTCTTCAAAGTCTTTTGTGTTTCCAAACTATTGACAGTTCGCATTTATTATCAGTATACTAAGGAAAAAAAGCCATTTTAAAAATAGCTCTAGGAAACTATTCAAATCTAAAGCTTAAGCATTTATATTTCATGCTGCTTATGAGAAGACCAGGGACATGTAGCAGTTGCTTGTTTTTTTCTTTGTAATTCTAGTCATTCTATGTGACTCCCCTGTAGCAGGCAGAATAATGGTCCCCTAAAGATTTCTACACTCTAGCCCCTAGAACTTGTGAATGTGTTACATGGCAAAGGGGAGTTTGCAGATGGGATTAAAGGTATAGGTCTTGAGATGGGAAGATTATCCTGGGTTGGCTTAGTGGACTCTATCTAATCATATAGGTCCTTAAAATCGGATAAACTTTTTGGGCTGTGGTCAGAGGGAGATCTGACGGCAGCACCAGAAGGACTTGGCCCGCCACTGAAATTGCCTTTTTCACCTTTTGCAGGGAATTCTGGTAGCCTGCAGAAGGTGAAAAAGGCAAGGCAAGAAAATCTCCCCTAAATCTTCCAGAAGGCATGCTGTGCAGCTGGCACCTTGATTTTAACGCAGTGAGATTTGCGTTGGACTTTTAACCTATAAAACCATGAGATAATAAATGTGTATTGTTTTAAGCTACTAAGTTAGTTGTAATTTGCCACGGCAGTAATAGAAAGTTGATGTAGTCTTGAAAAGTAATTTCACTCAATCTTGTTTAATTTGGTGTTCACACCACCCCCTCCATTATAACCACCTGTTTTCTTTTTTTTTTTTAATCTTAATTATTCAACAAGTATTAACTGAGGACCAGCTATGAACTGGACACTGTTAGGTGCTGAGGAAAAGAGAAAGGAAGTGTAAGATACAGCTCTGAGTTTGGTAGTACAGACAAATGACCTTTTAGAGAGAACCAAGAGCGTGTTAGGGAAGAAACACTGTGTTGCTATAATATTAATCTGATCTTTTTAATGATTTTCTGTAGCTTAATGTTCATTCTTTTGAGATATTTCTGTTTAACTGATATCAGAGATGAAGTCTACATATAAGAACAATAAATTTCCTTTGCATTTTCTTTCTTACTCTTTGTGACTATCAACCCAGCAGATACAACCTTTAAATAAATTTATCGTCTATCTCAGTATAGAGACCTCTAAGTCACCAAATATGCTCATCCTGCTAATAAAATTAAAGGCAGTTGTTCTTATCCCAGAGAACATCAAGAACAATCCCAGAATTCTATCAACTGCATGCAGGTGTGGGCTGTTAGAATTCTGTGGTGTTAAATGTGATGAATCATGCCATTTTATTCGTTAGCCAGTTGATTATTTCTTTGAAATGTGATTGCCTACATTGTGCTGGCCTTTGGTCATACAAAGAGAAATAAAGCCACTCCTTCACCTTCAGGAGCACCGAATTAAGCATGGGAGACAGAGACACAACCATGACAAAATGTGACATGTATGCAATTAACAGGTATGCAAGTCCCGTGGGGTGACAGTGAATGGAGCAATTATTTGGTATCCGGAGAACTAAGGTGGGAAGGGAGGTTGGAGGGACATTTGAATTGACTCTGAAGATCAAGCATGAATTTGCCAAGTGGAATTAGAGAAAGGGTATCCATGATAGATAAAATAACATGGACAAAGGCTGGGAGGTAGGGAAGTGCGTTGATCTTTCCTGTAAAGGAATGGGCTGCTCAAAGGAGTCTAAGGAGCAAAGAGGGGTTTGGAAGAGACATCTGAAGTTAGATAGTAAAATATATTAAATGCCAAGCTAGATGACTGAACTTGATCCTAGAGGCAATGGGAACTAACAGAGGTTTTTAAGCATGCCAATGTCACCATAAGCTCTATGGTTATAAACTGCTGTCCAGTTTTCTGCAGTGATGAAAATGTTCTATTTCCGCATTAAAATGTTACAGCCACTAGCCACTAGCTCAAATGTTGCAGTGACTGTTGAGCCACTGAAATATAACTATTGTGATTAAGGAACTGAATTTTTACTTCTATTTAATTTGAATTAATTTAAGTTTACTTTTAGCAAGCCACACGTGGCTAGTGACCACCATATTGGGCAGCCCAGAGCTAGAAAGTTATCTCTGGAGGAGTATTGAATGGAAGAGGAGAGAAGGCTTCCTACAGGGAAAAAAAGACTATATTAAAGAGGGAATCATTTCTTTTCCTTTCAGAGATAAATTTTTAACACTATATAAATGATTTTGACCATGGATTGTGTACAGATGGGTGCCAACTTATGATGGCTCATCTTACCATTTTTTGACTTTATAATGCTGTGAAAGCAATACGCATTTAGTAGAAACCATACTTTGAGTATCCATACAAGCATTTTGTTTTTCACTTTAAGTACAGTATTCAATAAATTACATGAGATATTCAGCACTTTATTACAAAATAGGCTTCGTGTTAGATGACTTTGCCCAACTTTAGGCTAATGTAAGTGTTCTGAGCACATTCCAGGTAGGCTAGGCTAAGCTATAATGTTTAGTAGGTTAGGTGTATTCAATGCCTTTTTGACTTATGATATTTTTAACTTATGATGTGATTACTGAGATGTAACTCCATTGTAAGTCAAGGAGCATCTATACTCAAATATAGACCATTAATAATATGGAGCCAACAGGCGTGGTGGCTCACGTCTGTAATCCCAGAACTTTGGGAGGCCGAGGTCAGGGGATCACTTGAGCTCAGGAGTTCAAGACCAGCCTGGACAACATGGTGAAACCCTGTCTCTACAAAAAAAATTTAAAAAATTAGCCAGGCATGGTGGCGGGTGCCTATGGAGCTAGCTACTCGGAAGGCTGAGGTGGTGGTACCAGTGGAGGGACTTGACTATGAGTTGTGCAGGTTCTTGGTCTTTTGAACAAAGAATTGGACAAAACATGCAAACAAAGCAATGAAAGGATGAAGCAACAAAAGCACAGATTTATTGAAACCAACGTACACTCCACAGAATGGGAGTGGGCTTGAGCAAGCAGCTGAAAAGCACTGGTTACAGAATTTTCTGGGGTTTGAATACCTTCTAGTGATTTCCCATTGGTTACTTGGTTGTACCTATGTAAATGAAAGAGTGGCCCACGACCAGTTTGATTGGTTGCAGGAGGTGACCAATCAGAGTCTGAAGTGAAGTTACAAAGTTACACATGAAGACTAGTCCTGCGACCAGTCTGATTGGTTGCGGGAGGGGACCAATTAGAGGTACTTTCCATTTTTCATCTGCACAGTGCAAAGGTAGTAACCTCTGATCCTTTCGTTACTTCAGTGTGGAGAGGTGGGGTTTTCCTTTTGATTCAGTTCTAGGAAGTCAGGGCGAATTGGCTTTAGGTAACCTGTCTCCAGACCCTATTCTCCTGCCTCAGTGGGAGGATCACCTGAGCCTAGGAGGCAGAGGTTGCAGCAACCTAAGATCATGCCACTGCACTCCAGCTTGGGTGACAGAGCAAAACCCTGTCTCAAATAATAATAATAATAATAATAAAGGAGCCAGTTTAGTTTGTGTGCCTATAATCCAGAAGAAAGGTGTTTCAGTGTACAGTCAGAGACGATAACCACTAATCCTGCCTCTGGGCTGAGGATGGGACATTGAACAACTGTTTTATTCCTTATTCCTTAGTATTTATTTTATAGAGTTGAATCTCCAACCCCTCATCTACTTACCCACCATACTATCTGTGTAACTACAGTTAACATGCAGTAGCCAAGACAGTGACTCTCAATGTGGGAAGGGGGTGATTTTGTTTCCCAGGGAACATTTGGCAATGTTTGGAGACGTTTTGAGTTATCACAACTGGGGAAGGGGTGCTACTGGCATCTAGTGGGTAGAAGCCAGGGATGCTGCAAAACATCCTACCACGCACGGGACAATGATGCAGTCCAAAATATCAATAGTGCTGAGGTGAAGAAATCCTGGTCTAGAGCAGTGGTTTTCAACCCTCAATGTTCATTAGAGTCACTTGGGAAACTTTAAAAAATCCCTATGCCCTGGTCATTCCCCAGGCCAACTAAATCAGAAACTCTGAGATTGGGGCCCAACCCAGGTTTTGGTGCTTTTTAAAGAGATCTCCAAGTGATTCTAATATGAAGCCAGAGTTGAGAGCTACTGGCATAAAGATAGTCCAAAATATCCTATTCTTAAGCCCTCAACATATCTGACTCCTATGAACATCCATTTTGTGTCTCTCATGCAGTCTTCTGCCAAAACCATGTCCCTGTCTTTTACTTAGTCTATTTGTCACTGCAGGGCTCTTGAAACCTGTCAGACACCTAAATATGGAAACAATAGACACTGGGGACTACTAGATGACAGAGGGAGGGAGAGGGGCTAGCGTTGAAAAACTAACTGTTGGGTCCTATGTTCACCACCCGGGTGAAGGGATCAGATCATTCACATCCCAAACCTCACTATTATGTAATACGCCATGTAACAAACCTACACATGTACTCCATGAATCTAAAAGTTGAAATTATATATATAATATTTATAAATATTAACATATATTTATAAATGTTATGTATACATATACATTATGTATATGTATATGTATATGTATATGTATATGTATATGTATATGTATATGTATATGTATATGTGTGTATATATAGGAACCTGTCAGGCAAAGATAGGTTTTGGCTTTACCCTATCAAACGAAAGGGGATTTCAGAGGGCTTCTCTGGTAAACCACACCGTAGAATGCTTCCTACCCACTGGGGAAACCCAAGTTAAAAATGGTTAACAGGAAATCTAGTTGAGGGATATAATTAGCAATTATTAGCTCTTCGGTGGCTGTATTCATATTACATGAGATTATTCAGTAGCAGGAAAGGCTAGACTTATATCAAGTCTGTTTAGCTTAATAAAGCCAAAAAGAACAGTTGTTTTTGCATTTTTAGGTGGAAAAAACACACATTCTGAAGTTGCTCTTGTTAATTTGTTGAATGTTGTTGGAAAAGATGTTTCGCCAGAAGAAATAAAATTTCATAGTTTTTGTGAGAGATCAAAACACATTGCCTATGTCATCCTTTAATTGTCAAAAGATAATAAACAGAACTTTCTTACCCTGTTTCACTTAAGACTAACAGCTTGGAGGAAAAAAAATCAGAGGCCTTTGTTTTCTGCAAATTCACTGGGCAGCCATGTACAGTCTGGTGGTTCAAAGCTTTCATGATCTGTCCTCTGAGAACTTTGGAAAAACAACCCATGAGTACACAAGACTTTCTTTTTAAATTGGATTATTCTTTAATGAGGGTATGATTTGCTCAGGGTTATGTCAACTCCAAGCACCCTAGTTATGCTTCTTGGTGAGAATGTACAAGCCTCTCAGCACAGCTCAGCTTCTCTCTGTTGCATCTCTATCAAGGTCCTGCCTAGCAACAGCTGAAGGGAGCAGTTGAATGAAGATGTTCATTAATGCAGATGAGTGGCTTGTTGGCACAAGAACTTTCCAGCTAGAGCTGGGGGCAGAGTCCCTGACTCTTTCATCTTAAACACTGTGATACTGCTCACTTTAGGCTGGAGCTTCTCGGTGACATTCGGGGCTGGCCATTCTTAGTTGTGGGGGCCTGTCCTGGGCATTGGAGAATGTTTAGCAGCATCCTTGGGCCCTACCCACTAGATGCCAGTATCACCTCCAAGTGGTGACAACCAAAGATGTCTCTAAACATTGCCAAATGTCCCCTGGGGGACAAAATTACTCCCATTTCAGAACCTTTGTTACAAACTTATCAACTTCTAGCCGATAGTTTCAACAGGGAACTGCTGTAGGGCTTTAAATGTGTGAAACAATGAGATGAGGGAGGGGGCTTGTGATGTGATCTGATTGCTGCTTTGAGACGGTCCCTTGGCTGCTGCTTGCAGGGAGAAAGGAGACAAGAAGGTATTCCAAGAGACTTGCTCAATTCATGGTATTAGTCCAGGAAAGAGGGGATAATGGCATAGAGTGGGATTTTAGCAGTAGGAATGGAGAAGAAAGGAGGCATTGGAGAAATGTTTGGAGAGAGAGCTACAAGCCACCAGAACAAGTTGATGGACTAGAAAATATGTGGACAAAACAGATCAGCATCCAAGATGGCTCTTAGATTGTTGGTGCTCAGTACTACGTACTGACATGTAGAATATAGCAGGAGAAACTGGTGGAATGGGGGAATTCTTGGAGAGGTAGGGAGAATCAAGAATCCTGCTTTGGACGGGGCACAGTGGCTCACACCTGTAATCCCAGCACTTTGGGAGGCCAAGGTGGGAAGATCATTTGAGGCCAGGAGTTTGAGACCAGCCTGGCCAATATGGTGAAACCCCATCTCTACTAAAAATACAAAAATTAGCTGGGTGTGGTGGCACACACCTGTAATTCCAGCTACTCGGGAGGCTGAGGCAGGAGAATCACTTGAACCCAAGAGGCAGATGTTGCAGTGAGCCAATGAGCCAAGATTGCACCACTGCACTCCAGCCTGAGCAGCAGAGTGAGACTTACTCCAAAAAAAAAAAAAAAGAATCCAGGTTTGAGATCTCAATTGCCAGCTCATCAGGGTGAGGAGGTTACTGGGTCCAAGAGTCCTAGAACTCAGGGGAGAGGAGTTGGGAAAATAGGTTTGGTAAGAAGACAGATAATATTTGAAGCTATAGAGAAGTGAGTGTAAATGGAAAAGAATTGAGAACTTTATACTCTTGGCAACTCTATAATTTCGAGCTCCATTTTCAACCCCACCCTGCCACAGATTAGAGGCAACACATTAGAAATGGAAGAGGCTAGCGGAGACTTAGACTAGCTTGATTTAGCAGGAAACCCAGTTAAGTTTGAATTTCACATAAATAGTGAATAATTTTTAACTAAGTATGCTTTGGACATACTCATTTTGTCTCGCAATCCTAAACGGAGACCAACACCAGGGAAAGACGGCAATGTTTGATGATCATGATGTGTGCCTTGAGACACAGCAGATGAAACAATGCTTGACACCTTCTTTGAGAAGATGGGCAAATGTGCAGCATGTTTGAAAATGTATTTCCAAAATGAGATGTGTGACAAAGAGTTAAACATCCCTACAACAACCACAACCACAACCACCCCTGAAGAGGAAGCCTCAACCTCCCAATCCTCTATGCTAGCTACAAAACTATAGCTGAATTTTCTGGGCAACTCCATAGGCCTAAGGGACAAGAAAGCACCTTAGCAGATAGAAGATGTGAGAGCCCATTATTATAACTGGACAAGAAACTCAAAAGCTACAGTAGCTTTTATTGTTATGGCACAAGACACTTTAGAAACAGTTGATTTAACAGTTACTTTATGTTTTGTAGGTGAAGAAACTAAGACCTTGTGATGAGGTGTGCAAACAGTGGAGCCAGATAAAACCCGGGTCTTTTGACTCCTAAGCATAAACTACTCCAGGATTCACCAAGTGTGGGACACAAAATGAGAACACATAGAATATCATGGCCCTTGAGTTAAGCTGTCCTGAAGAACCCTGCTAGGCCATGCATGCTGAGTCATGCAGAGGGGGCCCCCAGGTGGCTCAGGGCAGTGTTCATTGCCTAACCGGCACTGAAGTCCTGTACTTCAATATTTTATCATCCAGTCAGACATGCTGGTGCTTACGAGCTGAATACTGACCTTGTTCCCAACCTATCTTCTATCATGCCTTCTTTTTGTAGGGTCTTGTCTCCTCTTGTCACAAAAACATAGAAATTTCTTTCCAGCACAAACTACCTAAAAGGGAAGGATAAACCAGATTGTCTGCTCTCTTAAGCATTTGTAGACAGACAACTTTTAAATAGAAGTGCATGCATGAGGTTCTAAAAGCTGTACAGGAACAGCAAGTCCCAGCCAGAGATCCTTCTAGAAAGAGAAACTCAAACTCCTGCTGTGACTATCGAAAATGAGAGTGTGGGAGATTTGGCTGTTGAGAGAAAAGCTGGTATCTTTGCTTCAGGTGAAATCGCAAGATTATGAAGTAAACTTAAAATAATCATAGAGTTGCATCCTCTAGCCTGGCTGGTGAAGTATGTTGAGTGTAGATTTAAGGAAGAAAGCTATGGAGCACACTTTGAGTGGCAAGTGTCTAATGAGTGTAATGACTGCCTAGAATATTTCATTTGTATTATCCTTGAATACCTAATCTATGGACTACACATATCATTTGACCCTAATACAAGCCTGATTTTAAAAAAACATAACACATATTATGTCTAGACTACAATCAAGCTTAAAAGTTTTACAAATTCCCTGGTTTTACTGCCTGTAAGTATGTATTTCTAAAATCTCACTTTAGGGAAAGGAAACTGGCGGAGGTGGAGTGGGGAGTGAAGACAGGAGAGTGTCTTTCTCTGCTGTATAGGAAATGGTTTGGTTTAATCTGAAACCACAATCACCATTTTATTCCATGAATCCCCAGTGCTCCTAGAACACTAGATCTTTTTCTTTCCAGTGCCCCTTCCCTACTGCAGTGGAAACTCCACCTGATATTCTTACCACCACTCTTTGTTCTTCTGCTTACTTCTGCCCACCCCTATCGTGCCCAGTTTGCATCGTTTTGTTTTCTTGCTGGAAATAATGAACTTCCCATTTCCATGCTACAGGTTGATTCTCTTTCATTTCTCAGTAGCCTTCACTTCTGTGTGTCATGGTTGGTTGCTTTCCCCCTACCTCAGGGTGCCTCTCTACCCATTAGGGACTAGAGTTCAAGTTTAACACTTTGCCCTCACAGCTGTGTTTTGCTGCACTCGATGACATAATATTATACCACTGACCTAAGAGTGGAATGACTTTAGTGTGTATATCAGTCACCTATTGCTGCATAACAAATAATCCTAAAATATAACAACTTCAAACAACAATATTTATTACCTCACAGTTTCTATGGGACAGGAATCTGGGAGTGGCTTAGCTGGGTCCTCTGGCTCAGGTCTCTTAAGGTCTGTACGGAATCAAGGCTGGAATCAAGGTGTTGAGCAGGGGCTATAATCATCTCAAGGCTAAGCTGGGGGAGAAGACACTTCCAAGTTCATGCAAGTGGTTGTGGGCAGGATTCGCTTCCTCAAAGCCTGTTGGACTGAGGGCTCCATTCCTAGCTAGCTATTGGCCAGAAGACACCCTCTGTTTCTTGCTGCATGAGCCTTTCTGTAGAGCAGTTCCCAATATGATGGCCTGCTTCACCAGAGAGAACAAATGAGAAGAGTCAGAGAGAAAGCACAGCTGAAATAACATTCTTTAGAACTTAATCTTGAAAGTAATATCCCATGACTTGTGCCACATTCTGTTTGCCAATGTCAAGTTACTAGGTCCAGCCCACACTCAAAGTGGGGACTACACAAGGGCATGAACACTGGGAGCGGGGAATCGTGGGGGCCATTTTAGAAGGTGTCAACCACTGTGTAATGGTGCAACGTGGCATAAAATTTTTAAATTCACATGGATTTAAGCAGCAAAGTGTTTAGAGATCACTACTCTTTGCCAGTTTATTCCAAAACATCAAATCCACTCAGAACATGAGAAATCTAGGCTAGAACTGTGTGTATGAGATAACAAGTCCACCAGGACCCTGGCTCTGATTTGTACGCAGTGTGGGCCCAAGCTGATGTCCTTCCTGCCCTTTCTAGCAACCTCCCTATCATCACCTGCTGGCTTTTGCATTTCTCCTAGCCCTTTCAGACACCCACCTGCCCATCCATCTACCTTCCTACCACTACCAGCCCACTCCCTTGCTCCTAGTGTCTGCTCCACTTTCTGATGCCACATGCCTGGGGTCTCCCAAATGGTCAGTAGCCCAACTCTCTGGATATGGTCATCCAGCTATCTGAATGTCCCCTCATCCACTTAAGCTTGATCTAGTCAAAATTTCTGTTCTTTCCCAGTCTGGAAGGCTAGTTCCTAAGAACTTGCTTCTCCTACTCTGGTCCTTCGTATTACCTGATAACCTCTTGTTCTGACCCATGAAATGGACCCAGCTGTATGTTGAGTTACGGAGAATAGCCAATAACATCATGGAAAATAAATTTGTTAAATGGATTATGATTGGTTTTATGTAGATAAAAAACGGCAGCCAGGAGAGCCTTTTGGCTGAATTTTCCAATTTTTCTGCAGGGTTTTTTTTTTTGTTTTTTTTTTTTTTTTTTTTTAGATATGGATACAATTGAAAAGTTGGCTCCTGTATGTTTAGGGAAGCTGCTTAAGAAATTGTTGTGAAGCTACTGTCTCTGTGAAAATGAAGAGAGGAGGGTCATCAAAAGCTAAGAAGGAGACAAAGAAAAATGGCGACTAAATGCAATGTGGTGTCCTGGGTGGGATCCTGGAACAGAAAAATGACATTAGTGGAAAAACTGGTGACATTCAAATAAAGTCTGGGATTTAGTTAATTGTAGTGCACCAATGACAGTTTCTTAATTTTGACAAAGGTACTCAAGTCACGTAAGATGTTAACCATGGGGAAATTGGGTAAGGGGTTAAAAAAATAAACACTGAGGAGAAATTTGGATAATTTTTATGTTGTGAAGAAACCCTTCAAAAAAGCATAAGGATGTGGGTTTTGTTTTGTTTTGTTTTTAAGAGGATGTGATTCCAGGATCACTTCTGTTTCCTCCCCAGTCCAGATGCCATCTCTTAGGTCAAGACTGTGAGGCAAGCATTTTCCAAGGGAACCACATGCTCGGTGTCCACATTCTTCCTATCTCAGAATGGTTAGAAACAGATGTTTCCACACAAGAATTTCAGCACAGAGTCGGTTTCCCTGCTGAGAAACACACCCACGCTCATGTGTATTTGTTAATTTCTTCCCAACACATAGCTTTCGATTGTAGCAATAGTTTTCCAACCACAAACATATGAAGTCCTGGCCTCAGTGGCCTCCCAGAAGTGCATATTATTATCAGGAAAGCTTGGCCAGTCCCCTAGATGAAGAAAGATGTGAATTTCACTTCCTGACATTTTCAGTGTGAGTGAACCCAGGTAAGCATGTGTCCCTGACCTCAAATATGGTTTTTCCATTTATTTTGGATGGCCACTGCTGAAAAGTATCCTGCTGAAGGGGTAGGTCCAAATCAATCTGGTAAGCATATTGCAGAGGAACTAAAATGAACCCCTTTCTAGTGTGACCACCAGATCGTCAGAGAATGTGTTCAGCATGACATCTCCTAATTGTGGCTTTTTCCTGCAACTAGGGAGAGGCCAAGCATAGTTTTTTGAGGAGTGAAACTTCCAGCAGCAAACCGCTTGGATAATTACTCAAGGTTTTCCCTACAGTATTTTCTAAGGCAATGTGTAAGTATAATTAAGGCTGTTTGAACATGTATTCTCTCCGCAGGATAATAAGGATAATATGTAAGAATCTGTTGCTGATTTATGTGTTTGCTGTCTTCAAGAAAGACTGTGACAAGGCTTTTCAAATGGAGGATCTGATTTTTGCTCAAGACGGTGCCTGTTTTAAAAGTAGTTGTTTTACCACTATTAGAATATTATTTAAGGGCGGGGCACACCTGTGATCCCAGCACTTTGGGAGGCCGAGGTGGGCAGATCACCTGAGGTCAGGAGTTGAGACCAGCCTGGCCAACATGGTGAAACCCTGTCTGTACTAAAAATACAAAAATTAGCCGGGCATGGTGGCGTCTGCCTGTAGTCCCAGCTACTCAGGAGGCTGAGGCAGGAGAATTGCTTGAACCCAGGAGGTAGAGGTTGCAGTGAGCCGAGATTGTGCCATTGAACTCCAGCCTGGGGGATAGAGAGACTCCGTCTCAAAAAAAAAAAAAAAAAAAAAAAAAGAATGTTATTTAAGAAAATGAAACATCTATACAGCCAGTGTCTCCCTTGCAAGACAAAAGGATCACCCTTTTTAAAATAGGTTAGTAAAAATCAGTAAATAAGCCTTAATATGAAGAGATGCACTGATGATAAAATTATTAACTTAATGATAAAATTATTAATAATTATTGGTTTATTTTTCTGTATTTTATTACAGAGAAAAGTTGTAAGAACAATGTGTTTTCTTTCTTTCCTGTATAGATCATGTTCTTCTTATGTTGTGAATAATGTTCTAATTTCTTACCTGCTTGTGTCTGCCATGCAGACCAGCCTGTGGATACCACAGTGCTGGACAGGGAGGAATTAACTTTCATTTTATAGCTCCATGATGTGTATATACCCTGGGGCCACGTGGGATATCATCTTTGTAGGATAAATAAGTTACAAGGCTGAAGTCTTTGATTTCCCTATGGAGTTCCGGAACCTTCTCCTCAGGGCTGTTTCAGAGGGCAGTGGCATCACACTTCACAGAGATCAGGAGAATGGGACCTGTCTCAATGACATTGCCCACAATAAACAGTAATTAACATTTTCAATTATATGATATCAATGATACTATAATCCTGAGTTTCTCACCCTTGGCACTATTGACATTTGGGGACAGATAATTCTTCGTTGGGGGCCTGGGGGTATGTCCTGCTGTAACTGCCCAATGGGTTCTCCTTGCCCACTGTCTAGACAGAGCCAAGTTACCAAGACAGGGAAATTGTAATAGACAAAGAGTTTAATTCACGCAGAGTTGGCTGCATGGGAGACCAGAGTGGTACGGGAGACCGGAGTTTTATTATTAGTCAAATCAGTCTTCCAAAAATTCAGGGATCGGGGTTTTTAAGGATAATTTGGTGGGTAGGGGGTCAGAAAGTGGGGAGTGCTGATTGGTCAGGTCAGAGATGAAATCATAGGGAGTGGAAGCTGTCCTCTTGGTGCTGAGTCGGTTCCTGAGTGGCAGCCACAAAGCCAGATGAGACAGTTTATCAATCTGGGTGGCGTCAGCTGATGCATTGGAATGCAGCGTCTGCAAAATATCTCAAGCACCGATCTCAACTTTTACAACAGCGACTCTTAAAACCATAATTTTTAATCCTGTGGCTAATTTGTTACTCCTGCTAAGGCAGTCTAGTCCCCAGGCAGGAAGGAGGTTTGTTTTGGAAAAAGGCTGTTACCGTCTTTGTTTCAAAGTTAAACTATAAACTAAGTTCCTCCCAAAGTCAGTTTGGCCTATGTTCAGGAATGAACAAGAACAGCTTGAAAGTTAAAAGCAAGATGGAGTCACTTAGGTCAGATCTCTTTCACTCTTACAGTTCACGCAGTTATAGCTTTTGCAAAGGTGGTTTCACTGTGCATTGCAGGATGTGTAGCAGCGTCTCTGGCCTCTCCCCATTAGATACCAGTAGTATATCCCAAGTTATGACAACCAAACTGTCTTCAGATTTTGTGGAATGTCCCCTCGGGGGCACAACACCCCCCCACACACACACAGTTACCCACACCTCTTTGAGAACCACTGCTATCTTCAACAGGGCAGAAATTTTTGACCAAGAGCATCTAGGGAAGAGGCCAATGATGCTTCAGGTTGAAAGGTTTTAAAAGCCCATATATTACTGCCTTTTTAATGCAAGCAAGATGCTGCAAATGCGGGCAATCGTGCAAGCACATAGGATCTGGCTTTTGCATAGGGATGGCCACGCACTTTACTAGGCCTCTAGGTTGCAATGGGCACCCCGGGAGAAGGCTGCCAGAATTCACCCCATAGGTGCAAACCAGCCCACCAGGGAAATCATGCCTGGGCCAGAGTAAATAAACACAAGCTTCTCTAAATAGCCCAGGCAAAGGAAAGAATGAAGGACAAAGAAGGCTTGCTAGGCAGGCATTTGTTTCTTGCATGTAACCTTTTTTTAAAAAACTTGAGATAAAATTCACATAATATAAACTTCACCATTTTAGTCACTTTAAAGCGTACAATTCATGGCTTTTAGTGCAACCATCACCTCTATCTAATTCCCGAGCATTTTCATCACTCCAAAAGAAACCTATATCTTTTTTTTTTCTTTTTTCTTTTTCTTTTTTTTTTTTTTTGAGACAGAGTCTCACTCTATTGCCCAGGCTGGGGTGCAGTGGCATGATCTTGACTCACTGCAACCTCTGCCTCCTGGGTTCAAGCAATTCTCTTGCTTCAGCCTCCTGAGTAGCTGAGATTATAGGCATATGCCACCATGCCCAGCTAATTTTGTTTATTTTTAGTAGAGATGGGGTTTCACCATGTTGGCCAGACTGGTCTCCAACTCCTGACCTCAGGTGATCTGCCCGCCTCAGCCTCCCAAAGTGCTGGGATTACAGGCGTGAGCCACTGCGCCTGGCCTAAGAAATCCATATCTATTAAGCAGTCACTCCCCTTTCCTTCCTCTCCTAGTCCCAAGCAACTACTAATCTACCTTCTGTCTCTCTGTCTCTGTATATTTGCTTATTCTGGACACTCCATATAAATGGAATGATACAATATATGGCCTTTTGTTTCTTGCTTGTTTTACTCAGCATGTTTTTAATGTTCATCCATGTTGTAGCATAGCTCAGGACTTCATTCCTTTATATTGCCAAATAATATTCCATTGTATGGGTATACCACACATGTGTTTATTCATTCATCACTTACTGGATATTTGGGTTGTTTTCACCTTTTGGCTATTATCAATAATACTGCTATGAACATGCGTGTACAAGTTTTTGGTTGAATACATATTTTAATTTTTTTGTGTATATATCTAGAAGTGGAATTGCTGGGTTATATGGTAATTCTATGGAGAGTAACCAACTTTGTAATCTGTAAATCTAAGGTGGTTAGCTTTTATTCTACTATTATTTAAAAATTTTCATTGACCAGACTTGAACACAATGCCAGTGATAGATTCTAAAAGGCCCTAGAATAGGCCTTCCTTAACCTTGGATTTCAAATGCTCTTGGAAAATCTCTGGATTAGTTGCAAGAGAACATAAAGCCTCTAGAAATTGGGTGTCAATTTTGTGCGTGTGCAAATGTGAACGTTACTGAGGAGAAGGTTCGTTGTTTTTAGTAGGATCTCAAAGAGTTCCACGAGCCCCTCTGAACCTAAGACCTCTGCATTAGAAATATCATTCAGCTGCTTTAAGAAAGAAAAGGATTGCAATCCTGGTGTTGGTGCTTGAGAGTGGTGTGATCACTAGCAAACATCAACATTTCTGAGCTCCTCATCTGTAAAATGGTAGCAATGACAATACCTACCACATTGTGCTATCATAAACCTTCACAGTAATTATACCTGTGGATACATCTAAGAGAGCCTGGCACAAGGGGGCTGCTCAGGATGTGCAGACTGCCCTGGGGAGGGGGCATCAGTTCATCTTTTGGATGTTTGAAAGTCTTGTCCTTTATTGAATGTGTCCTGAACAACTCATCTTCTGTAGGGGAGATCGAACACAAAAACAGACTCTTACACTGCTAAGAATAGATATGTTTTACAAAACACAAACTGAAATTAATGTTCTTAGAATGTCTAAGTAATTCCTTGAAAAAAACTTCTTTTTAGGCTACAACTAATAAAACTAATTTAATAAATTCAAACTCCTCTCCTAATAATTTGATACTATCCTCAATCCCTGGCTTTGGGTGTTAATGTGTTTTCTTTCTCCCTTCCCCTCCCTTAACCTCCCCTCCCCTAGCCTCCTCTCCTCTCCTCTCCTCTCCTCTCTCCCTTCCCCTCTGCTCCCCTTCCCTTCCATCTCCTCTCTTCTCTTCTCCCCTTCCCTTTCCTTTCTTTTCTCTTCCTTTTAGTCTTGTTCCCAGATAGTCTGAGTTTAATGAGAAATGGCTACCCCGCACCACTACCTATCCAACTGGGCAAACAAGGAACCACGGTATCATCGAAACCATTTTCTTTCCTACCCATGCCCACCCTTCCATTGAGTCCGTATCACTTCCTGACCATGGCAGCTCCCTAACACAATTCTTCCACTGTCTTTGCTCTCTCTTCTAAATTACTACCACAGCCTCCTCCTAAGTGGTCCCCTGCATTCATCTGCCTACCTGCCCCCCCACAACATCATTTACTGATTCTCAACACTACTGCCCAGGTGATCCTTTCATACTGCCAATCTGATTAAGCCACCCCTTGTAGAAATGCTTTGATGGCACCTCTGCATAAAAGCTACGATGTCAGCAGAGACAACTGTGTAATCTGGTCTATACTTTCCACTCTGGAATTATTGCCTACCATCGTCTCCCCCTTTCAGAGGTGTTTCCCATTCTTGAACATGCCAAGCTCCCTCGGGCCTCAGGATCTTTGTACAGGCTGGTCCCTCTACTTGGAGGACTCTCTACCGCCACCTCCTTCACCTGCTAACACCCAACAATCCTTGATGTTTTAAGGCAAATGTGGTGTCCTCAGAAGCATTGTATCTTAACCTCCTACCCACAGATTAATTGCTTCTGTCAAGACAGTCATAGCACTTATCACAATTATACATTTGCAGTTATCTGATTACTGGATTATAGTTGATCTCACCCAGTAGAGTGGAAATTCCATGAGGGCAAGGGCTTTGTTTTTGCTTTGTTTTTTGTTTTTGCTTTGTTTTTTGTTTTGTATTGCCAGCGCCTTACAGTGTATACATGCGTATAATTCCAGAAAGAAAGAATGCTAAATTCATCTATAATGCTAAACATGGTAAAAATATGACACTAAACTTACCTAAAGAAGAAAAACTTTTGTTGAGAGATTTGCATCAGTAGACCTCGAAGAGTGGTCCTCAGACACCTGGTGGTCTGTGAGAACTTTTTAGGTGTTTCATGAAGTTGAAACTATTCTCATAGTATTTCGAAGATGATATTTGTCTTTTTCACTGGGTTGATATTTGCACTAATGTTGCCAAGCAATGGGGAGTAAAACTGCTAGCACCTAAGCATGGGCCAAGGTGTTCTTCACCATTATACACTTGAAGGACAAAACAAATGCCAAAGTTATTACTCTTACTAAATTTCGGAGCACACATTTTTAAATTCTGTGTGACAGAACAAGAAGTACAGCTGAATCATTTCAACTGCATACCAAACTTCATATATTGTCTCAAGGACAAGCATTCAGTGACTGGTTGAGGTGAGGTGCCACTGTTTGAGTTGCCAACTAAACTAGCTGCTGTTTTCATGTAACACTATTTTAACTTGAAAGGACAACTAACAACTAATGATTATTCAGACTTGGAGGCTAGGCAGACATTTTCTCAAAATGAATGATACAAGTCTGTCACTTTAAGGAAAACGATTGACAGTATTTGGTGCAAATAATACAATTTGAGTTTTCAAGTGACAATTAAAATTTAAGAAAACTTGAATCTGCCCCCAGGAGCTTGATAGCTTTACAACCCTTAAAGACTTCTCTAATGAGATCCGTGGTATTAATGAGTGTGATGCTAAAATATTGTATGAGGAAAATCTGCATAGCTCAACAAACCAATATATTCCTAACAACCAACATGGTGTTACAAAATTGTGCATGGGTAAAGGATACATTCAAAATGCAAGATGTGCCAATGGGTTTTAATGTAACAGATTATGAAAAGTACAACAGTATGGTTTCAAATCTCACAATGCATCTTTTCTTTAGGAAACCATCACTTGCGATTTGGCATAGTATCAAAGATGAGTATCCACAGCTATCTAAAAAGGCTATCAAGATACTGTCCCCATTTCTAAATACGTATTTGTTTGAGGCTGGATTTTCTCCATATTTCTCAACCAAAATAATGTTTCACAATATATTGAATACAGAAGTAAAGGAAACAAAAACATTTCACTCAAAATTTCTTTCTTTCTTTCTTCTTTCTCTTTCTCTCTCTCTCTCTCTCTTTCTTTCTCTCTTTCTCTCTTTCTTTCTTTCTTTCTTTCTTTCTTTCTTTCTTTCTTTCTTTCTTTCTTTTTTTCTTTCTTTCTCTTTCTTTTTGAAACAGGATCTCACTCTGTTTCCCCAGCTGGAGTGCAGTGGCACCATCTTGGCTCACTGCAACCTCCACCTCCCAGGTTCAAGCAATTCTCATGTCTTAGCCTCCCGAGTAGCTGGGACTACAGGCACACACCACCACACCTGGCTAATTTTTGCATATTTAGTAGAGATGGGGTTTCACCATGTTGGTCAGGCCAGTCTCCAACTCCTAACCTCTGGTGATCCACTGGCCTCGGCTTCCCAAAATGCTGAGATTACAGGCGTGAGCCACCACACCTGTCCCCAAAATATGTTTATTTGATATATTTCAAGGTGGCCATTCAGAGGGACTGGAAACACGCAGATAGCCAAAAAGCTGCTTTTTGTGGGGGAGATTTGCATCTGTGGAGAAAAATCTACATTGGTGAAATACACAGCCAGGCTTTCTCTGCCCCCATGTCCCTTGTCCAGATCTAGGAAGAATTGGCTAGAGAGACTGAGAGTCTGACAGCTTTGGGGGCCTGACAGAAACATATTTTTTTCTGAGATCTGCTACCTGTGAGGTTTCATCTGCATAACAAGACTGCATTTGCTAGCCAAGCCTCTCCTTTTCTCTCCTCTCCATAACCACTCTTGCTGTGCTACAAGCCTCCTTTCTTTCTATAAACTCAAGATGGTATTAAAGCATCAACCATCTGGCCCTTTCTTTGAGTTTCCATATTTTGTATGACTCCCATGTGCACACTGATAAATTTGTATGCCTTTTCTCCTATTAATCTACCTTTTGTCAGTTGATTTTCAGTGAACCATCAGAAGGTGAAGTGGAAGTTTTCCTTTGGACCCTGCAGAAGCAAATATGAGAATCCAACTGCTTCTATTTAGGCAGGCACTGAAGAGATAGCAAAATGTAAGACAATGCCATTCTTCTCAATAAATTTATTTTTTAATCTAGAAAATAGTTATTTTCATAAAACACACTTTTATATTGACACACATTAGGTTAATTATTGTGGTTTTTAAAGAATAAATATTTAAAAATTTTTTCTTGGTTTTAATTTCTAATACAGTGAGCACCAATTGATATAATCCACATAAACACAAACTGTTTGCCATCCTCCATGATTCTTAAGACTGTAAATGATTCCTGAGGCCAAAATGTTTGAGAATTGCTGACTTTCATTATAAAGATTTCCATTTTAACGTTTTTGAAATTGCTGATAGTATTAGAAAGAATACAAATATAAAGTAACCAAACCGTAGAGTCTGTAGAGGTGGGAAAGCAGATATACCTCACTTATTTTATTTTATTTTCAAGACAAGGTCTGGCTCTATTGCCCAGGCTGGAGTGCAGTGGCACAAACTTGGCTCACTGCAACCCCCGCCTCCCAAGTAGCTGGGACTACAGGCACCACACCACCGCGCCTGGCTAATTTTTGTGTTTTTTTGTAGAGATGGGGTTTACGCCATGTTGCCCAGGCTGGTCTTAAACTCCTGGGCTCAAGTGATCTACCTGCCTTGGCCTCCCAAAGTGCTGGGATTATAGGCGTGTGCCACCATGCCCGGTCCTCACTTATTTTAGTAATAACTCTCTTAAGTAAAAAAATCTGACAGTATAAATTCTAAAGCAAAAGAGCTGAGAACAGAGTCACTCATATGCACCTGTTTACAAACATAGGAGTAGTATCCAATGACCAATTACCATGTCCAAACGCCTGTTTCCAAGTATGCATAACATATAGGTGAGGGGAAAATGTCAAAAGCATAAATGTTAGTAGAAAGACAACTCTGATTCATTTGAACTGTTTGATTACTAGTCTGTAATTACTAATCACTAGTTCAAGCGCATTTTCACTCTTGAAAAAAAGTGATCTGACAAGACTGGATCAGGGATGTGCTACTCTTATAACTGCCCAGCAGGTTCCTTCACCTTGCCCACTGCCTAGACAGAGCCAATTTATCAAGATGGGGGAATTGCAATGGAGAAAGAGTAATTCATACAGAGCCGGCTGTGCAGGAGACCAGAGTTTTATTATTACTCAAATCAGTCTCCCCGAGCATTCCAGGATCGGAGTTTGTAAAGATATTTGGCGGGTAGGGTCTTGGGAAGTGGGGAGTGCTGATTGGTGGGGTGAGAGATGGAATAACAGGGGGTCGAAGTGAGGTTTTCTTGCTGTCTTCTGTTCCTGGGTGGGATGGCAGAAATGGTTGAGCCAGATTACGGGTCTGGGTGGTGTCAGCTGATCCATGGAGTGCAGGGTCTGCAAAATATCTCAAGCGCTGATCTTAGGTTTTATAATAGTGATATTCCTCGGAGCAATTTGGGGAGGTTCAGACTCTTGGAGCCAGGGGCTGCATGACCCTTAAACTATAGTTTCTAATCTTGCAGCTAATTTGTTAGTCCTGCAAAGGCAAACTGGTCCCTAGGCAAGAAGGGGGTCTTTTCGGGAAAGGGCTATTATCAGTTCTGTTCCAGAGTCAAACCATGAACTGAATTCCTTCCCAAAGTTAGTTCAGCCTATGCCCAGGAATGAACAAGGACAGCTTAAAGTTTAGAAGCAAAATGGAGTTGGTTAGTTCTGATCTCTTTCTCAGTCATAATTTCCTCAGTTTTAATTCTTGCAAACGTGGTTTCACTGTTTGTTATGTTATTCTGTGTGTTTTCTATCCTTGAAATATTTCATGAAAATATAACAAAAGAAGCAAATGGCATTGGTAAATTGGGGAACGGAAGGATATTCAAAGTGGGAACAGACTATAGCCATACCACCCTGAATGTGCCCGATCTCATCAAAGTAGAAATAGAAAGGTAAAGAAGACTCTCAATTTTTTTTTTTTTTTTTTTTTGAGGCAGAGTCTCACTGTCACCCACGCTGGAGTGCAGTGGCGCTATCTTGGCTCACTGCAACCTCTGCCTCCTGGGTTCAAGCAATTCTCCTACCTCAACCTCCTGAGTTGCTGGGACTCCAGGTGTGCGCCACCACGCCTGGCTAATTTTTGTATTTTTAGTAGAGATTGAGTTTCACCATGTTGGCCAGGCTTGTCTTGAACTCCTGGCCTCAAGTGATCTGCCTCCCTCAGCCTCCCAAAGTGCTGGGATTACAGGCATGAGCCACCATGCCTGGCCTCAAACAATTTGATTGTAATAACATTTCTTCTTTACCCACATGCTTTTATAATTTTTTCCAAAACCATAATGGCCTGCTTGATCTTATGCTTGAGCAGGGGAAGACATCAGAGAACCTTAGATGCCAAGTTCCCAGCACTCTGCGTGGGGCCCTTCCAGGGAATTCACTGCACAGTTCCTTCAAGCCTACAGCCCTGCTCCCTCCACACGTGTCCCTACCCCAGCAACTATTTTTACCTAAGAATCGACTGGTAAAGGAAGCCTGCTCCCTCCAGGGGCAAAGATCTGGTTTCCTGGCAATGCCAGCGGAAAGACAATGGCCCCAGAACACACACTCTCTACTTTAGATACAGGTTTTGGCTTTGAGAACTTCTACCCACTTCCCTCTACAGAGATGGTCAAAGAACTTTGATATTTTGTGGTTGGTGAAGATAATGACAGGAGCTGATAAAAATTCCACTTTAGCACTTTTAGCTATTAACCTTATTACTGTCCCAAATATTTTCTTGGGGTGTTTGTTTTATTATGCAGCATTTTATTTTAGGGAAAATTAACATATAATGAAAGACACAAATCTTAAACGTATCATTCAACGTGTTTTGACAAATGCATACATACCCCACCACCTAACCCAGACTTCTGTGAAAATGAACCTTTACCTTCACTCCAAAAAGTTTCCTCTTTCCCCTTCCTTCCCAGCAAAAAAATCACAGCCCCACTCCCCTTTAGAGGCAACCACTGTCTGATTTTTCCATCTTTTTGAATTTTGAAGTGTATCTGGGAACTGGGCAGGTAGGAGGCAAATTTCTCAGAGTTCTTATTCATTAAATGAGTTGAACAGTGGGTTAATCCAAAGGGGCTCTGCTCAGTCTCAAAATGGAGGCCAAATTTTCAGAAGTGGGCTTTTGATTAAGGGCTAGCTGAAATCTGTTTTCCCCAGAGTTGCTTCTGGTTTCCTGGACATCACCCTGGTGCTATATTCAGGAGATGTCAGTGCTTAAGGAATAGGGAAGGAAAAAAAATAGCTAAGTGTCAACATCAAGACTCAAAAGTTTAAAAGCTAGTTTTTGCTTGGAGCTCATCATTTTTATGTTTATGTTTTATATATCAAGAGGCTGCAGACAGGGGATCTAAATTTTAAACCTAGCCCAAGCTTGGACTGGCTGTGACCTTGGATAAATTACTTCCCATCCCTGAACTTCTTCCAGCTAAAAAGTGAATACCACTGTATTGATTTCCACTGTAAATCTGGTAGCTAGGGTATTTGGGGTGATGGCTTGTTTATGTTTGTTCAGGCTTCTTCAGCCTCAAGGAAAGAAAGTGATCCTAGCCCAAGATGTTTAACAAAATGAGAGCAAACTCCTTCTATCACAGTGCAAAAGGTGTCCAAGAGAAAGTTCAATGACAAAATTCACTGGAAAGTTAAGGGCCACTTCATTGGCGGGGGGTGGGGGGATGGAGCTGGTGATAGTCTCCAAAATGTTCCAGAATTTTATTCTTCATGAAATAAATCATGTTATTTCTATTTCCTGTCAGATTGTTTTTCAGCTGTCATTATTCATAAATATGCAAAAAGCAATGCTGCCTCCCCACCCCTGCTGAAGTCACTTCTGTGTCATTTTTGTTCATTAGACTGTTTAGGACAGATTCATTTTTATTTGGTCTGTACAATAAAATAGCTACCAATGGTAATGCCTCTCAAACAGTACTTTGTTCCCAAAGAATCACACACCAGAACATTGAGGGGGCTGACTTCTGTGGTGGGAACTCAGCCGCGCCATTTGTTCTGACAGAAACCAGCTCTCCCTGTGAGCAAGTCATTCTCCTTGGCAGCCCAGAGCGTCTCCGTTCTTTCTATGTTAGAATCTTGAGATCCTGTGGGGCCTCTGCTTCTATCCCTTCTCTTTCTCACTTCTCTCCTGCCCACAAGGATTCAAGTACAGCCTCCTTGTAAATAAATAAAAAAAAAAATCAAAACCCCCCAAAAAAAACTGCGATCAGAAAGTCAAATAAGCAAACCCCAAGGTCTAGAAATACTTTCCCTCCTCTCTGGCTGAATTTGCATCTTAGCGTACTCTGGGATAGGAGGGAAGCTCATCTGAATGCACGTCTCATACCTTTGTTGCCTCGCTGTACTCTGCAAACCTGTGGGTGGATCGTGGTGAGTGTCCAGGTCTGAGCTGGGGGCTCCAGTCCTCGTTCCATGGCTGGAATTTGAGAAAGTGGGCAGACTGAGGAGGGATTTAGGAGCTCCAGATTGTAATTCCTCTTCTGGGGTAAGAAACCTCCATTTCCTAAGCATCAATGTCCTGAGCTGGAACTCCAGCTTGTAATTCCTACTCTGGGGTAAGAAACCTCTATTTCCTAAGCGTCAATACCCTGAACTGGAACTGGGAAATGAGGACCGTGGGTTTATAGATCTTCTCTTCTCAGCCTTTAATGCATATCATTCTCACCTAGGGGTCTTGTGAAAACGCAGATTCTGATACTACAGGACTTGGGTGAGGCCCAAGAATCAGCATTTCTCACACGCTGCTCACAGCTGCCAGAGGATGCTGATGCTGCTGATGCTGCTGGTCTGTGGCCCATGCTTTGAAGAGCACATTCTGTGGCCAGGCATGGGTGAGGTGCTTGGCTTTTCAAAATCTCCTGGAATTCTCACAAAATCCAGCAAGGCTGGTATTATCTGTATGTGATACAGAAAGAAATGTGGACTCAGAGAGGTCAGGAGAGTGCCCGATGTCACACAGCTAGAATCTGAACTCCGGAGTATCTGGGTCCTCAGCAAGTGTAGAATGAATGAAATGAGTGCCTCTCAGAATGGAATCCCCAGTCCAGTGGCATCAGCATCACCTGAGAACGTGTTGGAATTGCAAATTCTCGGGCCCCATCTCAGATCTATTCAGTGAGAAACTTCGGAGGGGCACCCCCTCCCCAATCTATAGAGTATACAAGTCACCCCCTCAGGTGATCCTGGTGAATGTTCAACTGTGAGAATCACTGAGTCAGACCATTGCTTTCAGACTTCCACGTGCACATAAATCACCTGGGGATCTTGTTAAAATGCAGATTCTGATTCAGCAGGCACGGGGTATGGCATGAAACTGCATTTTCCACGAACTTCCAGATGATGCTGATACCGCTGGTCCAAGATCACACTTTGAGTAGCAAGGAATTGGATGATCTTGCCCTCTAGTTGGATGACTGTTGGGTTATCTGTGGGTACTATTCTTCACATGCAGATGGAGGTGGGAGAAGGAAGCAGAGAATATTCCGAAATTTAAGTGCAGAACCAGCTGAAACCAGAAAACTTCAAATTCAACCTAAAAGGTCTGGGATAAGCAATAATACAATTAAAAAAACACCAAAAGACAAGATATGCAGTTGCTTCAAATAGAAAATTCTGTTGAGGTCAGCATTGCCCTCAGAAAGTGGAGGTATTTTTTCTGCAAAGACCTCATTTTCTGGGATTCACAGCCTCACTCCATCTTTTCTCTGGGAGTGACCCTATCAGTTCATCTTCTCTCTGAAATAGTATATGCAACCAGCTGGTTTGCTGTAATGAAATAATTCCTGGGCCCCAAAGAACATGCAGCTCCACGGAGTTCCAAGTTCAAGTCTATTATTCACTTCAGTACAGAGGAGTAACAGTCAAACTGGCAGTATGTCACTTGCAGTGTGATTCCAAGGTATGCTGAGAAATGTGCTTGGCTTGGTGTGACCTGGTTTGGCTTGTCCTCCTCACTGTCACATGAAGCCAACATAGCCAGAATCCATAAGATACTTTACCCCAAGAAAGCCCTTTCTCTCTTGCAGAGATAAGGGGGCCTTATCCTATGCACTTCAGTTGATATTTTTCCAGCCAATGCCGGATTTTCCCTCTGGACTTGCTGTACTTCTAAAACCTGTTTACTTTGCAACCCCAAGCCAAAAACTTTGCAAAATCAGGCATAGTAAATAACACAAACCTGATTTTACTATGACCTCCCTCTTTTGGACATTAATCACTATTTACCTTGAATTTTCTCTTTGCTTAAATGGCTGCCCACTGTACTGTGTCAACTGGTAATTCTGCGAGATCAAAGGGAAGAGGAGAAAGCCGTCATTTTATATTTGGGTAGATTTGCAGTATGAAAACATGGCTAATCCAGCATGCTATCCTGAGGCCCAAAAACATAAGATGAGGATAAGAGAGGTAGTTTGGGGCGAGCCACTCATAGGACATTTTGTTGCCCATCTCAGGGGAGGTTCCTAGTTCATTACTCCTGGGTGTTAGGTGCCTGGCAGTTGGGAATCAGGTGTAATTAACCTTTGTTTTCTCTTTTGACTTGGTACAGTGCCTTAGACATACCTGGTAGGCACTTAATAAATGTTTATTAATAAGCTAATTTCCCTAGATCACATTTTTTTCCTGTTTTATTTTTATTTTTTTCTACTTTTGCTTTTAGAGATCACATTTTTATATCTGAATTATTACTTACCCAATTTAACACTAATATTTATATGATGCTTTGAATTGAGGTATTCACTAGCACTAAATAATATTTCATTGCCTGGATGTATCAATTTATCTATTCACCCACTGAAGGACATCTTGATTGCTACCAATTTCAGCAATTATGAATAAAGCCGTCATAAACAACTGTAAAAAATAAAATAAATTGAAGCATTTGCTAATTCTTGCTTTCCAAATTTTGCTTTGCATCTATAATGATCAACTCCTTTTCCATTTTCCACCTACAACAAGGAATATTATAATCACTTTTCACAATTCCTGCTGACAAATTCTCATAAAGGGAAAATAAAATAAAGTTGCAAGTCTAAATTTTAATTTCATGAGGAACTCAAAATTTGGAACTCCCAAATCTGATAAAGCATTTGACAGTGACAGTGAATATGGTAATAATTTTTTAAAATTATTAAGTTTTGATACATTCGAACTGTTTAATGAGAAGTTTAAAATAGTACTGGTTTTTCAGGTTTTCTGAATAGCAGGTTTTGTCTATATCATTATCACAATTAGTCCTAGATGAGTCTTATATCTGTTTCCATCCTTCCCATTCCACTGACGCTTCCCTAATCAGCCCCTCACCATATGCTGCCTGGGCTGTTACAGTAATTCCTACTCACTTCCTCCTCAAAGTCATTTCACTGCCACTATCAAGACCTCTCCTGTTTTGGCCTATTTCCAACACACATTTAAGTCATCTAGGGAGAAACTTTACTCTGACTCCATGCTGGTGATGACAGTTTGGTTTTCTACATATAGTGGGCTACAGGGAGAGTATATTGCTCTTTGTGATGCTCACATTTCTCATTATTAATGAACACACTGACATCCTCATTTTACCTATCAGTATCATTTTTGGCCAATATCAATGCACCTTTCAAAGACAGTCCCACCCATAGTGTGCCGACCATGTCAGACTTTTGATCCTGTGACTTTTGATTAGACCTTGGACCATTTTTATTTCCCTCACGTTGTAAATACCACTCTGAGATGGGGATTTGCATGCAGGAAGCCCACTGGGACTGGCACCTGTAATTAGGGTGGAGTTCAGCTGCAAGGCATTTGCAACAGAGGCCGCAGCCAATTACATGGCGAGCTCTGGAGCTGCGATGGCTCTTCAGAGTTGTCTCACCTCCAACAGGGGGCCCTACCTTTATAATCCCACATCGGCCAATCACCAGATGTGGGCTGCCCCCAGAGATGAGGCATAACTTTGAGCTGGATGGCTCCCTTGCTAAAACGGGCAATGGCTGTGAGCAGTCAGTGGCAATGGGCCACCAGCTGGGGAAATGAATGCCCATTCCTGAAGGAGTTCTCACAGATGTTCCAGAGAACCTCCGTGCACCTGGGGAAGGTCTCTCTGGTATTGATTGTTTGCATCACTCATTTGTATCACTCTGTGCTTGCTATTTTTTTTTTTTTTTTTTTTTTGGAGACAGAGTCTTGCTCTGTTGTCCAGGCTGGAGTGGAGTGGTGCGATCTCGGCTAACTGCAAGCTCCACCTCCCAGGCTCAAGTGATTCTCCTGCCTCAGCCTCCTGAGTAGCTGTGATTACAGGTGCCCACCACCATACCTGGCTAATTTTTGTATTTTTAGTAGAGACAAGGGTTTTGCCATGTTGGCCAGGCTGGTCTTGAACTCCTGGCATCAAGTGATCCACCCGCTTCAGCCTCCCAAAGTGCCAGAATTACAGCCGTGAGCCACCGCGCCTGGCTTTCTTTGAACTTTAGAATACACTACAAGGCTAGGATCTATGTCTCTTTATCTTTGAATCCATACCTAGCACAGTATCTGGTATGAGGAAGAGCTATACATTTTTATTGAATACAGTTTTAAAGTTCGGTTAAATTTTATGTTTTTACTATTTTAGATGCAGGCTTTATTTCCTTATTTACTTTCTCTTAGTCACCAAAACATGTTTATATTTCATTTCTAAGCCATAAAATTTGAAACACTCACAGCTTGTATGTTATGTCAGGAAATTTGTCTACAGCCACACCTTTAATCTTGATTAGTTTTTATCACTTGTTTTACATCTAAAACAGTGATGTCCAATATAATTCTTGGCTATGATTAAAATGTTCTAATATACGCAGTCTAGTGTGGACCTTGATCTGCTCTAATTTGGCATCATGGTTGGGTGCTCTGATACCAAGAACGTAGTCCCTGGTTTAGTAGGCTGAGCAGGAATGCAGAACCTGTTTGATCAGGAGCTGTGATGGATGTGACTCCTAGTGAGGAAAGTCAGATGCTAGTTTTCTAGCCATAGGGCAATTTTCCCTGACTACACTACACATCCATTCCAGAAATCCACTGCAAGTCAGCAGTTTCCTCAACAGTAGATGGATTGGGAATTGCTTTGGCCTAGTTCAGTTCCCTATGGCCTCAAGTGTGGGATATTTATTTAATGAGACCACTGAATAACTGGGGTTTGCTTCTGGTATTTGAGTTGAAGCAAAATAAATTAGATGGCATTCACCCGTTGATATGGTTTGGCTCTGTGTCCCCACCCAAATCTCATCTCGAATTGTAATCCCCATATGTCGAGGGAGGGAGGTGATTGGATCATGGGGGCAGTTTTCCTCATGTTGTTTTTGTGATAGTGAGTGAGTTCTCAGGAGATCTGATGGTTTTATAAGGGGTTCTTACCCCTTCGCTCTCTCTTTTCCTTCCTGCCACTTTGTGAAGAAGCTGCTTGCTTCCCCTTCGCCTTCCATCATGATTGTGAGTTTCCTAAGGCCTCCCCAGCCATGTGAAACTGTGAGTCAATTAAACCTCTTTCCTTTATATTACCCAGTCTTGGGTAGTATATAGCAATATGAAAATAGAATGATACACCTGTCCATCCTATCTTACTTTCTGGCTCAAGGACATTTTAATTCGTTTAATCTTTATTTTTGTTTCCATTTCCAAAGGTCATAAATTTAATCCTAGAACTTTGCAGTTATTAAAAGAAAATCTTTTTTTCTCTCAAGATATATTCTAACAAGATTGTCCAGTTGATTGGAATAGTCTTTTCATTTAACAAATCAAAATAAGAAAAGGATGTAATCAGTGAGTTATCTTCAATATTGAAAAAAAACAGGTTTAAAACTCGAAATCTTTGAGCTTTACAAATTCTTAAAATTATATCCTAGTATCAGCAATGAGTATGTAATATTAATATTAAAAAACCTAAGTTTTATCTAAGAAATGTTTGCAAAAATTCACACTAGATCAGCAATTTATTCAACATCAGGATTTTCTGTGTTCTATTTCCATTTGTTATATTTCCAGTTATATAATCTTTTCCTAGAGAAAGAGGAATAATGTGAATTAAATGTGTCAGATAAATGGTTATGAATCTTTCTCTTGATATAAACACTTCACACAAATTATTTTCAGGACATCCTTGGTAGTTGCCTAATTAGGTTATTGAATGATTTTTTTAAAAATCAGTATTAGTGTTCCACATTTAATTATAATCTACAGCTTTCTCCCCATTATTTGAATCCCAGCAATTCCAATAATGAGAACACTGTGTCTCATCCGTGTGCCAAACCCATCCGGTAGTAGCTGCTATAAAAAGAGGAAGGGAGGAGCAAACAGTCCCCAAGTCAAGAAGCCCCTGACTTTGTCATATAAATTAAACAGAGTGGCATGCAAATTTTGACATTTGTCTATCCCTATCGAAGCAAAAATCACACCTCATTTGAAATCCCTGCACATTGTCTCACCATAATTTGGAATCTGAAGGCTACTTCTGATTATATCAGGGAGCGAGGGTTGCAGATTAGCCCCATAGAAGACCACCAAGTACAATCCCTCTCCATCTTCTTTCTTTGAAAGAAAGTCTAATTGTTTGAAATGTATTAAATCCATTTCAAGGTGAATTGCTATTGCAGTCACAGAAGCTAGTAAATCTCAAAGTGGGAGAATATATACTTATGATTTTTAAAACTCAAATAAATGTTTCATGTTGGACTGCTACATGAAATCATGAAAAATGAACTTGGAAAAAATATGAAAAATGTATGCTTCATGCTTCTAGTACATTTCAACACCAGATTTTAGTGTGATATACAGTGATGGTTACCATAACAACACAGTCATCCAGGGCCTCAATTATGCATATAAGAAAACTGTCAGTGAAGTAGAACAGCCTCTGGTTGGAAATAACTGTCTTTCTCATAGTCACCTAGTATTTCACCTTTACATCAATTTTCTAGATTTGGGCTCTGAAAATTGCTGATCATCTATCTAAACTGTAGATTCTGAGCCATTTCTCTTGATCATCCTGGAATACTAGAGCAAAAGAAGATAAACACAGCAAACGTGTGTCAGGCCCCCTTTTCTCAATGACTTAAGAACTCAACATAACTGATAAGATGGAGTTGAAGCAAATGCTTCAATTAGGGAAAGGGGGAACTCATAGTTTTGAATTAAATGATGTGATAATGGATAATTATTCATCTAAATGCTCTGAGGATTGCTTTGGAATAAAATATTACATGCATGATCCAGCATAAGAAATATGACTCTACCTTTCAACAAAACAGCTGATGGCATTTAGTATGTTGGCACATCAGTGTGGGCACTTAGCTTATTTATTATTCTAAATGATTAGTAATGAAAATACATGTTCACAAGCAACTTATGATAGGCACCAAATCAAATGGAAACCATGGCCCCTTAATTTCCCTAAAAGATTTTCACACCAATAGTTTTGAGAAAAACAATAGAGAGCTGTTTCTAGTAAAGTGTCTAATTTTTCAAAACTATCAGTGAAAAATGTCACCTTTCACACAAGCGCCATGCTTATACATTTTTGTCATTAGGCAGGGCTTCTGACTTGAGGTCAGAAAAAAATCCAATGGTGAAAATCTATCTCTGTAATGATAATAGCAAGTGTTTATGGGGTAATAACTCTCAGTGCCAGCTACTTTATTTAATATTATTTTACAATCTCATAACAACTCTTAAAGTAGACTCCATTTACTCTCCATTTCAAAAATCAAAGTTTATTATTCTCCATTTCAAAAATCCAAGTTTATTCCATTTCAAAAATGAAAGCTGAGTGAGCTTAAGTAATTTCCTCAATTTCAAGCACTCCTTTCATTCATTTGTGGAATTTGATTGCAAAGTACCTGAAGGCAGATTCTGCGTCTGTTTTCCTCCCCATTGTATGCCTACCATATAGTCCAGACTCTTGTCATCTGGTTGATAGTACAAGATCAGAATATGAAACCTTTCAATACAGTTTTCCAGCAATAAAGTTCTGTGCTAGCTGTATTAGCTATCTATTGCTGACTAACAAATTACCCTAAAACTTAGTGGGTTCAGGACAATCAGCATTACTATTTCACAGTTTCTGTGGGTTAGGAATTTGGGAGCAATTTTGTAATTCTGACTCAGGGTCTCTCATGAGGTTGTAGTTAGGACATCAGTGGGACTGCAGCCATCTGAAGTTTTGACTGAGGCTGGAGGATCTGCCTCCAAGATGGTTCCCTTACGTGGTTGTGGCAGGAGGCCTCTGTTCCTTGCCATAGGGGCTTCTCCATGAAACTGCTTAACCGTTCCCACTATATGGTAGCTGGCTTCTCTGACAGTGAATGATCTAAGAAAGACACCAAGGAGGAGTCTACGATGCCTTTTATGTCCTAGTTTAGGAAGTCACATACCATCAGTTGCTTCTGCCATGCTATATTTATTAGAAGCGAGTCACTAACTACAGCCCACACTCAATGGGAGAGGAATAAGTCTCCACCTTTTAAAGGAAGCAATATGAAAGAATCTGTGAACACAGTTTCAAGCTATCACATGAGCAGACTTTGGAGTTCAGAAAATACTATAGCCATAGAAGCCCAAGAACATAAAAAAAACAGTCCAATTTGACTTACCTATAGGAGCTGACAACATGGCCACAATCAACTTGCCTACACTAAATGTGATAAGTAATGTTAGGAAAATTTGCATCATTCAAATACTTTGAGTCCTGGTAATATTATATGTCTGGATAATATTGAGATAAGATGCCTATTCAAATAATATTGTGTCTGTAACATATAATTACCATACTGTAACATTTTTCTTAAAAGGTCTGGTTCATAGTCTGTACCACTATTCAAAAAGACTCAAGGGTAAGACAAATTATTGAGATAGAAAAATAATGTAAATATAATCTATTAATATCTGTAGATATCTCTCTTGTTTGCTTTACCAGGTTTATGGATTGTGTTGATGCCTACGGTGCCACCTCTTTGTATTCTTAAGCTTACAGCACCGTTAACCCCTGTTTTGTATTTTTCCAATCATGAAAAGCACCTTTGACATAATCCAAAGCCAGACGTAAGAGGAAAGAACCTGGATATTTTAAAAACCAAACAGCCAAACTGATTCTATCATCCCCTAATAAGAAGATGAGAAAACAAGCATAGAGGTTAAAAAAGTACCCCCAAACACGAAACAAAGAATTGATGGCCGGGATCAGATGCTTGGATTCTGTGCTCAAGGCCTGGATATCTTCTGGTTTTTAAAAATGGTGTGTGTTTGTTTGTTTGTTTGTTTTGAGACAGTCTTACTCTGTCACCCAGGCTGGAGTGCAGTGGTGTGATCTCGGCTCACTGCAACCTCTGCCTCCCAGGTTCAAGTGATTCTTGTGCCTCAGCTTCCCAAGTAGCTAGGATTACAGATGTGCGCCACCACACCTAGCTAATTTTTGTATTTTTAGTGGAGACAGGGTTTTACCATGTTGGCCAGGCTGTTCTTGAACTTCTGACCTCAAATAATGCACCTACTTTGGCCTCCAAAAGTGCAGGGATTACAGGTGTTAGCCACTGTGCCCAACAGTTTTTAACAATGTTTTTAAAAAACTTATTGTTATTAAAGAAATACATGCTCACCAGAAAGTTTGAGCATATAGAAAAGTAGAAAGAAGGAAACAATCACCACTCAGAATCAGCCACTTTAATGATTGGTGTATTTCCTTTACCTCTCTGGTTCACATATATTTTTTACATTGTTGGAACCACCCTGTCCACATATTCTCGTTTATCCTGCTTCACTCACTTACTAATAAGGAGAAACATTTCCCCAAATTATTGCAGGTCTTTATAGCTGTTTTTAATGTCTGTGTAATGGTTTAAGGTATGGTTGTCATGATACTGAACACCTCTCTCTTATTAGATGATTGGGGTATTTCTATTTTTATTTATTATCGTTAATAGTGCTGCAATGCTTGCCTTTGGGTACAAAGCTCGTTATGAGCTTGAATGCATTTTCCTAGGCCAGTTTCTATGCAGTAGAATTACTGGTTCAAAAGTTAGGGGAAATTTTAAGTTATTTTTACATAAGGCCACAAACCATCCATGTCTTCAATAAGGTCAAATTACCTTAAACTTGAAATAATTGTATCTTCTTTCTCTCTCTTTTCACTAAAACCTAAACAGATTTTTTGAATGCCATCGTCATCTGGTGCATCAAGATAAAAATGCACTTGCTTGAAATCACCTGCTTGATCTTTTTAAACTTAGATCTTTGTATCTCTGAACAGAATCCACATTTAAATAGACATAAATTCAAGTTTTATATGTTCATGTGATACAAGGTGTTTATGAGGCAAAATGCAAATGTCAGAAACACAAGCAACTGGGTTCAATGTCCCAAGATTTCATCCTCCTCTTCCACTCACATTCACATCAAAGTGTCTAGGGACAGGTCAGAGGCCTTGTAGGCTGATTGAGAAAAAACACCAATTCAATTGTGTTCAATACAGCTGATGACATCATATGATGAGAAAGAGAGAGAGAGAGAAAGACCATTTGGTGATGCATTTTCTTATCCCACCATATTTTTGCGTTCCTTTAGAGCTGGCACAAAGGAAAAATAAAATGTGTTTATAAATCTATAAATACTTTCAGAGAAAGATACCCAAGGTATATATTTTAAGTGAACAAACCAGATTGTAAAGTAGTATACATTGCACAACTCATATTATGGGGAAGGCTTTACCTTAAGTTATGGGGGTGGGAATTATTGGGGGAGGGACATCCAATTTTGACTTTTTACATGTGTACAGTTTTAACTAACTTAAGAACTACATGTATGGCTCTTATAATCAAGAAAAAATTAAGATTTTTAATCAGACAACATTAAAAGCAAAATTCAAAGCCCATATTAATAAATGTTCATTCTTAAAAATATGATGATTTCCCACTGCTATGACAATTTCTGCCACACTGACTTCTCTCTAGCTCTGTTACATCCATCAAACAGTGTGGAAAGTCTACTGGAAGAGCTCAACTTGCAAATATCTTAGTTTTATTGGTGTTATTGTTGCACAGGCACTACTTTAAAAAGGAACAATTTACCTTTTTTTTTTTTTTTTTTTTTTTTTTTTGAGAAGGAGTCTTGCTCTGTCGCCCAGGCTGGAGTGCAGTGGTGCAATCTTGACTCACTGCAAGCTCCGCCTCCTGGGTTCACGCCATTCTCCTGCCTCAGCCTCCCGAGTAGCTGGGATTACAGGCGCCCGCCATCACGCCTGGCTCTGTTTTGTATTTTTTAAGTAGAGACGGGGTTTCACCATGTTAGCCAGGATGGTCTCGATCTCCTGACCTCGTGATCCGCTCACCTCGGCCTCCCAATGTGCTGAGATTACAGGCGTGAACCACTGCGCCCAGCAGGAACACTTTTTCTGATAATAAAAAGCAGTGTATGTTCATTGTAGAACGTGGAAAAATATAGAAAAGTATAAAGAAACGTGCAAAAGAAAGAAAACCCTTTTCCATTCCTCTAGGGCTACTTGCATTTTTTTCTTTTTACTATATTTTCTATGCATGTGCATGGATATAAGATATATGTTCCTACATATATCTTCAGATATATTGTTATTTTAGCAGCTGTCACTCAGAAAGAAAGCTGTCATTGTTAAGAAAAATCTTGGATTAATTAAAATGAAGTTATTATTTTTGCAGGTCAAAGATGATCAAATATCAGCGTTTTCATATGGTTGAAAAATGAGTCATTATCTATAAGAATACTTAAAAACAAAGAAAGAGCTAAATTTTATAACAAAACTTGACCAGCAAATTTGGGGCTGGAAAAGAACAGAAGGTGAAGAGGGAGAAAATGCCAGGTCAAAATGGCAGCCAAGTCGGGCTTGTGGAAACCATTCCCCCAAGAGAAATTGCCCGGTGCAGGGAAGCTCTTAAAATATTTAGGAAGATGGCATGTTTTACCTCAATTTTAAGTAATTAACGTGATTACAATATCCCTTTTTCTAATCTTTCCAAACTTTCAGAGAAGTCATCTATATACACAATAGCCGTGCGTGAGAAGACCTTGAGGGGAAAAAAAAACAGTGCCTGGGTTGGATGAGAAAAGCAGAGATAAGAGATCAGCCATAGATGGGGAGACGGGAGTTGTGATGAAGCAAGAATGCAGGGCCAGAAGTGGCCTGGAGCACTCGAGTTCCCAGGAACTTGCAGAAATGTCCACAAGGATACTGGGTTTCACATAGAATAGGAGATGGGTTGACTGACCACATCTGTCTCCAGGTGGTCTTGGCTGGAACATGTGGGCACACTCACACAAACACATACATATACGAAGACTGTAAGCTTTATGAAGGCAGGAATGGTTTCAAATGTAAACACTATTGAATCCCTGTATTGGTTTGCTAGGGCTACATAACAAGTTACCACAATCTGGGTGGCTTAAACAACAGAAATTTATTATCTCACAGTTCTGAAGGCCAGAAGTCTGAGATCAAGTTAAAAGGATACCAGTTATATTGGATGAGGGGCCCACTCTACTCCAGTAGGACCTCATCTTAACAAATGATATCTGCAATGACCCTGTTTCCAAATAAGGTCACATTCTGAGGTAGCGGGGGTAAGGACTTCAATATACAAATTTTGGGGTGACACAATTCAACCCATATCAACCCCCTTGGACATGACAATTCCTGGCACATAGTAGACTCTCAACAAATATTTGTTCAATGAATAAATGATACATATAAATATTTATTAATGTAGTTAAGATCAGTTCACCTGGGTTTTCTGGCTCATTTTCAGTAGACCATAAAAACAAAATACAGTTACAGAAAGTGAGGAGGCAGAGATGTCAGCTGAAGAGAGAAGCTGGCTTCTAGATCAAGTGATTATATATACCTAGCCATGTTCCAAAGTACTGTCTAACTAGGATAGGGCACCCATAATTGAGTACTTTCTCAGGATGATCCAAGCTAACCAAACATACAGTAGACTGGTTCATACAGCAGAATCTCAACTTTTTCATTTAACACTGAGAACTACTCCTGCCAAGTAGATCACAGTCCTCATGTCAGCTGTTACCACAATGTACTCCCTGGAAGTGCAAGAAGGAAAAGCAAGGAGAGTCATCTGGAACTAATAACCAGTGCCATTGATGTTTCCACTTTCTCTATAGGGATGAGTTTGCCAAGGGCCCAAAGATACCTGCCCCTACTGGTTAGTGTTAAAGACATAATGACTTTCTCCCCCTTTAGGCTCCCTTTTGCTAAGTTCTGTTATAAAAATACCTGCCCAGAGCAAGTAACTTTCAATGTGTTTGGGCCCCCATGTTTTCCTGACCCCGCACCTGGTCCCTGAATTGAAATACGTATGTTTCTCAACTTCTTAGTCATCAATTTCCAAACCATTGCTTTAGGTTGGTTATTTCTATGGTCAGTTATATTGAATTCATGCTGAGTGATTATCTTATTATCAGGTACGGAGAGCATCTGACTGTCATGCCACATAAGACTACAGAGAATGTCTTGTTGGTGGTTGTGACAACAAGGAGCTTGGGCTAAATGAAGGGTGGTCCATTTGAATGTGTGATGCATCATGGATTCAATCTACATGGGGATTCATTCATGTCTCAGGCAACTATCAAATAAATTCCGTACTCAATTCTGCCCAATTACTCAGAGAAATGTGACCCAATAAGTCCAGTTAGGATTTATTGATTGTTTACTATGTGCCCAGGAAGTAGCAACCCTGGTGAATAAAATGTTTCAGGAGGCACTCTCTCCTTTCAAGTACTGTCACAGGTTGCCTCTCCAGGAAGTAGACTTTGAGCTAGAGATTATTACAAGGGCATTTGTTGGGATCAATACCTGTGAATGTTTAGGGACAGAAGCAGGACTAGGCAGAGAGAGAAGTCAACCTGCAACCCAAGCACAATAATAGCCTCCACTGACACCACAGGGCTTTGGAGTTGGAAGGGCCCTTCAAAGTTACGCTAGGTTGGAGAGATGGCCAGGCCTCTATATCCCTGCATTAATCTGTCATTGAATGTGGGTCACCTCAAGAAGGAACTTGACCTTGGGTGAGAGGGCTGGACTCTACAGATGAATAGTCCCTGAAGCTCATCTCCCATTACCCCTTCCTATAGCTGGGGATAGCAAGTTCTTCATTAAATGGTTTTATGGGTTGAATTGTGTCTTCAAAAAGATAATCTAAAAGCACTGAAGTTATAACCTGTGAATGCGACTTTATTTGGAAATAGTGTCTCTATAGATGTAATCGAGTTAAGATGAAGTCATTAGAGTAAGCCCTAACCTGATATGACTGGTGTCCCCCACAAAAAGAAGAAAATGCCATGTGAAGACAGGGACACATGGGGAGGAGGTGGTCATGTGAAGGCAGAGGTAGAGACTGGAGTGATAGGGCTGTGAACCAATAAATGCCAACAATTGATGGCCACCACTAGACGCTATGTAGAGGCACAAAAGGATTCTACCCAGAGTATTAGAGGGAGCATGGCTCTGAGGACACCTTGACTTCAGATGTCTATCCTCGAGAACTGTGAGAGAATAAATTTGTGTTGTCCTAAGCCACCTAGTCTGTGGTACTTTGTTACAGCTGCCTTAGGAGACTAAGAAGGGGGTTCTAGGTGGCAGATGACAAGAATAATCCCTCAGGATGAAGTCAGTTTATAAATGAAATATTCAGCTGTAGAAATAACTTCCTGAAAGTAACAGTTCGTAAGTGGATTTGGGGAGCTAACGATCTGATTGAAACTATATGACTTTTATATATAAAATGGAAATGGATGGTACAGAATTACTATGTGCAGGGTACTGGCTGGATGAAGAACTTTATAGGATTGGCTTCACCTAGCCCGATGGAGTTGGTGTTATTATCCACATCTCATAAATGAGAAAACTGACGACCGAGGTTCAGTCATTCATCAACAACTAGAGAGTAGAGCAGCAACTGGGTGCAAACCTGAGTTTATACTTCCCCTGAAGCCAGTGCCCTTGGCCACTGGGTGACTCTGGAGGTGCAGTAGCACCAGAACAATAAGTCTGTAATAACCACTGTGGGATGTATGGGGAAGGAGAGCTGACAAAGGATCCTGGGTGAGGAAATGCATCCGGAACAAAGCAAACTTATTTCCATTACTGGAACATAGCCCAGAATACAGGTCATATGGATGGTTGGTTGGTGAGATCATTTCCAGTGCTTTTTGTGACACTGTTTTTTCCCCAGAGCTATATTAACACCATCCACTTGAAAAAAAAAAAAAAAAAAGTAGCATTCCTATTTCAATCTGGTAGGAACAAAGAACTCCTATGACAATGGAAGTAAGAAAGATGAGAGAAGAAGAGAACAAATCAGGGTCTCATTTGTATAACTGCTTCTACCTTAGCCCCAATTGTCCCATGCCAGATGACAGTGTGGTTTCCATACTCGGATGTCATTAAACATACTGAAACCAATTTTGGTGCCAAATTACAACCACAAGCCAAAATACCTGTAAAAAAAAAAAAAAACAAAAAACAAAAAAAACACTTTTCATATTCTGATTCAGGTCAACATCAACTAGACACTATTTTGTTAAATTTCCATTTAAACAAAGAAGTGACCATTTCTGATGAACTGAAAACTGACGTAACCCTCCAGAATTGAGAGCTGGAAGGAATACTGTTTTTAATTAACTCAATTCAATTTATCTCAATGCCACACTTTTATTTTTACTGTTTTCTATGTGCTAAGACTTATTTACTATGAATGCAGACATAATGTAAAAAGTTTCTACTCTAAAGAATCTCACAATCTAGTGGAGAAATTAATAATTATTACTAAACCTGAAAGGAACTGTTATTGAGGTTACTTATAAGGTGTGATAGAAACACCAAGGAAGAACACTCAATAGCACGGAGTAAGTAGAGGCAGTAGGATAGAGGACTTTCCCAGTGGAGGGAACTCTAGAAGTGAGCCTTGGAGAAAGGGCAGAAATTATCCCAGAGGGCAAAGAAAGAGAAATGGGCATTCTTAAGGATTATGATATAAAAAGTTGAGAGAGAGAAAGAGAAGAAGAGAAGGAAAGGAGAGGAGAGAAGAAAGGAGAGAAGAGAAGAGAATGCTCTGGCCATTGCAAGAAACACTAAGTAGCTCAAGTTTAGCAAAGTATGCATGGTGGAGGTTGGGAGATCATGGAAGAGGAGAGAAAGGCAGTGTTTTGCATGCCATGCCAAAAGGTTTGGACTTCACACTGAAGGCAAAGGAAAGCTACCGATCTGCATTTTAGAAGAATTATCATGCAGTAGGGTGAAAAGTAAGTTGGAAGTGGGAAGAGGCTGGAGGCTGAGAGATGCCTTAGAAAGTTCTTGAAGTAAAGTCAAGAATCTGGAGGTCCTGGACCAAGACAACTTTATGAGAGAAGGAAAGAGGATGCTTTGAGAAAACAAACAAACACAAAGTCAATATTTTAGGGACTGATTATAGTTGAGAGAGGAGTGGGGAGGGACATGGATAAAGAATCAAGAATGATAAAAAGATGGACAGCTTAAAAATGAGATGGCTTTTGACGCAGTTAACCAGCATGAGGAAGCCAGTGACGGTTTGGGGGTAAAGGGTGAAGAAGTAAATTCAATTTTTAATAAGTTCGGCTTGCAGTGCCCCTAGGAATCATCAGAGGACATGTGCCCCTATCCCAGGGAGAATCTGATTTCTTGTGTCCCTGATGTGAATTAACCTGCAGGTAAAAGACTACTGCCCAGAGAGGTGACAAGCTGGAGTCACAAAAGCTACAGAAGTAAAGATTTTAAGAAGAAAACAGTGATTGACCCTGGCATACCTTACAAAGTGGTTATGTCAGAGAAAAGACCATTGGATTGCAAATAGGACAGTATTCAATGACCTTACCAAACCCAGTTTCAGTGCAATGGAAGGGGCAGAACTAGACTCTAGAGGTTGTGGAAAGAAAGGGGGATCCTACAGCCAATCCATGCTGTTAATATCTACACCACAACAGAAAATCTAGGCTAGAATGCATGTAGAAGTAATTACAAACACACTGATTTATTTATTTATTCCTTCATTCAAATATTTATGGCATGCCTATTTTGTACTTGCCAATGACAAAAGAGACATGTAAAAATCATAGTTGAGAGCAGGGGAGTAGGCAATAAACAAAGAAACTTATAACCTGACGTTTGGTGATAGCAAGAGCAACAAAGTCGATTTTGCCTAGTGTAAATACGGAAGAAGGGCTACTGCAGCATTGACAGAGATGGCAAACACATGGGAAGTCAAGGTTTAGAGAAAAAAAGAGGCCGGAAGCAGTGGCTCATGCCTGTAATCCCGGCACTTTGGGAGGCTGAGGCAGGAGAATCACTTGAGCCCAGGAGTTTGAGACCCGCCTGGGCAATACAGTGAAACCCTGTTTCCACAAACAATTTTTTAAAAATTGGCTGGATGTGGTAGCGCATGCCTGTGGTCCCAGCTACACAGGAGGCTAAGATGGTAGGATTGCTTGAGCCAGGGAGGTCGAAGCTGCAGTGAGCTGTGATTGTACCACTGCACTTCAGCCTGGGTAACAGAGCAAGACCCTGTCTCAAAAATAAAATAAAAAAGAAAAGCAACAAGCCAGTAGGGCTCATTTGTTTATTTATTCATCATACTACAACTAACAATATAGGGAAACATTTACAGACTGCTTACATCAGTGTATTCAATTAACAGGATGAAAAAAATAATTTAGGAAAGAATCAAAGAAGGAAAATAACATTAAAAAGTAAGACAAAGCATAGGGGTAAATTTGGTGTGCAAACCATTTCCCTACGTGCTTGCTAGAAGAGGGCAGAAAGTTTGTCTCTAAGCTTTTCTGTGGCAAAGACAGAAGCAAAACAATAAAAACAACAACAATGTTAACAACAGCAATAGTAGTAACCATATTAACCTTTTCATGCGTGCCAAGCACTGTTCTAAGTTCTTTAACCCTTACAACTCCAGGAGATAGAGTTTTTTTGTTCGTGTGTGTGTGTGTTTTGTTTCATTTTACAAATGAGGAAATCAATCACAGATAAATTTGGTCAGTGTGGCAGATGGATTATTGTTATTAATTCTTCTCTCCCTCCCTTTGCCGTGTGACCTAGCATTGCAATAGTACAGAGTGCGTCCCCACCCCTTGACTTTGGGCTTAGCCAGTGGAAACTCTGCAAACTTGACTGGAACTTTAAAGCTGAAGAGGCACAGGTGTGTGATTGGGCATGACATCTTATGCTCCTGTGATTCACCGTGAGGAGAATATACCCTGAGTAGCTGCTGGTCCAGAGAGAGTGAGGAAACACATGAAGCAGGCCTAAAACCAATGTGCAGCCTGGAGGCAAGCTCTCCTAATCCTGGATGATTCCAGCCAAACCACAGCTGACCCATAGACCTGTGCGTGGAAACATGACTATAAGCTCCTGAGAACTGGAGATCGTTTGTTAAACAGCAATGACTAATTAACACTTTCAGTTTCAATGCACCCCTAACCTGGAGTCCCTGAATATCCGTAGTAAGCAATGGATTTTACATTCCTTAGGTGGTCTCATGAATATTCATTCTTACCACCAAGCTTTTCGTAAGGATTGTGCAGTTATTAGAATTCAGTAAGTAGTCTTCATTGTGCCTTTTATAAGCAACATAAATCAGGTTCAAACAATTCATTTCCCGTGGTTGAAGATAGGAATAAAACAAATTGCTTATATCTATCACAATATATGTACGAGAAAGAGGAAAATTTTTAATCCAGTTATACAAAAATTTTAAATCAAAAGCAGGTGACCCAGAAAGAAAACAAGAAGGGAAAAACTTGCTTTAGTCATGCCTTTTGCCTAGAGTCTACCTAGCTTCCTACTCCTGGGCTTAGGATTTTTCATGAAGGCTGGTAGAAGCATGGGGCTCAAACCAGTTCTAGCTGATGCCAAAATATTACAGAGAAAAAGGCAGCAGGAAGCAAACAGAAGACAAGAAAGAGAAAAAAAATCAGGTTTCTCTCAAGCCTCTCAGATTAATCATTAACACCAGTATTTTATCCTTTGGCCATTATAAAAGTTAATTTTAATCAGAGTTAGTTATCCTAATTTCCAAATCATTTTCCATGTTTCCATTATTCTCTATGTCTTTTAAGGTATTTTAAGATGGATCTGATGTGAAGCCCTACTGTCTGGGCATCTGTAACTAAAAACACTCTGACTCTATAGAATTGAAGTTATTTTTAGAATACTGAAAATTCCTCTGGTGCAACAGACATAGTGATGATCATAATATTTTGAAAAGAAAGTGTTTGGTTGGGTTGTATGTAAGAGAAAGGCACACACACACACACAGACCAGAAACAAGTGGTCAAAAACCAGGACTCAGATTTTTTTTCCCAGTGTGTATTTACACAAAGAGTCTTTACAGTTCTTGAGATGGATCTACTAACGTCAACAGAGTCTTTATTAAGATTTTTCAGACCACTGATGAAAGATATAAAAATGATTTATAAATCAATTATAAAAGCTTTCTAGATTAGATTTAAAAAGAAAAGCTAATCTTATTCAAACTGGCAAGCATTGTTATTCAAGAGAATAAAGCCTTTTTAAACCACCTTCTGGTGGCTTTTTAAAAAATACTTTATTTGAACTCTTGTTTTCATAGTAAGTTGAAACTTTTATCATCGTAATCGTGTAGAAATAATTCTATTCCCTTTAACTTCTCCTATATTCCTGGCAAAGTATTTGCTTTAGTGAAGTAGTCAAATAAGTTCTTTGTCAACCCAAAAAGCAAAACTCTTGCTTTATTTGGGTGGGGCGGGGGGAACTCTGCTAAATAGTTGTTTCTGGGCTGGGTGCAGTGTGGCTCAAGCCTGTAATCCCAGCACTTTGGGAGGCTGAGGTGGGAGAGTCACTTGAGCCCAGAAGTTTGAGACCAGCCTGGGCAACAGGGCAACATAGAGAGACTCTGTCTCTACAAAAAATAAAAATGAACTAGTCAGGCATGGTGGCATGTGCCTGTGGTCCCAGCTACTTGGGAGGCTAAAATGGGAGGATCGCTTGAGCCCAGGAGGTCGAGGCTGCAGTGAGCCAGGATCATGCCACTGCACTCCAGCCTGGGTGACAAAATGAGACCCTCTCTTAAAAAAAAAATAGGTGGAGTTAGCAATAGAGAAGGTTCTAGTAGTATATCATCCAGTACCAACCCTTGCCCCTGAAGTGGATTCATCAGGAAGCATAAATGTTCCATGGCATAGTGGGCCCCTTCAAAGGCAACGTGTTCACATGGTCATGTTTTTATAACATTTGCAAAACTAATACTTCCCTTCCTTGTACTGAGTGGCATTGAAGATGGCCATGGCATTTTTGAAATATGCCTAAGGTGAAGTTGAGTTAGGAACAGTTTGGGTTTAGTGGGATATATTTGTATTTCATATTTAAGTTATTACCAGCCATCCTGATGTAGGAATCGCTTTCAGGAACACCTTTACCATCTACTGTGATGTCTCACTTGGAATCACAAAGAAAAGGCGTAGGGCCAGAGGCCATAAATTGTAATGTGTGTCATTGTGCCTAGCAGCACTAGCAGTATGGGGTGGTAGAAGAGAAACAAGATTTGAAATATACACGGCCAAAAGCTACTTTGTGAAAAACCTCTCCCAAGCATGAGCTATATGAAATTGTAAGCAGAAGATTTAGTTCTCAATGACCTCAAGTCAAAATAGAAGTTCTTTCCCATCAGGAATAGACTGTGATACTCAACCTATCCAATTATAAACTTATTACACAGTAAAACTGTTATAAATTATATACAGAAATATATGTATATTAATGAAATCATGAGAAATTATTCTGACATGGAGAAATAAATTGTAATTGAAGGATTCTTTTAGACCATAACAAAATCAACAATATTTGAAGAGGAAGAAATAAATTTTGAATAGAGACTCTTGTATTGCTTACTAATCCAACTAATACAAATAAATAAATTTATAAATATATTTGAAGAAAATTAAATTTCTTGCCAATTTGATAAGAAATACTGATATTGACAATGATTAACATAAAAATCATAATACACCACTAAACAAGGACATCAATGACAAATTCTGTAATGAGTGCCATTAGTTCAAAGATTGTGATTAGTTGCTGTGTAAGGAAAATTAAAATACCTTGAAATTTGACAGTTTATACATGAAAAAACTTGATAGGTTCTCCAAATTGGACAACAAATTCTACAAATTTACCACATGGCCAAAAATGAATTAGGAAGCTGAAAACCAATTTGTTTTCTTTTCTTTTTTCTTTTTTTTTTGAGACAGAGTTTCGCTTTTGTTCCCCAGGCTGGAGTGCCATGGTGCGATCTCTACTCACTGCAACCTCTGCCTCCTGGGTTTAAGCGATTCTCCTGCCTCAGCCTCCCAAGTAGCTGGGATTGCAGGCGTGTGGCACCACTCCCAGCTAATTTTTGTATTTTTAGTAGAGACAGGGTTTCACCATGTTGGCCAGGCTGGTGTCGAACTCCTGACCTCAGGTGACCATCCGCCTCGGCCTCCCAAAGTGCTGGGATTACAGGCGTGAGCCACTGCTCCCAGCCGGAAAACCAATTTCTAAACTATCAATAATTTTTTAAAACATCTCATCAATCATGCTAGATAGAGGAAAGAATGAATCTATTCCTGTTATAAAAAAAAAAAAATCACTGTCATTTGAAGAGGTGATCAAAGAAGATTTAGCTAAAAAATGTAGGAAAAATAGTATAGAGATGTGTTAGGGAATTAAGATTATGCTATGTTCTAGATTTTGTGTTGCTTTGGGTTATTTGCCAGCTTTTTTAATAGTTGTAATTTGTTATTTTTTTCCTCATTGTAAATACATATTTCTATTTTTTGTACCTACTTTTGAATTTGTAAGGTAGTATTTTTTTTCTTGAAGAGGACCCTCAAAATCATATAAGCTTCAAGCCTACAAAATCTGGAATCTTTCCTTCCTTCCCTCTCCCCCTTGATGTAGGCACAGGCATGCGCGCGCGTGCACACACACACACACACACACACACACACTTATATCACCACTACTACTCCCCCACGTTTTTGGTAGTGAGTGTTGCCACCCACAGAGGCAGACATTAGGCCTCTAGAATATCACCTGACTCCAAGGGAGCTCTGGGTCATTGAGCCCTCAAGACAGAACTGGAGAAAACCAAAGAGGCTATTGCCACTGTGGAGAGAACGCTGTGAGCAATGGCGGGATTTGGCCCAGAGGGTCTCTAGGGAAGAGCCCTCGTTTTCAATCATGGGCACCTCAGGAGCTCTGTTTCTGGGATGTCTGGTGGAGTGAAGTTCCTTTGACTCTCAAGGACCCCATGAAGGATATAGAATCCCCAATGGGTCCTCTAACAAACACCACTTCCCAGCATCTTCTGGGCTTTTGAGGGCAGCACAAGCACTTATGGCTCCTTTGAATAACTGCAGACCCCTACCTCTAAAACCATCTCACACTGAAGAGCGAGTGGCTTCTCAGTCCCTGGGGAACATCGGCAGTGAGGAGCCTCCGCGGGTTCTCAGGGGAGCAGCAGTTGAGTGGTTGCTTTGCAACAAACTGGCTCAAATCCCAGGGAATCCAAGGGCTGGCTTCTTGTACATGAAATGCAACTCAAGGTAGTGAAATAGCTTTGCAAACACTTGTTAATTTGCAATGGGCCACACATTACACGTGGGTTAGGAGGTACCCTAGGAAGGGGAGATGTTGAACAGGCAGTGAACACCCAGCAAAGTTGAAGACACATGGTAGGCACACCACGAGACATGATTTTAGATCTCACACTCTCCGCATCCACACAAGCTAGCCCAGTTTACAACCGGGTTGTCCTTGATGCAAATCTCACCACCCTTTTTAGTTTCCCTGTGAAATCAAATCAAACATGGACAAGTTACTGTTTGGGTGAAGATCGGGAATAACAGGGAGGCATCCCATCTACCGCACACTGAATTCCTTTGAAAATATGCTATAGGTTTGTGTTTTCCTTCGAAACTTTTCTTCCAGCCTCAGCTGCCACTTCTCTACCCTCTCCTGACTCCAGCCGTAAGCAGCCTCAGCCCCATTGCTCCTCCTTCTCCCTTCCTTAAAGTGAAATCTGAGGAGTGGTTCAGCACTGGGGACTTCCTTCTGCTGGTGAACTTCACAAAGCTCCTTTTCAGCTTTTCAACTAAGATAGGTCTCTCCCAACATAGGAATTTTAGTACCAGCTGCTAAAATGGTAACTGTTTCTCCATCTGGCTACCTAGATGAAACGAGGAAGAATACTGCTATTTTACCACAGAGGTCATGACTGATGGTGTCCTCTCTGGCAACATATATCACTGCAGCTCTCTAAATAGGATTTTTACTTTCTCAGATCAAGTTGAAACTTAATTTTAGTGTTTTCTTCATGCAGGCCCATTAAAGGAAATTTGAAAAATTCATAAAAGTTGAAAGAAAAGAAAAATGAATCGGCATCATTCCACCCCTCACATTACTCACGGTTCACATTTTTCTGGCTTTTCTCCCAGATTTTATATTCACTCAGCTAAGATTTCTGTTTCTTTGTTTATCAAACCTAGTTCTAACCGCACTGTGTATACATGTCTGTATATTGCTTTTTAAATATAGATCCTAAATATTTTCCATGTTATTCCATAGCTCTCAAGGTATCATTTAAATATTTACATGACCGAGCCTCAAGTATATAGTCCATTTTGGCTTATTGTATTAGTTTCCTATTGCTGCTGTAACAAATTACCACAAACACAACAGCTGAAAAACAACACAGATTTATTATATGACAATTATAGAGGTCAGCATTCCGGCATGGGTCTCACTGAGCTGAAATCAAGGTGTCAACAGGGCTGTACTCCTTTCTGGAGGCCCAGAGGAGAATCATTCCTTTGTCCTTTACAGCTACTAGAGGCCTCCTGCATTCCTTGACTCGGGGCTCCTTCATATATCTTTGAAGTCAATAACATTGCATCTCTCTGTGCCTTTCTCCCATAGTCACATCTTCCTCTTTCACTTTTAAGGACTCCTGGGCCTTAAAATATATAGTTTGGATGTGTGTCCCCGCCCAAATGTCACATTGAATTGTAATCCCCAGTGTTAGAGGTGGGGCCTAGTGGGAGGTGATTGGGTCATGGTGGTGGATATCTCATGAATGGTTTAGCACCATCTCTCTTGGTATTCTCCTTGCGTTAGTGAGTTCTCGTGAGATCTGGTTGTTTAAAAGTGTGTGGCACCTCTCCCATCTTTCTCTCCTGCTCTTGCCATGTGAGGTGTCTGCTCCCACTTTGCCTTCCACCACCAGTCAAAGCCTCCTGAGGCCTCCTCCTCCAGGCTTCCTGTAGCGCCTGCAGAACCATAAGCCAACGAGATCTCTTTTCTTACAAATGACTTGGTCTTGGCCGGGTGAGGTGGCTCACACCTGTAATCCCTGCACTTTGGGAGGCCAAGGCGGGCTGATAACTTTAGGTTAAGAGTTCGAGACCAGCCTGGCCAACATGGTGAAACCCCGTCTCTAATAAAAATACGAAAATTAGCTGGGTGTGGTGGCATGTTCCTGTAGTCCCAGCTACTCAGGAGACTGAGGCAGGAGAATCGCTTGAACCTGGGAGGAGGAGGTTGCCGTGAGCTGAGATCGCATCACTGCACTCCAGCCTGGGTGACGAAGCGAGACTCCATCTCAAAAAAAATAATAATAATAAAAATAAAAATAAATAAATAAATGACTTTGTCTCGGGTGTTTCTTTATAGCAAAGTGAGAATGGTCTAATATAGGCCCACTCAATAATCTCCCTGATTAGCAACCGAATTCCATCTGCAACCTTACTTCCCCTTTTCCCTGCCAAGTAACATATACACAGAATCTGGAAATTAGGTTGTAGACATCTCTGGGTGGCTCTTATTTTATTATTATAGAATAATAGTGTTCCACACATCTGTAAGTATTCCACACTTATGTGTCTCTTATTATTGAGCTTTTAGGTTGTGCTGTCTTATTACTGAGTTTTAGGTATCTTATTTTTAGTATGATATACAATATTATAATAAATGTCATTGTTCATTTTACTTTTTCCTTATTAGGTAAACCAATCTTTCTTAGCTACAGGTCTTTTCTCTCTTAAAGGGGGAAATTATAGACAGAAGAGATGTTCTGAGCAGATGTTGGCACTGAAAGTCGTGTAATTTAGCAAAAATAATACTGGAATTCTAGTCCATACCCCTCCTCCAGCATTTACTAGCTGAGCAATTTTGGACAAGTCACATAATGCATTGGAAAATTTTCCTTATCTGCAGAAAGGGAGCACCCCTTACCCAGGCATTATCACAAGCTCAAATGAGATGATGTAAACTGTGATGTAACTGTATCATTAGAGGTCATAGTGGTGACTATCATGACTATGATAATCTTTTTTCTAGTCTGAATATGTTCATATATGATAATAATGTAATAATTGAAACTATATCAGAGAGCATGGCCTTATTATTATTTTTAATAATTTCTAGTAATAACCCACCTCAAATCATTTATCTTGTCTAAAAGGAGAAGGAAAATGAGAAATATTATCCTAGTAGGAATCAGGCTGAGAAAGAACGCTTTTTTTGAAATTTTAATTATAATTCCAAACTATGCTTCACTTCCTCCCTTGCTCCCTGTAGCCAACCTGGCATCAGTGTAGCCTTGCCATCAGCAGGGCAGTCTCACTCCATGGCCTTCACATTTGTTATTTCACCTTTGTGGAATGTTCTCTCTCAAACATCTGCTTGGCTCCCTTCTCCTTCTTTGCTCAAACATCTCCACAAACATTACGTCCCTGGATCAACTGCTATAAAGCTGCTCTACCACCGCCACCCTGGGCATTCCCAACCCTCTTCCCTTTATTCATTTTTTTTCCTATATCACCACTAGGGTCTAAATTCCATAAAGGCAGGGATTTGTGTCTGTTTTATTTGCTGTGCTGTGTTCCATGCCTAAAATGGTCCGCTATATATTATGCATTTAATAATTGTGTTAAATGATTGAACTGATTTTAATGCAGTCCAAGAAATTCATCCATTGGGCTAATGGACTCTTTTTAGCAGTAGTTTTCTCCATTAAGGCATACTCTTCACACTGATTTGGGCAGCAACAGGCCTGTGGGGAGAGCAGGCAGACGCAAAAGAGTGTGCACATTTATGAAGCTTTTATCAGAAAAACAAATGCCCAAAATGACTGTTTACTCTGATTTTTAAAACTGAGGTATAAACAGAGAGCCATGGACTGGGCATAGTGGCTTACGCCTGTAATCCCAGCACTTTGGGAGGCTGAGGCAGGAGGATTGCTTGAGGCCAGGAGTTTGAGATCAGCCTGGGCAACATAGTGAGACCCCCATCTCTATATAATAAATAAACAAGACTTTTTAAAAATGAATAAGCAAAAGAGCCATGTTGTGTAGTTTACAGTGGTTGGTTTGGAGAAAGAACAAAGAAAGAAGCCATAAATGAAGACTTTTGCATAAAGATAAATCCAGGTGGATACGTCGCTCAGTCCTGTGAAGCTGTCTTTGTGGCCTTTGGTTGAAAGCTGTTGTCGTCATTACGCACACCTTGGTTTAATGTTGAAAGGCAGAAATGAATAGAAATTGGTATTTAATCTGTACGTATAGCAGAAATCCACTGAGGTGGTAAACTAATTGAATCTCAGCACGCCCTTCATGCATCTACAGCAGGAAAAGCCTGTGTTAGAGAGAGATGAATACCTTGCTGAGTACTTTCACTTTATTCATCTTTATGAACTTTTCATAAACTAATTTTAATTGTCCTTTACCCACAAGCAATAAGGACTCACCACCCCCCTGCCCTGCTTGGACATGCTGTTATTTTACACTCATGCATTTGTAACTCTTGCCTAATTTTATTCCCCCTGTTCAGAAAAATAGAACAGCTGTTAGTCCCAGCTTCCTGGCTGTTCTCTCAGCTTCCCCTTCCTTCCTGTCCTTCTACTCCAGGCCCATGGTATTTCTCTTAAAGCAAGTTTTCAAAACATCAAGGTAGATAAAGATCTAGGAATCATAATTCTTGTATACTCCTTAAGCACAATGTTGGTTTTTTTTTTCTTTTTGTCTTGGATCCCATATCCCTAACAATGCAACTGTGCCAAGAATCCATTTGGAAAGTAAAGCCAAGATATATCCCTGTGCAACTAGCAGCAGATAAACAGCTTTCAGTTTAATCCTAATGAGAATGAGCAAATGGACACCGATACTTGGCTTAGTATTTCACCAGGATAATCCCTTTCCCATGCAGTGAAACTCTTCTGTGACCTATTTGTGTGAGTGTGTGTCTGTAGATATAGTCTCCCTTTATCCATGGGGGATACATTCCAAGATCCCCAGTGGATGCCTGAAACCCTGGATAACACTGAACCCTATATGAACTGTTTTTTCCTATGCATACATACCTATGATAAAGTGTAATTTATAAATTAAGCATGGTAAGAGATGAACAATAACTAAAAGTAAAATAGAACCATTATAATATACTGCAATAAAGTTAAATAAATGTGGTGTCTCCTTCTCTCTTTCAAAATATCTTTTTTTTTCTTTTTTTTTTTGAGACCGAGTCTCACTCTGTCACCCAGACTGGAGTGCAGTCGAGTGACCTTGGCACAGTGCAACCTCTGCCTCCTGGGTTCAAACAATTCTCCTGCTTCAGTCTCCCAAGTAGCTGGGACTACAGGTGTGTGCCACCACTCCTGGCTAGTTTATGTATTTTTAGTAGAGATGGGGTTTCACTATGTTGGCCAGGCTGGTCTCCAACTCCTGATGTCAAACGATCAGCCCGCCTTGGCCTCCCAAAGTTCTGGGGTTACAGGCGTGAGCCACTGTGCCCAGCCTCAAAATATCTTATTATACTATACTCATACTTATTTTCCAACGTTGGTTGAACATGGGTAACTGAAATCATGGAAAGTGAAACCCCAGATTATTTTGTATTTATTCTCCTAGGACATGAAGTGTTTAATTCTGGTAGTATTTAGAAATTTCTAGAAAATCCATTTGAATGTTCAAGTGAATGGAAGAATATGTCACACTTGTCTTTGGTGAAGTCATGAGTGTATTGGAGGATTTCCACTCACAAAGATGGCCTCCTTCAACCTAAATGGTAACACAACTGCCAGGAAAAATGTGGGGGGAATTTAATCCAGGTGCTCTCACCCAGCCCTATTTCAGTGGACTCCAGTCTTGCATACCAATTCAGAATGTTCAAGCTTCAGCTCTAGGGTTCAAATGAGAGTAGACACAAAGGGGCATCTTGAGTCCAGTGCCAGTTCACGACATCCAATTTGGGCCTGAGTCAATTACTGGTGGGAAGAAGTTGGCCAGTTCCAAGAGAGTCCTGTAATTAACTATCAATTAATGTGGTGGGAAATTTATATAGAGACCAGAATATGGAACTAGGAATCAGGATCAAAACTTCATTTTAAAGATACTAGATGTGAGACTTCCTCAGCAGATCCAAAACAAGGTTGGTGAGACCAGGGGCAATCTATGGGACAACTAGCTAATATTTCAGTTTGGGGATAAAATTAGACTCACAACTCTGGATATTTGGAAACTAGATTTGATTCTTCTCTGAATGATAAAATTAGCTTGAGGGGATGATTACTGAAAGTGAACGATTCAAAGAAATACCAAGAATTCACCAACAAACAGGACTTCAGGAAATTTGAGATATCTGATTAAATTTTTGGAAATTCTAGAAAGTTTATTTTATGTTGATAACCAAAAAAAGAACATTTTTTTTTTGCTAGTGGGTTTTAAATTTTTTTTATTATACTTTAAGTTCTAGGGTACATGTGCACAATGTGCAGGTTTGTTACGTAGGTATACATGTGCCATGTTGGTTTGCTGCACCCATCAACCCTTCATTTACATTAGGTATTTCTCCTAATGCTATCGCTCCCCCAGCCCACCACCCCCCAACAGGCCCTGGTGTATGATGTTCACCTCCCTGTGTCCATGTGTTCTCATTGTTCAACTCCCACTTATGAGTGAGAACATGCAGTGTTTGGTTCTCTGTCCTTGTGGTGATTTGCTGAGAACGATGGTTTCCAGCTTCATCCATGTCCCTGCAAAGGATATGAGTTCATCCTTTTTTATGGCTGCATAGTATTCCATGGTGTATATGTGCCACATTTTCTTTATCTGGCCTATTATTGATGGACATTTGGGTTGGTTCCACGTCTTTGCTATTGTGAATAGTGCTGCAATAAACATACACATGCATATGTCTTTATAGTAGCATGATTTATAATCCTTTGGGTATATACCCAGTAATGGGATTGCTGGGTCAAATGGTATTTCTAGTTCTAGATCCTTGAGGAATCACCACACTGTCTTCCACAATGGTTGAACTATTTACACTCCCACCAACACAGAAGTCACAGGTCACAGAAGAGTTTCACTGCATGGGAAAGGGATTATCCTGGTGAAATACTAATATATGGTCCACTGAAAATGAGTCAGAAAACCCAAGTGAACTGATCTTAACTACATTAATAAATACTTATATGTATCATTTATTCATTGCATTCCTATTTCTCCACATCCTCTCCAGCATGTGTTGTTTCCTGACTTTTTAATGATCGCCATTCTAACTGGCATGAGATGGTATCTCATTGTGGTTTGGATTTGCATTTCTCTGATGACCATTTGATGAGCATTTTTTCATACGTCTGTTGGCTGCATAAATGTCTTCTTTTGAGAAGTGTGTGTTCATATCCTTTGCCCACTTTTTGATGGGGTTGTTTGGTTTTTTCTTGTAAAATTGTTTAAGTTAAAAGAACATTTCTTAATTCAGCTACATCTCTCCTTGAGTTTCTGGTTTGTGGGCAACAGTAAAGAAGGGGTGGTCTGGAAGTAAAGGATTCACAGTAAGTAAAAGTAATCCACACCAATTCTGAGGGGAAGGACCGAGTTGAGTATCTTCCCAGGCAGTATGGTTCACAGAGAGGCTCAGGGATCATAAGAGCTATGAAAAATAAGGTACAAAGAATAAGGAACATAAAATATATGAGGAATTATCTTTCTCCTCTCCAGTTAGCCTGACCCCTGTTGGCCTCTCATTAAGAAGGAAATCTTAATTATTAGTGTTTTCCTGGAAAATGAACATTTTTTCCATTAAATTCTTTTATGTTATCTAAAAGTCCACAGAAAAGAAAAATGATATACGTTTGTGGGATTAAAGACTTCAGAAAGTCCGGCAAAACTATTTCCAGATCTCAGATCTTCCAATAACAATCCAGTTTTATCTCAAATCTACAGGGCTAAAACTTTTATGTGCAGAAAAGCTTACAGGAGTTGCCCAACGATTGGCAATTAAAGATTCTGCCTTCACTTGGCTTATTTTATTGCAAGGAAACTTAGGGTGAGTTTATTGGGAGGCTGTGCCTGGGATGACCCTAGAATGGAAACACTGTCAGAGAGAAGAGCTCTGGGGGTGTCTCCAGATCTGCAAAGGGACAAGCCCATCAGTGGTAGAAATTGCTAGCAAAGCGAATCCTTATTGATCCTTGTGGTTGGCCCAATCCTTGGACTTCAGACGTCTTGTGGGAAGAAATACCATTTGTGGCAGTTAGTGTGGGTGCTTTTGACTGGGTTTCCTCCTGCTGCCCTTTGGGTACCCAAAACACTAAGGCTCAGAGCTGCCCAGGGCTTTCCCCAACAGTACAAACTCACCCACTTTCATTCCTGGCTTGAAGGATCTTGATAGAATAGAAGTTTTGGGTTCTTTCCATATTCCCCCCTCACTCCTCCGCTATGGCCCAGCTCTCACTGTGGGGAAGCTAGAAGTGGCACAGCTGGGGGTCTTGTTTCAAAATGAATTTCAAACTGTGGCTCAAAACCCACATGAGACTTCAAAAAATAATTTTTAAAACAAGCTAAAAAAAATTCTAGTGAATTCTTCTTACTCATGTCCAGCTGCATCTGACTCAGGTAAGCAAGGGCTCATGTCTCATCTGCCCCTGCCACTGTCTGTCTGTCCTTTGATGTTGGATTAGTTGTTTGCCCTGTGACCTCAGCTTTCTGATGGATTCAAGAAAGGTTTGAACTTGCAGTTTGTCTGTTTTTTTTTTTCTTTTTAAAATAATTTTAAGCCCAGACGGCTTTTTGATGTTGTAAGGGTGGGAGCCATGCTATTCCTTTTTTTTTTTTTTTTTTTTTGAGACAAAGTCTTGCTCTGTTGCCCAGACTGGAGTGCAGTGGTGCGATATCTTGGCTCACTGCAACCTCCACCTCCCAGGTTCAAGCGATTCTCATGCCTCAGCCTCCTGAGTAACTGGGATTATAGGTGTGCACCACCATGCCCAGCTAATTTTTGTATTTTTAGAAGACACAGAGTTTCACCATGTTGGCAAAGCTGGTCTCGAACTCCTGACCTCAAGTGATCCATCTGCCTTGGCCTCCCAAAGTGGTGGGATTACAGGCATGAGCCACTGCCCCCGGCCTAGAGCCACGCTATTTCTAACTCCCACATCTCCAAGAGGAAACTGGAAGTCTCCTCCATAGAACCTAACAAAATGGAAATGTTTGTCTATGGGTCTCTGGATCAAGACACTGCCAAGCTATGGACAGCAAGAACTGTGGCTCCTCCTCTGTATCCCCAGGTACGGTATGGTACCAGGTACATAGTAGGTGCTCAGGAAAAATGCCTGGGGCTTTTTGCTGCATTTTCATTTTAAGTGATCCTGTTCTCCCCTGTATTGCTGGGGCTAGCAACATTGGCATCACCTGGGAGCATGTTAGAAACGCACATTTTCTGGCTGCACCCCATCACTGAATCTGGAAAGTGGGGGGGTGGATGGGATCCCACAGTCTGTGGCTTAACAAGCCCTCCAGGTGATTCTATTTGAGAATCACAGGCCTTAGAGAAAGATAAGATCTGCAATTGCTTCTTCTTGCCCTTTTAGGGCTAATGCTGTGAGGTTTCAGGCTGTAGCCCTGATTTCTCACCCCTGGACACAGCCTAGACTCTCTCAGCTACTTTGTACTTGCCCATGCAGTTTCCCAAACCCTGAATCAATGACCTCAATTTTACCTCCTCCCACTTTAAGTGAAAGTCAGTGGCAATCAGTAAGCTAAAAAAAAAACAAAAAACAAAAAACAAACAAACAAACAAAAAAACAAACCAGCTGGGGAGCAGTGGCTCATGCTGTAATCCCAACACTTTGGGAGGCCAAGGTGGGTGGATCACCTGAGGTCAGGAGTTCGAGAATAGCCTGACCAACATAGTGAAGCCCCGTCTCTATTAAAAATACAAAAATTAGCCGGGCGTGGTGGCACACGCCTGTAGTCCCAGCTACTCGGGAGACTGAGGCATGAGAATCGCTTGAACTCCAGAGGCAGGGGTTGCAGTGAACCAAGATCGCACCAGTGCATTCTAGCCTAGGCCACAGAGTGAGACTGCATTTCAAACAAACAAAACGATGGACTTTCAAAATCTAGCCAGTGGTTTTTCAACCTTGGCCGCATATTGGAAGCACCTAGTGAGCTCTCAAAAACAAAACAAAACAAAACAAAACAAAACAAAACAAAACAAAAAAAACTTCACACCAATTAAATTATAATCTCTGGGGATGTGGCTTTTTGCTTGTTTGTTTTTTAGTTCCGCAGGTAATCCCATGAGCCAACAATCTTCTAGAGAATCAACACTCTGGTTCTGGCTTGGTAGGGAGACTCTGCCCTCAATTTTTTTTTTTTTTAATAAAATAAACCTAACCTCAACATTGGCTTTTTTTGGAGTAAGGCATTTCTCTCTCCCAGCACCCTCCACCCCACATCATGTGTGCCCTCTCCATGTGTGATCACGAAGGCAGAGATGAGGGTGTGTGTCAGTTCTGGGCACACAGCTATGGAGCTGACTGACTGCTCTCTAATATCCCATCCTGGGTGCACCAGAAAATGATCTGTAACACACTAAGGTGGAGAGGGTCCTCCTACGTTCTGTCTTTGGGTTTCAAGAGCAAAGAAAGTGCATGCATTCTGTAACTGCTCATTACCCTGGATTCTGTGTCATGGAGAGGTAGAGGAAAGGTTCTGACAAGTAAGACGTTTACCGGAGAATGAGTTTTCACTTTTAATAAACATCCAGCCTATTGCCTGGGCAAGCCAGCCAGCTTTGAGGCAGGTGAACTAGGTCATTGTTTCTGCTAAACTTTTCAGTGCAAAAGCAGCTCTCCTGTTAGAGAGCAGATCTGCACATCTTTGCAGAAGCTGAGTGACACATTAGCACATTCTCCAGCTTCTTCCTTCTGAGAGTGTCTAGCAGGTATGCACGAAAAGAAGTGTGTGCACAGGGTGGGGACCAATACAGCTTGACAGCTGAGACCACTAAGCACCGTACCCTCCTTCCGTAACAACTTCTGTGCCCTACTCTGCTCCAGCTTCACCACCAAAACTCTCCTCTTATGCTTCTGAAGTTGGCAGGACAGCAACCTTATCTCCCACAGCTCCATGCAGCTCCATCATCTGTGCATCCTTATCTACATAGCATCATCATCTGGTCCTATGCAGCCTGACCCCCTGGGCGCCCACCAGAGCCATCATATGGTCCCACCACACCTCTGCAGCCTTGCCTCCTATGGCCTCCTGCAGCTCTGTCATCTAACGGGCACTTTCCACCTCCACCTCTATGAACTCCTTCCTCTGATAATCAGAGACAGAATTAATCTTGCTTTTCTTGGTTCCAATAGTAGTACTTTATACATACTGTGTACTTTAGAACTTTTCCCACTTTATTATAATTGTTTGCTTGTAGTCCTTTCTCCCTTAATAAACTATATGTTCTTTGCAATCTGGTTTTTACTCATTAAAAATATAAATCCAGAGCCAGTAAGCAACTCATGAATGCTTATTGGTTTGATATCAGTACATGTTAAAGTTATGTTGGTTGATAGTTTGGAGTTGGGTGGAGGAAAACGGTAAGCCCAACTTTGAGGACGACTAAGGAGTTTCTGGGGAGCCATGTAGGTGGAAAGAGGCCACCACAACGGAATGATGTGGTCTGCAAAGGTAGACAGCTGTTGGGTGAAGATGGTGGACGATTGTCCAGCATGGCAATACCCAATGGCAACAGAATGTGAGCCACAAATACAAGCCAAATGGAATTTTAAATTTCTAGTGACCATATTTAAAAAAAAAATAGCAAAATAAATTGATGGAATTAATTTTAATAATGTATTTTATTTAACCTAATACAGTTGACCCTTGAGCAACACAAGTTTGACTTGTGTGGGTCCACTTATATGTAGATTTTCTTCCACCTTTGCCACCCCTGAGACAGCAAGACCCACCGCTCCTCTTCCTCAGCCTACTCAACACAAAGACGATGAAGATGAAGACCTTTATGATGACCCACGGCCACTTAATGAATACGAAATATATGTTATCTTATGATTTTCTTACTAACATTTTCCTTTCTTTAGCTTACTTTATTGTAAGAATGCAGTATATAACGTACAAAACATGTTTTTTTTTGAGACGGTGTCTCACTCTGTCGCCCAGGCTGGAGTACAGTGGTGCGATCTGAGCTCACTGCAAGCTCCACCTCCTGGGTTCACGCCATTCTCCTGCCTCAACCTCCCAAGTAGCTGGGACTACAGGTGCCCGCCACCACACCCGGCTAATTTTTTGTATTTTTAGTAGAGACAGGGTTTCACCATGTTAGCTAGAATGGTCTTGATCTCCTGACCTCATGATCCACCTGCCTCGGCCTCCCAAAGTGCTGGGATTATAGGCGTGAGCCACCGCGCCCAGCCACAAAATATGTTTTAATTGACTGTTTATGTTATTGGTAAGGCTTCTGATCAACAGTATGCTATTAGTAAAGTTTTTGGGGAATCAAAAGTTATACTTGAATTTTCTATTGTGCAGGGGTTGGTGCCCCTAACCCTGTCGATGTTCAAGTGATAATATGTAAAATATTATCATTTCAATATAATCAATATGAAAAATATCAAGGTATTTGATATTCTTTTACCTTTTTCTATGAAGTCTTTGGAATTTGGTATGAATTTTACACTTACTGCTCATCTCCATTTGGACTAGCCACATTTCAAAAGTATTTCAAAGCCACATGCAGTTCATGTCCACCATATTGGACAGCACAGTCTAGAGGCTGAGTAGACTGGAAGAAGGCCAACTCTTCCTTCTATACCTTGGGGCAGGGAAAAAAAAAAAAAGCCAGGTCCCGCCTAAAAGGCCCCAGGTTTATGAAAAAGGAGGGCCATGCCAGAATAAAAGACTACCACTAACAGGGAGCTTGTGGTCCCCCAGAGGGGCAGAGTAGCATGCACTAGGGGCCAGGTGCGAGCCTGGGCAGGGGTGCCTCAGAACTGAAGGGGCCGAGCAGAAATTCCACAGGTTCAAGACACATGTAACAAAGTCATTCTTTTAATGAGCCTCCCCACTCGATGCTGGTTTTATACCACTCAGTTTCATTATCTGTGTTATTATGGGATAATAACTCGCACGTGTTGCAGATAAATGACCAGACCAGCAATTTATGAGGGGCCATTCATCTTAGCCTCATGGCTGGACTAAAGGGGAAAATAGACAAGTTCATCCTTACAAATCCAATTAGAAGCAGTAAGTGAAGATCTTCCTGTAGTAGGACAGGGAATATTTGAATGTCAGACGCAGTTCAGAAGATGGAGGAGGTTAAGCATATCCCGAAGCTTTTATGTGGAGCAAGAAAGTTCAGCTTCTTGAACATGGAATTTTTTGGAAAACACAAGGGGAAAGCCTGAGCTAACACCCCCAAAAGGAAGCAGCAATTTTTCAGGGAGATTTTCTCGAACAATATATTGCAAAATAACTAGCCACTTAAGGAAAACACTGTATATTTAAGTTCTTTATATTCCTGCCTGTGTTTCCGGACAAATAGCAAAGGTACGTGGGAGGAGGGGGAGCCAGGAAAAGCAAGGGGACAACAGAGACTGTTCACCTCTCACTGGTTCAGAAAACAGTGAGTGTCCGGAGAACACAGCTCTGATCTGGAGACTGACCTCAAGCACTGGGAGACTCCTGTTCAGGATATCTTTTTCAGGGTAAAAGCATAGAAGGAAGTATTGCTTGGTCTTGCAGAACTGTAATAGCAAAACCCTCCACCTGCTCGATCCCTCAGATCTGCTTTCTAGATTATTCAGGGATAGATAAATTATTAGACTGAAGCAAAACAAAATGTACACAAACTTAGGTTGTTTTCAGTATTTAAGAAAGTTCATCCAATAATTAAAAGGGCGTCATTCTAGGCAACTGGCTCACCCCTTTGCATTTCTGGCTAATAACTGCCAAACAGCTTTGTTAAAGCGTTGTCAAAATATGGAACGACTCTGGGTATTTTTAGTTAAGGAGACTTTTTAAAAATAAGATTTTCATTTATCTTCTCACTCATTCACCTTAGTATTTCAAACCATGCCTACCTAAATAAACCTCCATAAGATTTGAGATCTGAATGTTTTAGATCAACATTTCAGACTATACCTACCCAGTACCTATTTTGTTGATAGACTCCACACTTCAGAGCCAGATAAATACAAAATAGCACATAAATAGCAGACCACAGTGCAAACAGTAGCCTGAATGCCCGTACTGCAATAAAGAGATGAACATGCCTTATAATATTTCAAAAAATGAAATATCTTTTAAATCAGAAAAAGCCACTTAAATACACACTAGGTGATCGAAAACACATAGTTAATGACAAGGAATTTCGTGAGATAAGAAACCAGAAAACAAGCACGCCGGCTGACCTAGTAGGACTTAATGGCTTCTTTTAAAATAAAAACATGAAAAGATCTTTCTTCCTTTTTTGAGTAGGAAAAACAAAAAGATCCCTTTGTAAACACACACACACGCCAATGTCAGAACTATATCAAGGGACCTAGCTGTTTAAATATTTTATTGCCAACAAATTTCACAGACAAGTACTTCTCTCCCTCATGGAGGCTAAGGTTTCTCCTGGGTTTGATATTAGAACTTGCTGGGTGTTTGGGCTTTTCCAGGTTGTTATGAAATAGCTACTGCTCCAGCATGGGTCTTCGTGATTGACTTTCAGGCACAAGTTAAGCTGCCTTTTTGATATGGGAGGTAGAAAGAAAGTATTTAGGCAGATAGGGTAAAAGAGTCCTCGGCAAGGCTTTCCTTCTAACAAAAATCAGCCCGAGAAATTATTCTCTTCGAACAAAGAGCAGCCTGAAAAATCGAGCTGCAGACATAGATAAGCAAGGTGGAAGCTTGCCCAGGTGAATGCCAGCAGTTGTGCCAAAAGAAAAGGGCTACCTGGGGGCCAGGTATGTTCAACGTGGAGGCCCATCTTCCCCTTTCTTTGTCACCATGTGTAGAGTAAAGGAACAGGCAACATGGCGCCAGCCGGGTAGATGACCCATCTGCATAATAAAAGATCAGGATGCGGGTGGCCAGCTTTTCGTGCCCTATGCAAATGGCACACCTAGTCCTAACCAGTTTGTCGTGCCTTATGCAAATGGAACACCTGGTCCGACCAATCTTTCGTCCCCTATGTAAATCAGACACCGCCTCTTCAAGCTCATCTATAAAACACACTGCATTTCACCTCAGAAGCAGAAACCCATTCAGGACCCCTTTCTCTGCAGGAGAGAGCTCTTCTATTTCTTTCACCTGTTAAACTTCTGCTCTAAAGCTCACTCATTGTGTATCCACGTTCTAGTTTTCTGTGACGGTGAGACAATGAATCTCGGGTATTTACCCCACACAACAATGCTACTTCATTATCATTTTGGAAAAGCCAGTTTTCTTTCCTATTTTGGCTCTGGGAAATGGTGGGCCGGTTCAGTCCTCTGTCCCGTGGGTTCCCCGTGGAGTGAGGATGGGAGGGGTGCTTCCATTGTGTGCCAGTTACTCTTGTAATCCCCAAGACTCCCACCAGCCCATTACCACACAGGTTAGAGGCCACAGATGTTACGTACCTTTCCAGATTCCTCTTGTAATTAATGTTGTGGAAAAGTTTTTCTGAGGCTATAATTCCTGAAGGGAAGTTAATAGTATGTGTTACAAAAAAATAACTCTAGAAGCAGGAATCTGTGAAAGGATTAGAATAGCTACATTGATAAATCTGGCTTCTCTTTTTCATTCATCACATCTGCCATGACTGGCTCCCATGTCAACTGTTCATGACTCTTTTCAAAGTATCATTTTCAAAAAGTTAAAATCATGGCTCAGGTCAAAGGTTTAATTCAATTCATTAATGATGGAACCAATGAGACAATAAAGTGTTTCAAAGAGCATTGGAAATGTATAGGCATTAAAAAAGAAGAGTGTTTGAATGAGATTGCTAGGTTGGATACAAAACTGCTCACTGTCCTACAAGGCAATAAAACTATAATCTTTGGGAAAATGATTTGCATCTCTACTAGACATTATACAAGTTAACAAGTAACTTCACAAAGTCTGGGATCTTTAGCAAATGGTATATAGCAAGTTATACAAAGGTATCTTCCTATGGAAGGCCCTGGGGTGGGCTTATAAACCAACACACTATTATGACATTGAAAGGATATCCTGAACTCTCCTGGCCTTATTTCCAAGTTCTGGATAATTTTTCTTAGCACTTTTGTTATTAATCCTTCCCTGCTCTATTTCCATCCATTATGAAGATGGTCAGAAGAATGTGCTGGCAAGTAGATTTCACAATGTGAAAGTTTTCAACACACACCAGAAATTCAGAGAATTGAGATGCATTTTGGAGTTGGGGTAGACGGAATAGGGGAGGGGGACTGAGGCAAAACTAAACAACAAATATAAGTGGGTTTTTTTTCTTTTTAAACTGACTATACCTCTAGGTTTAAAGTGCTTTGTCATAATCTGATAAACTACTTTGGGAAGCAGTTCATCAACTGCATTTTGACTTTGAATAACACATGGAGAATGCACATGCTCATTTTTTCATAGATAAGAGCCTCTTGATTTATCTCATGTTAATTATGCAATTCTATAAATGTTAATTGGTAACGGGCTAGGGACCAATTTGCAGAAAACAGAACAATAGAAAGCAAAGTGAAAAACTGAGGTTTGGAGCCAAGCTCAGGGTGGGGGAAAGTGCTGGGAAAAGGAAAGAAGAGGAGTTAGAGGTTGTGACCTCCTAGAAGCAACATGACATTGAACAGTTAGAACGGAAGCTGAATGAAGGTCTCTGGAAGTGGAGGAAAGCCCCTGGGTATGGAGATAGGGGTCACAAAGAGCAGCAGATTCAGAAAGAGAAAAGCTGTGTGGAGTTCCAGGGCAGCCTGGATATCAAGCTGTGTTGTAAGAGTTAGCTGAAAAAGTGTTACAAAGCGGTGACATTACCAAGGGGGCCAAGGTGATGGGAGCAGTCCACCCTCACCTAGGCAGCGTATTGTATCTCTGTAATTTTTCAGAAATTCTGGTGGATGGTGATAATGAAAAGCAAACTGACTCTTAGTTTCATTGTTGTGTGGAAATTAACAAAGACCACCCAAAAGAAAACAAACAGAGTCTCTTTATTCAGAGCAAGGGAGTCAGCCATCATCACTTGCAGAGACTCCAAGGTGGGCAGAGGAGTAGGAAAGATTTATGGTAGGAAAAAAAAGGCTCCGAGTGTGCTCTGATTAGAGATTGCTGGCATGGGGAAGCTGGAGGTGAGGTAATTAGAAATGGGGCATCTTACGGGATTGATTTGGGGAGCATATTTGCCTTTCTCTGGTTGGTCCTGAGTTGAAAGTGGAGGTAAAAACTAGGGAGGCTGGCAGTCATTGACCAAGTCCTGACCATTCTTGGCAGAGATTGTTGGTTAGGATTCTGTTGTCATATATGATCTGACCATTGTCCATTTGTATATGAGATAGCCATTGTCTGTCAGTCTCTCAATTGTTTCTAAATATTCTACTTGCATTCCTTTATTGCCTGCACCTTAGCAGATGGCTCTCTTGGTATGCTGCAACTATATAGAGATCTGACTGTAGTTGTATTAAAGTTGTACTGAATATGGATCAACGTTGTTGACAAAAAAGAATCAAACTCTGTAAAATATTTGAAGAGATTTATTCTGAGCCAAATATGAGTGACCAAGGCCCAAGGCACAGTCTCAAGCAGTCCTGAGAACATGTGCCCAAGGTAGTTGGGTTACAGCTTGATTTTATACATTTTAGGGGGACAGAAGTTACAGAAAGACATCAATTGATATATGTAAGGTGTACATTAGTTCAGTCTAGAAAGGCGGGACAATTGGAAGCTGGGGGCTTCCAGGTCATAGGTGGATTCATAGGTTTTCTGATTGCAAATTGGTTGAAAGAGTTAAGTTGTTATCTAAAGACCTAGTATCAGTAGAAAGGAGCATCTGGGTTAAAGTAAAGGGCTGTGGAGACCAAGGTTCTTATTATGCAGATGAAGCCTCCAGGTAGCAGGCTTCAGACAGATTCGATGGTAAATGTCTCTTACCAAACCTAAAAAAGTGCTATAATCTTAGTTAATCTTTCCTGGATCAGGAAAAGACCTGGGAAGAGAAGGGCATTCTCTGCAGAACGTAAATTTTCCCCACAAGAGACAGCTTTTTAGGGCCATTTCAAAATATGTCAAAGAAATATATTTTGGCGTAAAATACTTTGATTTCTTTCAGGGCCTGCTATTTGTCAATGTGATGCTATACTAGAGTCAGGTTGGAATTTAGTTTCTTATTTGCTACAAAGAGTCTGCTTTGTCAGTCTTAAGAGCTCCATTTTAATGTTAATGCTGGTCAGTTGTGCCTGAACTCCAAAGGGAGGAGGGTATCATGAGGCCCATCTGACCCTCCCACTTCCCATCATGGCCTGAACTAGTTTTTCAGGTTTACTTTGGAATTCCCTTGGCCGAAAGGGAGGTCCATTCAGTTGGTTGGAGGCTTAGAATTTTACTTTTGGTTTACAATGTAAAAAAGAGAAATCTGATTTATCTGGTAGCCATATTCAGGACATCCTGGCCATGAAGACACTCAAACTCTGACACAAAACCTGGGTTCTGGTGATGCATAGACTGAGCTATGATATTCCTGGCTTGATCAGTCTCCTGCACTTTTAACTTGTAATTCTCAGTAACTCTGCAGCCTGCCTGCACATTACTATGACAACCACAATCTATTAAATCAGAATCTCTGGGCATGGGCCCCAGGAATCAGTAATTTTTAGAAATCCCCCAGGCGATTGTAATGTACAGGAAGTTTGAGAATGAGCGCTCTAACCCTTGCTACTTAAAGTCTGGTTCCCCAGTCACTGGCAACATCTGCAGCACACAGGAGCTTGTTAAAATTTCAGAACACTGGGCTGCACCCTCCACCTTTGGAATCAGAATCTGCATTTCAACTAAGCTCCAGGTAATTAGTATGCGCCTTGAAGTTTGGGAAGCACTACTGAACAATTGGTTCAGTGTGGTCTCTTTGTGAAGAGGAGAAACACTAGTATTATTTCCCATTTTGCCACCCAAAGAAGAGATCTCTTCTCCCTGCCTTCATCTCATCAACTGACTGTAAACATTGCTAGAGGTGACAGCTCAGGCCTTCTTCTCTTGGAGAAACTGAGCAATTAGTCACCAGAGCTAGACTTTTAAAAATTAAAAGGTATAGTGTGGTCATGAACAGTGCAGTTGCTTATCACAATTCCCAAAAACTTAAGGAAAAAAGAAAACCGAGAGCAAAAGCCACCCCTACCAAAAAACAAAGTTGTCTTTTTTTTTTTTTTTTTTTTTTAAGACAGAGTCTCACTCCGTCACCCAGGCTGGAGTGCAGTGGCATGATCTCAGCTCACTGCAACCTCTGCCTCCTGGGTTCAAGCAGTTCTCCTGCCTCAGCCTCCCAAGTAGCTGGGATTACAGGTGCACACCACCATGCCCGGCTAATTTTTTTTATTTTTTAGTAGAGACGGGGCTTCACCATGTGTGCCAGGCTGGTCTTGAACTCCTGACCTCGTGATCCACCCGACTTGGCCTCCCAAAGTGCTGGGATTATAGGCGTGAGCCACCGCGCCCGGCCCAAAGTTGTCTCTTCCCAGGAAAACATTTTAGGTCAAAGAGTCAAAGGCTATTCCATTAGATTACCAAAACCCTTGAAGTTTGTTAAATAAATTAGTGTCAATAAAAAAAACCTCTGATTATTTCATGTTTTAAAAGCATTTCTAAGGAAGAAAAGATTCAGGGTGGGAATAAGTAATAATGAAATATTTGTATTTGTCCTTCTGTATGTGGAAGAGCTCACATCCAAGAACAAGATATTCTTAAGAATATCTTAAAACTTATTGACAAGGGTCTTAAACTGAATTAGGTAAGGCATGGATATTTCTCTAGAACCCCACCCCCACACACAAGAAACAGTCTAAGACTTCTTATCACATCTCATAAAAATTGTGAAGTCTACTTCTAATGAAGAAGTTAAATTGTGAGGATATGGTGTAAGGAAATGACACCAGATGCTAACTCCAATCCACAAGAAGTGACGATAACCAGAAGTAATAAATATGAAGGTTAATATATAACAAACTCTGTAAATATATACTTGCTGTCCTTTCTTCTCTCAGCCGCTTTAAAAGACATAAGATTATGTAAAGCAATAATTATAACAATGTATTTTTAGGTTTCTAACATATACAGACATGGTATATATAGTAGCAATAGCACAAAATAGGGGAAGGGAATGGAGCTATATAGGAATAAAGTTTTAATATCTTACTGGAATTAGGTTAGAATATTAGGAGTGAATTATAATAAATTAAGATGTATATTGTAAGCTGCAGAGCAACCACTAAAAAAAAAAATTAAAAAAGTTAAAATGTAATTAAAGGAATTAAAAGGATACACTAGAAAATATCAACTTACTACAAAAGAGAATAGTAAAGAAGGAAGACAGGAACAAAAAATACCTGAGACATGTAGAAAGCAAACAAAACAAAATGGCAGACATAAATCCAACTGTTTCAATAATAACTGTAAATGTAAATAGATTAGACAATCCAATCAAAAGGCAGTGATTATCAGATTGGATAAAGAAAACAAGATCTAACTATATGCTGTCCACAGTAGACACACTTAGGATTCAAAATTGTAAGGGCATGTTCATGTCTAAGGATTGGAGTCTATGCTGCGTGTGGATGAGTACATTTGATCTACTGTGTGTTGGGCACTGAGGTACAATGATTTTTTTTTTTGTCTTAACTATAGCTCTTTTGTATGAAAGATCCTAACCCTCTAATACCAAGACAATTTCAGCTCTTTCAGTGAGCATCCTGGAACATTCAAATATTATTCTCTCCTAATAAGTTCAAAGAGGAGAAGGACAAGATGAAAAGATGAGGCTAGAAACTATCAAATTATAATTTTCAAGAAGTTAAAAACATAGTTATACCTACAATAAATGAACATGTTTTGAAGATTTATTTAACTCACAAATGAAGGAGCCAGTAGGATGGTATAGCTGGTCCAAAGGAGAATGCTTAATCCTTAAGCATTTATAGTCTCTGAAAGAAAGAATGCTGAAACAAGATCTCCAAGCTAGAGACAAAAATGCTTAATATCAGATGGGGCAGAAAACCCATAATACTTTTCTAATGGAAAGAAATCATCTACATCTCTATCTGACAAAATCTCCTTCCCATCTCTTTCAGTTTATCAATTTTTTACAAGTTGTCATCTAATTTTATAAAGTCTTGGGTCTAACCAAGTAAATAAGAAATCAAGTTTGCCTACATTAACTGTACCTTAGGTGGGCATGAAGATAATGTTCTAGTATGACATGGAAAGGGCACACTATAATCTTTCTATGATCTAAGTTTTGGAAAGTTTTTCTTAAAAGCAGATTCAATTGTGAAATACTTTTTAATACGACAACAACAATCGCATGGCTAGTATTTACTACTGGCTCCTTTCCAGGCACTCTATTGAGCACTTTACATACTTTACTTCATTTCCTTCTCCTCACTCGAACAGTAAGGGATGGGTGTATAATGATTCCCTCCAATTTTGGATGAGAAAATTAAGGCTCAGGTAAATTAAGTAAGCTCCCCAAGGTAACACATCCAGTAAAAGGTGTAGCCAGGATTTGAACTTGTGGTTTCTTACTCCAAAAACCTTTTTGTATTTCAAAAAGAGATTTTCTAAAATGTCTTTGCATCCACAATAGTGCCTTGAATGTAACATGTATTCAATATGTGTTTCTGGTGACTTAATTGAAATTTCAACCAATACAAGCCAAAAAAAAAATTAACAAATAATTTTTTAAAGTCTTCCCTTTTGAATTTCTGTACAATTTCTCCTTCCCCATAGAAAATTCTTCTCTTTAGCCAGATTCCTTCTCATTCCCTTTAGGTAAAGATGCATAAAATTATACAATGATTGTATCACTCCAAAATACTCTGCAAGTTGGGAGCATGTATGGACATAAATCACTCTTTATCACAAAGTGCTGGCAGTGGAAATGTACTGGCTCTTCTTGTCACGGGGGTTAATTTTGAAATTCCATCATCTCTTTCAGCAAGGTGTCTAAAAGTACTTCATGGACAACAATCATTCACTAGATCACTTGAGGAAGTGAGTGAATATAAACTTAAATTTTTTTTTTTTTACAGATGGCAGACCCAGATAAGCTAAACAAGCCCAGGGTCACAGAGCAAGGACTTGAAAGAATGCAGAAAAGAAAGCCAAAGTTTTTACTTGAAACTTAGAGTTTAACTATTGAACAATCCCTGCCAAAGTTGTTTTCTTCCGTTTTAATAAGTCCTTTCTTAAGGAAAAATAATGACTTAAAGACAGCTGGTTATAAATGGGCAGTGAGAAAACACTTCAGAAAAAAGAATATCTGAAACATGTTTGGCAGTGACAATTTTCTTGATTCAAACAGTGAGTGATATTTGTATTTCCACATGAGTGACCACGTTCAACAAGATGTAATTGCCAAACACCTGGCATGTGTCACATACTCTTAGCTAAAAACAGAGCCATGGGAATCAAGAGCCCATCTGTGATCATGTACTGGAGAAGGACTGAAGTTAATAATCAAAACGAGTCTGTCTAGATGTTCTTTTCCAAAAACTATGCACTTACACTTACAGATCTCTTTCCACTTAAATAGCTTGAGTGTGTGCAGGTGTTCTGCAAGACTTGTGTTGCCATTGTTGTCAAATTCAATCTTATCTTCAGAAGCAGCTTAGTAATGAGCCAAATGAACAATCTGATCATTCCATTTCATGGTGCACATCATGGGAACACCTGGGTTGTGTCCCAATAAACAGACATATGACAAAGGCAGGGCAATGGCGAGCATGGCACTGGCCCAATTTGTCCTTTCTTCAGAAAATTACAGAGCTTGTCTGTATTTGGAAAAGGCCTTGATATACAGGCCTGAGCTAGGGCAAGAGGGGACAAGGAGTGAAGAGGACAAAGAAGTAATGCAACAACATCAGAAGCTTCTCAATCAATCAGAGCAGATGGTTTTGGGGGCCACGCAAACTATTTCACAACTATTCAACTCTGCTGGTGTCAGGAGAAAGCAATCATAGATAACGCATAAACAAATGGGTGTGGCTGTGCCCTAATAAAACTTTATTTACAAGAAGAGATGGCTGGCTAAATTTTGCCTGCAGACTATAATTTGGCTACCACTGAGTTAGAGGAATAGACGTCCAAACATAGCTTCACCTTGAGCTTGAACATTAAAACTGCAGATGTCATGATCTGACCTGGGATTTTTTTTGCCCTCTCAACACATCACAGAAAGTAGGTGTTTTCAAAATCTTTTTTTTCACATGTAAGTAGATTTACACAAACTGAACACATCCATGTAACAAGCAGCCAGATTTCAAAATACAGAAAGAGCAATACCAGCCCCTCAGAAGTCCAACATTATGTCTGTGAGACTCATCCCTGTTGCTGTGTGTAGTTGGAACTCATTCAATGCTATTTCTGTATAGTGCTCCACTGTGTAAATATTCTATTTATTCATTCTATTGCAATGGACATTAGATAGTTTCCAGTTATTTTGCTATTATGAATAGTTCTGCTATAAAAAGTCTAATCCATGTCTTTCAGAAAATATGCAGTCATATGTCACTTAATGATAGGGATATGTTCTGAGAAATGCATTGTTAGGCAATTTCATCGTTGTGAGAACAACACAAAGCAGACTAACACAAACCTAGATGGTACACCCTACTATACACCTAGACCATATGCTAGAACCTGTTGCTCCTAGGCTACAAACCCGTACAGCATGTTCCTGTACTGAACACTGTGGGCAACTGTAACACAATCGTAAGTACTTATGTATCTAAACATATTTAAAGATAGAAAATGTACAGTAAAAATATGGTATCATAATCTTATGAGACCACAGTTGTATATGTGGCCTGTCACTGACCAAAACATCATAATGCAGTGCATGGCTATATGTACAAATATTGTTAGGTCCATATCTAAGAGTGGAGTGGCACTGCTGGGGCAGGTTTAGTAGACTGTTTTCTACACACTGTTTTCAAAAGTAGTTTGCTCAAGTGGTATATACCCCACTGTGGTATGTGAGAGTTCCATTTTCTCCACATCTTTTCTAAGCAGTATTTTTCATCTTTCTCATTACAGACATTCAGGTGGGTGTGCGGTGGCATCTCATTGATGTTTTTATTCATTTCCCTGATAGCTAATGAAGTTGAGCAACTTTCATTGAGATTATTGGCCATTTGGTTATTATTATTATTCTGTAAAGTGTCTCTTCAGGTCTTTTGCCTATTTCCCTATTGTGTTGTTTGTCTTTTTCTTGCTGATTTTAAGATTTCTTTTTCCGAATTCTAGTTGTATTGCTGTGTAACAGGTTGCTTAAAACAATAGTGTAACAATAAACATATATTCTCTCTCACATTTTCTGTAGGTCAGGAATTGGGGAACAGTTTGATTGGGCTGGTTCTGGCTTGTGATCTCAAGCCAGATGTCAGAGATTGTCAGATGTCAGCGGGGCCTATAGTCATCTAAAGACTTGACTGGGGCTGGTGGATCTACTTTCAAGATAATGCACTCACATGGCTTATAAGTTGGTGCTGGCTGGTAGGAGGCCTCAATTCCTTTCCTATGTGATTCTCTTCACAGGGCTGCTTAAGTGTCCTCATGACATAGTGGTTGGCTTCCCTAAGAGTAAGAAATCTAAGAGAGCAAGGCAGTAGGCACAATACCCTTTGTGTGTTAGACTACGAAGTCATATACCCTCATCTCCGCCATATTCCACTGGTCACACAGACCAGCCCTGATTCAATGTGGCACTACACATGAGCACAAATACCATGAGGGGAGAACCCTTGGAAGCCATATTAGTCATGGTTCTCCAGGGGACAGAACAAGTTTTTTATATATATATATATATATATATATATATATATATATATATATATACACACACACACACACACACACATATATGTATATATATGTATATATATTTATATATACATATATATTCATATATATGTGTATATGTATATATATATATACATATATATGTGTATATATATACATATATATGTATATATATATATACATATATATGTATATATATATACATATATATATGTATATATATATATACACATATATATATATGTATATGTATATATAAAGGGGTTGATTGGGGGAATTCGTTCATACGATCACAAAGGTGAAGTTCCACCATAGAGCGTCTGCAAGCTAGAGAACGAGAGAAGCCTAGTAGTGTGGCTCAGTCCAAGTCTGAAAGCCTCAGAGCCAGGGAAGCCAACAGTGTAACCCCCACTCTGAGGCTGAAGGTCAGAGAGGCCCAGGAGGCTCCTGGGGCAAGTCCCAGAGTCCAAAAGGCAAAGAACCTGGAGTCTGATGTCCAAGGGCAAGAAGAAAAAAATGGCATCCTGCTCCAGAAATGAGAGCGAGGGAGCAAGAGCCAGTCGAGTATCCCCCTTCTTCCACCTGCTTTGTCCTAGCCCGGCCCCCCACCCTGCATTGAAGGTGGATCTTCCTCTCAGCCTACTGACTCATGCATCTATCTCTTCTGGAAACACCTTCACAAACATACTCAGGAACAATGCTTCACCAGCCATTTAGGTATCCCTCAATCCAGTCCAGTTGACACCTAATATTAACCATCACGGGGGCAATCTTGGAGGCTGGCTACCACATGAGTCAGTTATATCAAGTCATTTTTGGAAAAGAAAGAAAAAAAGGAAACGGTGAGGAAAAAATCCTTTGGGATGTGCTTTCAATCATGCTAACATGTCTTCCCTTCTCATCTGACTACTTAGCCATTCTTCAAAATTCAATTCAAGTCCCCAGTGCATCAGTTTCCCTGTGGCTCCACGTTTCTGTGCTTAGACATGCAGAGTGACATGAGACATTGCCTGCCAACTGATACAGATTTCAGAATCCCCAGAGGTTGCTGGCCCCCACGATATTCTGTTCTACTAAGTCATGCCTGAAATCCTGCTTTGGTGCTTTTTTAATTAAGATTTTAATCCTCTTTTAAAGCAAGCATCTTTGGGAGGGTGTAGTGCTATGAGTCATTTATCCCGTAGTTATTAAAGGGTCATCCAAGAGATGGTTTTCAGGTTGCAGAGAGGCACCAGGCACCTGAGAGGAGAGGAGGAATTTCTCAGCTGAATAAGGGGAACCTGGCAACAGGTCTGGGACTGAGAAGAGCCAAGAGAGGTGGTTGGGAACAAAATTTAAGGAAATATTTGCTCTCAGAGTCATGCAAGTATGGAGTCGGCACCTGAGAATGAACACCCCCTTAAACTTTGCATGGTAGGTACCTGGGCTCAGCCTGTGTACACACAATCATGGTAACAATCCCAGGGCTAACAACTTTAGGTAAAATGACTAGTTATTGCCATTTATCGGCGGTTTAATATGATTCAACTTAATATTTATTTACTAATTTACTAATTGTCAGGCGCTTTGCTCAAACAATTATTAATCCTCTCAAACCTCTGCAAAATAGGCATCGTCCCCATTTTATAGCTAAGGAAAGTGAGGCTCATCAAAGCTACAAAATTCGCCCAAGTTCACACAGCTGGTAAGAGTAGTCCCAGAAATCCAAAGTAGGTTGGCTTAAGTCCTACCCCTAGGCTGTTTCCCTCCCACCACGTTGTATATGTCTAGAGGAAGATAGAAATTGACAGCTATGGGTGTGGTGTAACTTGAGGCCAGCTGAGCAGAGGTTTACTCTATTATATTAGCAATGACCTGCAATGACCCACATTATACAAACATATTCATGCCACCTTTTAAGTGAAGCATAAACATTTGTGTCTGCAGAAGATGGCATGGGCAGAAGGAACTAATACAAAGTTCTCATGAATGAATAACTGCAGTTGAGAGAGATGTTATAGATGGAGCAGGGCGGATCTATGTCCATAGAGAGCTGCAAAACCTTTCAATAGAAATTTCTGTTTCAGGACCAGTGAGCCAGTCTAGTCTTTGTCCATTTCCTGTGAAAAGGAAAGAAGATTTTTTTATTTTTATTTTTTTTGTATATGAGAAAGTGATTTTACAGATAAGCATAGCTATTGTGAAATTCTGTTTTGAGCCGTAAGAGCCACAGCAAATTTTAACCTGCAAGAAAAGAAATGCCATTTTTTAGTGGAATCACTATCCTTTGATTTTTAGAATGAATTTATGAAAGTGTAGGTCAAAATTGCCAAGTGGTGGCAATTTCATATGGTACAACCTAATACATAATCAAGAGCAGGGTCAGCAAAATTTCCCTGCAAACGGCCAGACAGTAAATACTTTAGGCTTTGCCAGTCAGAAGGTCTCTGTTGCACTACTCAATTCTATGAAAGTAACCGTGTAAAATATGTACACGCATGGGCGTGGCTGTGTTCCAATAAAACTTTATTTATAAAAATGGGCAGTGGGCTGAACATGGCCTGCAGGCCATAGTCGGGCAGCCCCTGATCTAGAGGCAGTACTCAAGTGTAATTCAGTATTTTTCTTTGCTCTTTAATATTTTGATTTTTTTTTGTTTTGTGGTCTTGTTGTTTTTCTTTTTTTCGTTTTTTTTTTTTTAATTGTACTTTAAGTTCTGGGGCACATGTGCAGAATGTGCAGTTTTGTTACATAGGTATACACGTGCCGTGGTGGTTTGCTGCACCCATCAACCTTAACCTACATTAGGTATTTCTCCTAATGCTATCCTTCCTTCTTTTTTAAAAAACAAGTTTTTAAATGCTAAAGTGATGAGGATAAAAAATATCCTAGACAGTGCAAAGCGTCTTTGAAGGGTAGAGAAATGGTTTGGCCACAGCGCACACAATTTAAAGGGCCAGCTGTTTTCACTCTGCATTGCTAGCTGGAAGAGCCATCCGGTCTCATAACAAGTTCCAGGCTTCAATTTGGTATTTCAAAAATAGAACTTGTTGCTGGAACATCTCTATCTTTAAACATTTGGAGGGGATGCTAAATAAATCATGAGCCAAATATGTCATGTGTCCAATGCTATTGTTAGATAATACATGAGAACCTTTGATTTATGTGTATAACTATGTGATCTTGTGTATGCATATAAGAACACTGTATGGGGAATGAACGCTGAAAGAATAAATAAATGAATGAATAACATAGCTATACCTGAATGCACTAGAGGGTACCTGTGTGTGTATATTGATTCAAACTGACATTGTGATCACTGTCACAGGCTTAGATTCTCGATCTGGTTTCCCCATTGAACCTTAGGCAAATTTTTGGACCATATCATAGCTCCTTCCTCATCTACAAAAAAAAGAGATTAGATGAGATCGGAGGGTTGCAAACTCAGATGCCTCCAGGGGCCACGCTGATAATACAACAACTAAGCATTGTATAAGACAACAGACAGATGTTAAGCTGATTGTGCTATAATCTGCTTTTTGGTTTGGCCTATTAGAACTAGGTAGAGGACAAACAGTACTACTTGCAAAGTTCATATTTGGCCCGTGGGTTACCATCTCCTGACCCTAGGAACTAAAGTAAGGTTTCTGCACTATTGATATCTTGGGCCAGATACTTTTTTCTTTTGGGGGCTGTCTTGTGCAGTATAAGATGTTTAGCAGCATGCCTAGCTTCTGCTTCCTAGGTCCCAGTAGGACTAACTCCCACCTTTCCAATTAGTGGCAATCGAAAATGTCTCCAGACATTGCCAAGTATCTCCTAGGGGGCAAAATCACTCCTGGGCTAAAACCACTGATGTTTTGAGATAACTATGCAAACATGGGTTTTGAGGCATGGACGATATAGTGCTACTCAAAGTGTGTGGTCCCCAGACCAACGGCATCAGCATTATTTGTGCATGGGCCGTACTCATCCTGTACCTACAGACTCAGACTCTGTGGGGGTGGGGCCCAAGAACCGGTGTTTTAGCAAGACCTCCGGGTGACTCTGATGCTCACTGAAGTCTTAGCGGCATTGGAGTTGATTCTTCGGGGAGCAGTTTAAGCTTTTCTTCCCTCTTGAATGGAGGTGAAGGTAATGGGAGTGATCAGGATTCTGACAGGCAGGGTGGAGAGCAAAATGCTGGGGGAAGAGAAGAAACAGGGTTCCACATGGTTTTTCATCAATGAGAAGGGGAAGAAGGGAGTGGAGGCCTGATTTTAGTGGCATTGTCCATTTCCTGTGAAAAGGATTAATGGCCTTTAAGGATTTTAAATAACATGGGGTTCCGGAAATGAACTTTATTCACCATTTACCTGTGTACAGTAGTCCCCTTATCTGTAGGGCGATAGGTATCAAGACCCCCAGTGGATGTCTGAAACGATGGATAGTACCAAACCATATATATATATACATTGTTTTTTTCTTGTACATACATACCCATGATAAAGTTTAATTCATAAATTAGGCATAGTAAGAGATTAACAATAAATAGTAATAAAATAGAACAATTATGACAATATATTGTAATAAAAGTCACATGAATGTGGTTTCACTCTTCCTCTCAAAATATTGTACTGTACTTACCTATTTTTGAACCGTGGTTGATTGACAGTGGGTAACTGACACCTCGGAAATCGACACCTCCCATAGGGGGAGGCTACATATAGAATCCAGGCTCTCTTCATACATTTGGGCCATGTATCTATAGTGAGTTGATGCTAATCACAGTGACTGCCACTCCAAAATAAAGCCCCACACATGACTGCGACTCCTCCACCTCCTCTGCTTCTGCTGATAGAAACTCACATTCTTTTTTTTGAGACGGAGTCTCGCTCTGTCACCCAAGCTGGAGTGCAGTGGTGAAATCTCAGCTTACTGCAGCCTCCGCCTCCTGGATTCAAGCGATTCTTTTTTTTTAACTTAAGTTCTGGGATACATGTGCAGAATGTGCAGGTTTTTTACATAGGTATACATGTGCCATGGTGGTTTGCTGCACCTGTCAACCCATCATCTAGGTTTTAAGCCCCGCATGCATTAGGTATTTGTCCTAATGCTCTCCCTCCCCTTGCCCCCATCCCCCAACAGGCCCTGGTATGTGATGTTCCCTTCCCTGTGTCCATGTGTTCTCATTGCTCAACTCCCACTTAGGAGTGAGAACATGTGGTGTTTGGTTTTCCATCCCTTTGTTAGTTTGCTGAGAACGATGTCTTCCAGCTTCATCCATGTCCCTGCAAAGGACATTAACTCATTCTTTTTGATGGCTGCATAGTATTCCGTGGTGTGTATGTGCCACATTATCTTTACCCAGTCTATCATTGATGGGCATTTGGGTTGGTTCCAAGTTTTTGCTATTGTAAATAGTGCTGCAATAAACATACATATGCATGTGTCTTTATAGTAGAATGATTTATAATCCTTTGGATATATACCCAATAATGGGATAGCTGGGTCAAATGGTATTTCTGGTTCTAGTTCCTTGAGGAATCGCCACACTGACTTCCACAATGGTTAAACTAATTTACACTCCCACCAACAGTGTAAAGCATTCCTATTTCTCCACATCCTCTCCAGCATCTGTTGTTTCCTGACTTTTTAATGATCTCCATTCTAACTGGCATGAGATGGTATCTCATTGTGGTTTTGATTTGCATTTCTGTCATGACCAGTGATGATGAGCTTTTTTTCATTTGTTTGGTGGCTGCATAGATAACTGCTTTTGAGAAGTGTTTGCTCATATCCTTTGCCCACTTTTTGATGGGGTTGTTTGTTTTTTTCTTGTAAATTTGTTTAAGTTCCTTGTAGATTCTGGATATTAGACCTTTGTCAGAGGGATAGATTGCAAAAACTTTCTCCCATTCTGTAGGTTGCCTGTTCACTCTGATGGTAGTTTCTTTTGCTGTGCAGAAGCTCTTTAGTTTCATTAGATCCCATTTGCCAATTTTAGCTTCTGTTGCAATTGCTTTTGGTGTTTTAGACATGAAGTCTTTGCCCATGCCTTAGTCCTGAAGGGTATTGTCTAGGTTTTCTTCTAGGGTTTTTACGGTTTTAGGTCTTACATTTAAGTCTTTAATCCATCTTGAGTTAATTTTTGTATAAGGTGTAAGGAAAGGGTCCAGTTTCAGTTTTCTGCATATGGCTAGCCAGTTTTCCCAGCACCATTTATTAAATAGGGAATCCTTTCCTCATCACTTGTTTTTGTCAGGTTTGTCGAAGATCAGATGGTTGTAGATGTGTGGTGTTATTTCTAAGGCCTCTGTTCTGTTCCATTGGTCTATGTATCTGTTTTGGTATCAGTACCATGCTATCTTGGTTACTGTAGCCTTGTAGTATAGTTTGAAGTCAGGTAGTGTGATGCCTCCAGCTTTGTTCTTTTTCCTTAGGATTGTCTTGGCTATACAGGCTCTTTTTTGGTTCCATATGAAATTTAAAGTAGTTTTTTCTAATTCTGCAAAGAAAGTCAATGGTAGATTGATAGGAATAGCATTGAATCTATAAATTACTTTGGGCAGTATGGCCATTTTCATGATATTGATTCTTCCTATCCATGAGCATGGAATTTTTTTCCCTTTATTTGTGTCCTCTCTTATTTCCTTGAGCAGTGGTTTGTAGTTCTCCTTGAAAAGGTCCTTTGCATCCCTTGTAAGTTGTATTCCTAGGTATTTTATTCTCTTTGTAGCAATTGTGAATGGTAGTTCACTCATGATTTGGCTCTCTATTATTGGTGTATAGGAATGCTTGTAATTTTTGCACATTGATTTTTGTATCCTGAGACTTTGCTGAGGTTGCTTATCAGCTTAAGGAGTTTTGGGACTGAGATGATGGAGTTTTCTAAATATACAATCATATCATCTGCAAACAGAGACAATCTGACTCCTTCTCTTACTATTTGAATACGCTTTATTTCTTTCTCTTGCCTGATTGCTCTGGCCAGAAATTCCAATACTATGTTGAATAGGAGTGGTGAGAGAGGGCATCCTTGTCTTGTGCTGGTCCATTTCTTCTAGATTTTCTAGTGTTTGTGTGTGTGTGTGTGTGTGTGTGTGTGTGTGTGTGTAGAGATGTTTATAGTATTCTCTGATGGTAGTTTGTATTTCTGTGAGATCAATGGTGATATCCCCTTTATCATTTTTTATTGTGTCTATTTGATTCTTCTCTCTTTTCTTCTTTATTAGTCTGGCTAGTGGTCTATCTATTTTGTTAATCTTTTGAAAAAACCAGCTCCTGGATTCATTGATTTTTTTGAAGGGTTTTTTATGTCTCTATCTCCTTCAGTCTCCTCTGATCTTAATTATTTCTTGTCTTCTGCTAGCTTTTGAATTTGTTTGCTCTTGCTTCTCTAGTTCTTTTAATTGTGATGTTAGGGTGTTGATTTTAGATCTTTCCCACTTTCTGATGTGAGCATTTAGTGCTATAAATTTCCCTCTTAACACTGCTTTAGCCGTGTCCCAGAGATTCTGGTGCACTGTCTCTTTGTTCTCATTGGTTTCAAATAATTTACTTATTTCTGCCTTAATTTCATTATTTACCTAGTAGACATTCAGGAGAAGGTTGTTCAGTTTCCATGTAGTTGTGTGGTTTTGAGTGAGTTTCTTAATCCTGAGTTCTAATTTAATTGCACTGTGGTCTGAGAGGGTGTTTGTTATGATTTCCATTCTTTTGCATTTGCTGAGGAGTGTTTTACTTCCAGTTATATGGTTAATTTTAGAATAAGTGCTGTGTGGTACTGAGAAGAATGTGTATTCTGTCGATTTGGGGTGGAGAGTTCTATAGATGTCTATTAGGTCCACTTGGTCCAGGGCTGAGTTCAAGTCCTGAATATCCTTGTTAACTTTCTGTCTTGTTGATCTGTCTGATATTGACAGTGGGGTGTTAAAGTCTTTCACTATTATTGTGTGGGAGTCTAAGTCTCTTTGTAGGTCTCTAAGATCTTGCTTTATGAATCTGGGTGTTCCTGTATTGGGTGCATATATATATTTAGGATAGTTAGCTCTTCTTGTTGCATTGATCCCTTTACCATTATGTAATGCCCTTCTTTGTCTTTTTGGATCTTTGTTGGTTTAAAGCCTGTGTTATCAGAGACTAGGATTGCAACCCCTGCTTTTTTTTTTTGCTTTCTATTTGCTTGGTAGATATTCCTCCATCCCTTTATTTTGAGCATATGTGTGTCTTTGCATGAGAGATGGGTCTCCTAAATACAGCACACCAGTGGGTCTTGACTCTTTATCTAATTTGCCAGTATGTGTTTTGCAACTGGGGCATTTAGCCTATTTACATTTAAGGTTAATATTGTTATGTGTGAATTTGATCCTGTCATCATGATGCTAGTTGTTTATTTTGCACATTAGTTGATGCAGTTTCTTCATAGTGTCAATGGTCTTTACAATTTGGTATGTTTTTGCAGTGGCTGGTACCAGTTTTTCCTTTCCATATTTAGTGCTTCCTTCAGGAGCTCTTGTAAGGCAGGCCTAGTGGTAACAAAATCCCTCAGCATTTGCTTGTCTGGAAAGGATTTTATTTCTCCTTCATTTATGAAGCTTAGTTCGGCTGGATATGAAATTCTGGGTTGAAAATTATTTTCTTTAAGAATGTTGAATATTGGCCCCCCACTGAGTGGGCCTGTAGGGGCTTCTGGCTTGTAGGGGTTCTGCAGAGAGATCTGCTGTTGGTCTGATGAGCTTCCCTTTGTAGGTAACCTGACTTTTCTCTCTGGCTGCCCTTAACATTTTTTCCTTCATTTCGACCTTGAAGAATCTGAAAATTATGTGTCTTGGGGTTGCTCTTCTTGAGGAGTATCTTAGTGGTGTTCTCTGTATTTCCTGAATTTGAATGTTGGCTTGTCTTGCTAGGTTGGGGAAGTTCTCCTGGATAATATCCTGAAGTGTGTTTCCAACTTGGTTCCATTCTCCCTGTCACTTTCAGGGACACCAGTCAATCATAGGTTTCTTCTTTTCACATAGTCCCATATTTCTTGGAGGCTTTGTTTTTTTCGTTTTCATTCTTTTTTCTCTAATCTTGTCTTCACACCTTATTTCATTAAGTTGATCTTCAATTTCTGATATCCTTTCTTCCACTTGATCGATTCAGCTATTGATACTTGCGTATGCTTCACGAAGTTCTCGTGCTGTGTTTTTCAGCTCCATCAGGTCATTTATGTTTTTCTTTAAACTGGTTATTCTAGTTAGCAGTTCCTGTAACCTTTTATCAAGGTTCTTAGCTTCCTTGCATTGGGTTAGAATATGCTTCGTTAGCTCAGAGGAGTTCGTTATTACCCACCTTCTGAAGCCTACTTCTGTCAATTTGTCAAACTCATTCTCTGTCCAGTTTTGTGCTCTTGCTGGAGAGGAGTTGTGATCATTTGGAGGAGAAAAGACATTCTGGTTTTTGGAATTTTCAGGATTTTTGCGCCGGTTTTTCCTCATCTTTGTGGATTTATCTACCTTTGATCTTTGATGCTGGTGACCTTTGGATAGGGTTTTTGTGTGGGCATCCTTTTTGTTGATGTTGATGTTATTGCTTTCTGTTTGTTAGTTTTTCTTCTGTCAGGCCCCTCTTCTGCAGGTCTGCTGGAGTTCACTGGAGCTCCATTCTAGACCCTGTTTGCCTGGGTATCACCAGCGGAGGCCCCAGAACAATTAATATTGCTGCCTGCTCCTTCCTCTAAATGCTTTGTCCCAGAGGGGCACCCACCTGATGCCAGCCAGGGCTCTCCTATATGAGGTGTCTGTCAACCCCTGCTGGGAGTTGTCTTCCAGTCAGGAGGCATGGAGGTCAGAGACCCACTTGAGGAGGCAGCCTGTCCCTTAGCAGAGCTCGAGTGCCATGCTGGGAGATTCGCTGCTCTCTTCAGAGCCAGCAGATAGGAATGTTTAAGTTTGCTGAAGCTGTGCCCACAGCTGCCCCTTCTCCCATATGCTCTGTCCCAGGGGGATGGGAGTTTTATCTATAAGCCCCTGACTGGGGCTGCTGCCTTTCTTTCAGAGATGCCCTGCCCAGTGAGGAGCAATCTAGGGAGGCAGTCTGGACACAGCCACTTTGCTGCACTGTAGTGAGTTCTGCCCAATCAGAACTTCCCAGCTTCCTCAACACTGTCAGGGGAAAACTGCCTACTCAAGCCTCAGTAATGGTGGACGCCCCTCCCACCACCAAGTTTGATCATCCCAGGTCAACTTCAGACTGCTGTGCTGGCAGCAAAAATTTCAAGCTAGTGGTTCTTAGCTTGCTGGGCTCCGTGGGAGTGGCACCCGTGAGTGAGACCACTTGGCTCCCTGGCTTCAGTGGAGTGAATGGTTCTGTCTCACTAGGGTTCCAGGCACCACTGGGGTACAAAAAAAAAAAAAAACTCCTGCAGCTAGCTCAGTGTCTACCCAAATAGCTGCGCAGTTTTGTGCTTGAAACCCAGGGCCCTGGTGGTGTAGGCACACGAGGGGATCTCTTGGTCTGTGGGTTGCAAAAACCGTGGGAAAAGCATAGTATCTGGGCTGGATAGCGCAGTCCCTCATGGCTTCCCTTGGCTAGGGGAGGGAGGTCCCCGGCCCCTTGCACTTTCCAGGTGAGGCGACGCCTTGCCCTGCTTCTGCTTACCCTCCATTGGCTATACCCACTGTCTAACCAGTCCCAGTGAGATGAACCAGGTACCTCAGTTGGAAATGCAGAAATCACCCACCTTCTGCATTGGTCTCACTGGGAGCCACTCCTATTCAGCCATCTTGCCAGATCTCTCAAGTGATTCTTCTGCCTCAGCCTCCTGAGTAGCTGGGATTACAGGAGTGCACCACCGTACCCAGCCAAAACTCACTTTCTCTTTACCCTGACCAACACTTTCCAGCACAATATACTTCCACCTCCCCTCCCGCAACCAGGAATGAGCACATGACGCAAGCAAGACCTATCAGAATCCTCCTGCCATTTTTCAAACTAGATCTAGTGTGCTGGCTTGAGGGAATGATTCCCATGCCATAGAAAGAAGTAGGGGGAGAGAAAGGGAAAGCTGATGGTGTTTGAGCTGGTTCCAGTTGCTCCTACATCCTTCCTGTGGTTTGAGTGTGTGTGCCAATAAATGCCTCCTCTTTTTGGCATAGGTTGAGTCAGCTTTCTGTCAACTGCAACCACAGTGTCCTAATACACAACTCAGCAATAGTAATCTAGAAAATATGACTGCCTGTTACCTACTAAGGATTATGACCTGGGTTTATGGTTGTAAAATACGTTATAGAATAATCCTAATCCATTATTTTTCTTTAGATTGACAAACCTACATGAATATTTATAAAAGGAGCAAAATGCTAAAAGAGGTTTAGAATAATACTGTTTTAATTTAATTATGATTTGATTATGAAAGACAGTTTCCCTCTATTCTCATCTCCACATTGACTTAGAAAAAAGTAATTTCCATATTGTTTAGGTCTTTTTTGTTTAAAGAACTAGACCCCACCAAATATCCTGGGAGTGGGGGGAGTTGTTGGGATGTGTGTGTGGATGTGTGTGTGTGTGTATGTGTGTGTAATAAATATTCATTGAAGGACATCTAGCAAATCCAGAAAGAAAAAAGAAGAAAATTAAACTGCTCTATAATCCTACTATTCAAAGATAGCCATGATTAACATTTTTTGTGTCTTCAATTTTTTTCCCCTTCCATATAGAAGTTTAAAAGCCCTATTTACTTAACCTCTGGAAATCACCAAACACACCAAGATGTACTTATTAGTTGTATAGAGTTGTGCTGAGTTCTTTACAAAATAATCAAACTAAACCTGTTCTATGATCTCTAGGTGCTTATCGTCTATAGGGGGGTTACAAACTTTTTCCTGTAAAAAGCCAGATAGTAAATATTTTAGGCTTTGAGGGTCATACGATCCTGTCACAAATATTCCCTTCTTGCTACTGTAGTGAGAAAGCAGCTATAGACCATATGTAAAAAAAATATATATATGTGGCTGTGTTCCAATAAAACTATTTACAAACGTAAGCATGCAGACTGAGCTACCATCCCCTACACAAAACCAGCAGGTCAGCATTTTAATGCCAACCAACAAAATATTTTCTTTTATTGTAGATTAAAATGTAATAACTACTGTATTTTATTGTCAATTAAAATTTTTTCTTTTTAATATAGATTTCTACATTAAGCAACTATCATTTCTCTTGGTAAAGAATAAAGAGGACTATAGTAATCGATAGTACCCTATAGAGTCACTGACAAGGGGAATGAATGTTACTTGGAATAAAATCTACATCCTCAAATATTCCCACATCCTCAGGAACACATATATGTGCCAGGAAAAGATTCCAGGACAATAAGCCAAGCTAGACTAACTAGAACTTGACTTATATACATCTGCTAGCAAAGTCAGCAGAAGCTGTATTGGTACTTATCTATGAGACGAAGGCTCACTTTACTAACATATATTTCTTTCTATGAAAGCTAAGAACAGAGAACATCACTGAGGCCTGGTATGGATGAAGCGTCTGGAAGTGACCTTGATCACACTGAGTGGTCCCTAGTTAGTTTCCCCTGGTTCTAGGATGGTGAAAGTAAATGGGAACTACTCTGTACTGGATCAATTTCAGAACTCCCTAGAGGTCTGAATTGTCCTCTGAAATGAGTCAGGAGAAGAGTGCTTATGGGCCACTTCTGTGCTCATTGCTGGAGTCCTTCTGGCTTCCCAGCAAGCAATGGGGTGGGGATGGTTTGTCACTGTACCTTCTTTCAGAGTGAAGAGATGATCCCCACATGAACTGACTTGTTGGTAAGCCTTCTTTTCCCCTAACTGGGCTGACTCACGGGATGCACTGTAGCCCAGACACCCTGTGAGCTAGCCCAAAAAGAGAAGGCTGTGATAATTACTCCCCCGGGGCAGAAACTTGCCTGAGAATTTAGTATGGGGAGCCTAAGGGCACACTTTAGGAGGAAAACTTAGAGGAAGACTAAAAGCTGAGGCTTCAGGGAAGGGCACCCAGGAGGTCTAGAACGAGAGCCAGATAGAAACTAGAGTAAGGGTTGAAACTTACAAATGGGAGACTGCGGAAATCCAGCTAGGACTGGAGCTGAGACGAGCAGGATTTGGGGTTTGGGGTTTGGGAATGAGTAGAAAAAAATCCAAATTGTCTATGAGTTTGCCCTGAAGCCTAACCCAGCAGAGGTCAACCAAACACCCCCTTGGTGGGGACTACAGTCTGGTTCTCAAAACTTCAGTGTGCATAAGAGTCATTTGATGGGCTTACTTACAATGCAAATTACTAGACACCCACCTTCCTCTTCAGGGATTCAGATTCAGTTATAGCTAAAATGGGACTTGAAGATTTCCTTTTTTAAAAACATTCCAGGTGATTTTGATGCACTGGTCCTTGAACTATGCTTTTGGGAAGACTAGACATAAGATAAAATTATGTCTTCTCTGCTATCGTATCTATAACTGCTACTGGGGTAGCTTGGCCGCCAACCTGGGCTTTTTCATTTGTTTCGTATTTTTAATCTTAAAATAACTTTTGTACTATTTGCCTTAATTTTCTTTCCAACCATGTTCTGAGATAGGAATTTTTATAATCACTTTTAAACGAGGTTCACAACACTTCATGTAGAGTAATAAACGGCTGAGCTCACAGCACTGAGACCTTTTGAGCACAATGTCAGTGCTCTCGCCCTATTACATCAGATATTTGTGCAAAAAAAATGAAAATGTGTAGGATCTAGTAATCCTGCCCAAATCTCCTGGGTCTTTGAGGACCAGAATGACTCAGGACTAAATCAGAAGCTGCTCTATCTTATATATAGGAGGCATGCAATATGACAATTCAGTAGCACAGCCCCAAACAGAGATGAAATCTTTCAAGGTACAGTCAGTGTGGTTTGAGAGTGTAGAAGGGGAAAACGGCATTATTGAAAAGGCCAGTGTTTGCACAGCTGCTGATCCAGCTCGCAGAGTCTAGGATCAGAAAAACCAAACTTGGTAAGATTCACACTGGCAGAAAAGATGCGAGAAGAACCTGCAGCCCATCAAAGAGAGCTTCAGACAAACTGGTGAAATGTGGTTTTCTTGCTGCTCCACATCACCTAGGCCTGAGTCTTTCAGATCCACAGAGGAGGCTTTAGGTTCAGCAGAGGAAATTAAAGCCTCATCTTCTGGGTAGACTTAGGGTAAAATCAGCCATCTCCAATGGGACTCTGGTTTGCCCTCAGAACTGAAGGAAGGAATTAACCTCAATCTTGTGATTATCATCCAGGAACATGGGACAGGTCCCAGCAACTAAGATTCCCAGGGCACACATCTTAGAGCTACTTCTATCTGACACCTCGTTACTCAAAGTGTAGTCCGTGGACCAGCAGCATTAGCATCGCCTTGGAGCTTATTAGAAACGCAGAATCTCAGGGCTACCTCAGACTGGATTAAAATCTGCATTTTAATAAGACTCCCCTAGGTGACCTATATGCACATTGAATTTGAGACTTTAAAGCAGACACTCTGACCCTAATATGTATTCAAAATAATACATGGGCTAGAAACTGTTGGAATTAGATCAGCTGCTAACATCAGGAGCAAGAGATAAATTTTCATAAATTTTAATGATTTTCCTGGTCATCCCACGTTATTTGCTTTACTAGAAAGTAAAGATGTACAACAGGTTTAGAAAGAAAAAAAAAAACAAAGTTATTTCTTTGTTTGTTTTTGGTTTTTTTTTTTTTGCGACGGAGTCTTGCTCTGTCACCCAGGCTGGAGTGCAGTGGCTCAATCTTGGCTCACTGCAACCTCTGCCTCCTGGGTTCCAGCAATTCTTGTACCTCAGCCTCCCAAGAAGCTGGGACTACAGGCACGTGCCACCACACCCAGCTAATTTTTTTTGTGTATGTATGTGTTTTAGTAGAGATGGGGTTTCACCACGTTGGCCAGGCTGGTCTCGAACTGCTGAGCTCAGGCAATCTGCCCACTTCGGCCTCTCAAAGTGCTAAGATTACAGGCATGAGCCACCATGCCTGGCCCAAAGCCATTTACTTCTAATAAATATCCTTATTAATTTGTTAATTATTAATTCATGCCCAACTCTCTCCACAAAAAAATTTAAAACCATTTTTAAAAGTGTGAGAAGTTGTAGCAGGTTTTATTTTCCGAAACAGCCACAGCAGTATTTCCCATCCTTTCCAGAATCTTGTCATTTCTCAATTGAAAGATGGACTCTATTTTCCTTCCCTGGGAAGGACTGTGTTTCCACCCTGAGGAAGAAAATGTGGTAGCAGTAATGCTACCTAACTTCCAAAGCTAGGTCATAAAAGGCAATATAGCTCCTGCCCAGCTCATTCTATCTTGGGATAGAATCTTGTGGTACCCAGTGGGTACCCAGCCACTATGTCAGTCATATGAACAGGTGACATGTAGGTGTTCTGGCCATAGCCCCAGTTGTTTTTGTCTTGTCACTTAACAGCATATAAGTGAATATATTAGTCCATTTTCACGCTGCTGATAAAGACATAATGAGACTGGGAAGAAAAAGAGGTTTAATTGGACTTACAGTTCCACATGGCTGGGCAGGCCTCCAAATCATGGCGGGAGGTGAAAGGCACTTCTTACCTGGCTGCAGCAAGAGAAAAATGAGGAAGAAGCAAAAGTGGAAATCCCTGATAAACCCATCGGATCTCATGAGACTTATTCACTATCACGAGAATAGTATGGGAATTACCAGCCCCCATGATTCAGTGATCTCTCCCTGAGTTCCTCCCACAACAAGTGGGAATTCTGGGAGATACAATTCAAGTTGAGATTTGGGTGGGGACACAGCCAAACCATATCAGTGAGCAAACCTTCAGATGATTCCAGCTTCCAGCCTTTGAGCGGCCCCAGGTGATGCCATGTGGAGCATAGACAAGCTGTCCTGCCAAGCCCTGCCCAAAGTGTGTATTTGTGAACAAAATAAATATGGATTTTTTTTAAGTCACTATGTTTTGGGATAGTTTGGTATATAAGACTAGATAACTGAAACACTACTATAAACTCATACCATAGTTATGAGAATAAGGTAAAAGGAAAATAAAACTAGAAAAGGAATAAACCTAGCAACAAGAAGAGTTTGGGGGGAACCAAAGCTTTATTTATTTCTGAAATACGAGGGATTTTTTGTTTGTATGGTTTTTGGTTTTTGTTATTATTTTTGTCTATGATTTCTGGCAAAGAAGAATATAGTTTAAGGCAATGTTTGTCAAACTTTAATGTGCACACAAATCACCTGGGGGTCTTGTTAAAAAGCAGATTCTGACTCAACAGGTCTGGAGTAGGGTCCAAGATTCTCTATTTCCAACAAATTTCCAGGTGATGTCAAAACTGCTGTTCCCAGGACCACATTTTGAAAAGCAAATATGTAAGGCAGCTTTGGCAACTTTTCTGCAACACATAAAAATGAGCTTCATAAGTCTGTTCTTATAAGACACCTGTTCTTATAAGACACCTTCATCATAGAGTAAATGTATAAGGCAGATGTAAATTCACTAAGTGATCTGTGTGGGGCCGAAACAATGATGATCAAATACAAAGCTTGCTAATGGATTAACTTGGTCCAAGGAAAAAAAATTAAATATCTGAGGATGGACTTCATTTATGTCTTTTCTTTTCTTTCTTTCTTTTTTTTTTTTTTTTTTAGCTTGAGACAGGGTCTCACTATGGCGTATGTCATCCAGGCTGGTCTCAAACTCCTGGCTTCAAGCAATCCTCCTGCCTTGGCCTCCCAAAGTGCTGGGATTGGACTTCATTTCTCTTAAGCAGTGCTCCAAAAATATTATTTCTTGTAAAATGTGCTTTCGACAAGATTTGCAGAGCAGATTGTGAACACAGTGCCAGACATTTTCTGTTGCCAATTAGGGAAAGATCCATATGTTTCAACCATCAAAAGGATAGGGTAGTGCTATGGTTTGAATATTTGTCCCCTCCAAAACCCATGTTGAAATTTAACCTTCAATATGGCAGTATTGAGAGGTGGGGCATTTAAGTGGTGATTGGGTCAGAGGGCACAGAGCTGATTCATGAATTAATACATTAATGGGTTAATGGATTAATGGGTTATCATGGCAGTGGGGAGTGGTGGCTTTATAAGAAGAGGAAGAGAGACCCGAGCTAGCATGCTCAGCCCCCTCGCCATGTGATGTCTTGAACCACCTCAGAACTCTGCAGAGTCTACACCAGCAAGAAGCCTCTCACCAGATGTGACCCCTCCACCTTGAACTTCTCAGCTTCCTTAACTGTAACAAATAAATTCCTCTTCTTTATCAACTACCCAGTTTCAGGTATTCTGTTATAAGCAACAGAAAACTGCTTAAGATAGGTAATGTTAAGTTCATCTTAGGAAATTTAAAAATGCCAGTCCAAGACAGGTGTTTGGATGAAGGTCCACACAGCCATCACATGTGGAAGGCAAACCAAGTAGGATGTATATAGACACATAAGAGGAAATGTATTATGGGAATCAGCTCACATGACAATGGAGGTTGAGAAGTCCTATGATCTGCTGTCTGTAAGCTGGAGAACTAGGAAAGCCAGTGGTGTGATTCAGTTGAGTCTAAAGGCCTGAGAACCAGGGGTGGAGTGGGGAGTAGGGTGGGAGTTGGGGGAGTGGGGCACTGGTGTAAGTCCTGGAATCTGAGAGCCTGAGAACCAGGGACACAAGAAGATGGATGCCTTAGCTCAAGAAGTGAGAGCAAACTAGACCTTCCTCTGCCTTTTGGTTCTATCCAAGCCCTTAATGAATTGGGTGGTGCCCACCCACATTGGTGAGGGTGGATCTTCTTTGCTCAGCCTACTGATTCAAATGCTAAGCTCTTCCAGAATCTTCCTCACAGACACAGTCAGAAATAATGTTTTGCCAGCATTTCTGGGCATCCTTAACCCGGTCAAGTTGACACATAAAATTAACTATCGCTTCCATGGAAAGGGATCAGTAGCTCCCTTAAGAAACGGTTCTGGACTATTCCAAACTACAGATAAATGAATAGCCAAAACTCAAATATGGGCCACTTAATGTTCAGGGCAACCCTACAAGATAAGTATTATTTGCTCTTTTAGGGAACTTTTTGTGCCGAGCTTGACCTTCAAGATTACACAAATGTAGGTTTTGCATGAGTAATTGGTATAATTTAGCACTTAACTGATTTCCATCCATAGAAGCAAAGGCTGAGAAATGACCAAAGAAAGCTGCAGACAAATGAATGTTTTTCTTCACACATTTCTCTCAAAGTGCTAGGGCTGTAACAATTGTCAATTACAGACAGAAATTCCTAAAGTCTGCCTGTTCTTCACGGAAAATTATGAACTGAGAAATCCAGGCTTCTAATCCAAAGGAAGAAATAGGCAAAGAATGAAAAAGGGTTATCTAATGAATGAGGCTGGATCCATAATTAAGGGAGTGAGAGAATTTCACTTTCTAAAAACAGAATGGACTATGGTCTGGGCCCAACCAGATGGAAATATACTAGAATGTAAAATAGACTGGATATAATACTTCCTTATGGAATTTATTGAATAGTAATTCTACATTTGCACCTAGCTTATAGATAATTCAAAAACTGATGAGGATAGAGGGAAACCAGTTGGTTAAGGGGAAAGTGGCTGAAGAGAAGTTGACTGTGACCAACTTTTTATACAGACAGAAGTAGCATCTTAACATTCAAAACATTCAAAAGTTTTTATCTGTCATCATTTTAGACTCATTAGTGCTTCCGAAAACTTTGAAAATTCTTTAGCGTAATGAGATGGTGGTGTTTATTATCCAAAATGAGAATGTTCTCATGTTTCGGTAATTAATGAAATATATGGTTTGTAAATTTAACCTGAGGATCAAAGCGGTCTCTAAAGGAATGGGCAGCTTCACCAACTAGTGAGAGCCTGTCTGGAGTTTCACATGGGAATCATGTTCCTTGGAGATTTCTACCACCACTAACTTAGATTTCAGCTTTCAAGTCTTTTAGGTCAGTTTCCACTCGTGTAACCATTGTCCACTTTCCAAAATTTACTATCATCTTTTAATTTACTATCATCTTTTTTCCCCCATTCTATCTTATAGTTCTATACCTTTAAACAAATAATCTTTTGAGTTCCATCTTAGTAGGATTTTGTGAGGAGTAGACATAAATGTGGGTGTTCAATCTATCACATTTAATCAGAAGGCCAGTACATCTATCAACTGTTTATTTTAATGGCTATATTTTTATTTCCTAATTTTTACTGTGTGTTTGTGTGAGAGTGTGTGTGTGTGTGTGTGTGTGTGTGTGTGTGTTAATTGCAATTGTCTTCATATCTGTTAATAGCTGTTGTCCCTGGGATATGTTATTGCATGGTTATTCACATTCCACTTCATATACTTTCTCCTGTTTTAACATTTTGTTTTGTATTATTCAATAAATACATATTGTTTTTACATTCTAAAAAAAAGCTTTCATCTTGGAAAACACTAATGTATCAATGACATTTATTTCTTGTGGTTGTTCAGAGAAGACAAAAACAGTTAAGGAAGAAAAAAAGAAAATAAGTAAGAGAAATGAAATTTTCACAAATATCAGCACTGGAATTTAGAGCGTCCTGAAATAAAAAGAGAGTAGTTTGTTTTGCTAGTATTTTACTCATGTTACTACACTAGATTCTGAAGAAAAATAGTGTACATTAATTCATTAACAACTCATTGACACTTGACTAAGTGCCAGGCACCAAGGTAGGTCCTAAGATTACAAAGCTATAGGAAACCCAGTCTAGTGGAGGAGAGAGACACATAGATCAATGATTGCATTACAGATTTATGAGTGCCATGGTGAAAACACAAACAAAGCTTTGCCTGACACAGAGACACAAAATATTAGTTCTCCTGGGGCAGGAGTGGGTAGGGGTGGGTTAAGATCTCCAGAAATGTGACATTTGAAGTGAATCTTTTACCAATTTCCATTTGTGTTCCAGTGCTTTCTGCTAATGTACTGGATAGAACAAAGCAGGTTTTTATTTTTCCTTTTTCTGAGTTTCTTTTTCTCATTTTGAAAAATGGAAATATATTAATTTTTCAAGCATACTTCCAGACAGAGTAATGAGAGTTAGTTTCGGAAAGGTTTGCTTCTCTTGGCCTGAATTTCCTAACAATATTTTAAAAATAAAGTTAATTCTTCTAAGGTTTACCATAGCTAAAATTTACTGGTGAATGTAACTTTTTGGTAATACGTCTGCGTATTACACAAAAAAGAATGTGTAACTATTATACAGTACAAATCTTCCTGGCATTCCTGTATGCCATATCCTGGTTCCTACCACCCACCTCCATCCTCAGGTGAGTACTCTCCTTAGTTTCACATGCATTTTTTTTTTTTTTTCTGAATTTCAAGCAAACAAATCTGAGTGTTGATTCTGGCATCTTCCTTTTTTATACAAGAGTTATTTCTGGCAAATGCTAAGTTTGGTCCAACAATATAAATATCACCTAGAATTTAAGTTAACAGCAGACTTTTAGTTAAATATTAAAGACTGAACACGCACAATGATTTCTGATCCTCCTCCCATAAACCCATGAAAATTATATTAAAAAATGAAAACAGTATAACTTTACACGATAGAGAGAACAGGAGAAATGAAACCAGTCAGCATGAGATACCATGAGAGATTTTATTATTTGTTCATAATCATTTCTTCCCTGCCAATACTTGTTCTGCTTTCCTATAGGTGGAATTACTTCTCCACCCCATGTACTTTGGGCATGGCCATTTGACTTGCTTTGGCCAATGGAGTGTGAGCAAATACTACATAAGACATGTCTGAGCAGAAGCATTAATGCACTTCTGTGGTTCAGTTCTTTTCATTGTGCTTCTGTCCTTCACCAGGAGAATAAACTTCCCCAGATGATGTCTGCTCTCAAGCTAGAAAGCCAGAATGCAAAGTCATGTGGAGCCAGGCCCAATGGAGCCTAGAGGAGCAACAGCTGTCATGTAACTTAAACAAAAGATCAGTGCTGTCGTAAGCCATGGAGATTTGGGGGGCATTTGTGGCTATAGCAATAGCTCACCAATACAAATTGTGGAGTGGTAACTGAAGAAAGTAAATTTCTCACAGAAAGATTCTATAGATACTAATATCTAGAGGTCCACCAACATGAAATGTAACTCAACAAAAAATCACCCCACACCCCACGATGAAAGTCAACTGTCATCAAGTTCCACCTCTGCTCACAAAGCTTTGAATTTTATTTTCTGTGCTTTAGTATTAAATATGAACATACAACCAAGAAAAGCCTGCAACATGAGAGACAGAAAACAAAACACACACAAATAAAGGAAGCTGAAGGAGATGGAGATAAATCAGGAGGAATACAAAGTTTAAATAAATTAAAATTAATATTCACAGAACCATAAGTTATGAACGGTACTCTATGCATGAAACAAAACTAGGATAACATGTTAAAAAAAGAAACAGAAAAATGTTCCTTAGCCCAAAGGAAAAAATTCAGTGAAAATTTTAGATGATAAAGTCAAGGTGATCTCCCAGTCATACTGCTCTATTGAACAAACTCATTACCATTGGAAAACCACTGCCATTATCTGGTGTCCCATGAAATTGTACAACTAAATAATCCACAGGAGAATAAAATCCAAAATCAAAATGGTGGAAAATGTGAGCGAAAGGATAAGAGAAATCTGTCTAAGCTGGGCACAGTGGCTCACACCTGTAATCCCAGCACTTTGGGAGGCCAAGGAAGGAGGATCACTTGAGCCCAAGAGTTTGAGACCAGCCTGGGCAACATGGTGAGATCACATCTCTACAAAAAAAAAAAAAAAAAAAAAGGAAAGAAAGAATGGGCATGGTGGTGCATACCTGTAGTCTCATCTATTTGGGAGGCTGAAATGGAAGGATTGCTTGAGCCTGGAGGGTTGAAGCTGCAGGGAGCCATGATTACACCAGCCCGGGTGACAGAGTGTGACCCAGTTTACAAAAAAAAAAAGAAAAGAAAAAAAATCTGTCTGGCAGGTCCACCATCTAATAAATAAAAGCTCTAGAAAGAGGGAATGGGGAAAGCAGAGGAAGAAACTCATAAAATAATATATTAATATATTCTAAAACAGAAGGGTCTCCAGACTAAAGCTCACTGACAGCCTAACATAAATAGATAATAGATAGTAGACAGTAAATAGATAAATAGATAGATAGATAGATAGATAGATAGATAGATAAACAGATAAGACCTGAGTGACAACACGGCATTGCGAAATTTCATGCCACCAGAAATTTTTTTAAAAAAAAATGCATAAAGCTTCCTGTAGGAGGGGTGGAAGTGGTAAAATAACATATAATAGATTGGAAATCAGATTACCTTGTACTTCTTAATAGAGACATAGGATGCTAGAAGTCAAAGGGACAATGCCTTAAAATGTTCAGATAATTCTATATCCAGCCAAAGTATCAACCAAATGAGTGCTTAAAATAATAACATTATCAGATAGAAAAATACATAAAAATTTACCTCTCATATATTCTTTCTCAGAAAAACACTGATGGAAATGTTCTACCAAAACAAGAGAATAAACAAGCAAATAAAAAGGACAAAAGAATGAAGAAAAATGTGATTTGTTGGTTATATATCCCAAGAAGTAGGACCATGAAAAAAATTATTATGTGGTCAGGAATCCAAAAACAGCAGAGCAAGGATGGCTCTTTTCTCCTCCATGATATCTTGGGTCTCAGCTGGGATAATTTAAATGACCAGCAGTAACTCAAATGGCTGGAGGCTGGAATAGCTGGAGCCAGAGAATCTATTTCTGTGATGGGTTCTTTATCCACATATATGACACCTGGGTCACCATGGCTGAAGGGGCTGTCTACTGGAACTGTCTACTGTCTACTGGGACTGTCTACTGGAACTGTCTACTGGAACATTGGCATATGTTATACATGTGTTCTTCCAACATGGTGATCTCAGGGTGATTGGACTTCTTACATGGTAGCTTAGGTCTCTCAGAGCAAATGTCCCCAATTAACAAGACAGAGCTTCAGAGCTTTTTATTACCTAGCCTCAGAATTTACATAACATCACTTCTGCCTCCTCTATTGTTTAAAGCTGTCACAAGCCCACCTGATTCAAGAGGACAGGACATAGACACCATTATTGATGAAAAAATTGTCACAGAATTTGCAACCTAATAAGGTTTGGCTCTGTGTCCCCGCCCAAATCTCATGTCAAATTGCAATCCTTAATGTTGGAGGAGGGGCCTGGTGGGAGGTGATTGGATCATGGGGGCAGACTTGTTGCTCTTGTGATAGTGAGTGAGTTCTCACAAGATCTGGTTGTTTAAAAGTGTGTAGCACTTTCCCCTTCACTCTCTTCCTTCTTCTCTGTACATGTGAAGCCTTCACCTTCTGCCATGTTTGTAAGTTTCCTGAGGCCTCCCCAGCCATGCTTCCTGTACAGCCTGTGGAACCGTGAGTCAATTAAACCTCTTCGCTTCATAAATTACCGGGTCTCAGGTAGTTCCTTATAGCAATGAGAGAACAGATTAATACACAACTGTGTTTTAAAACCACTGCATATGGTATCAGTGATTCAGGGGATCTGACACAAAAGTATAAGAGAAAGAAATCCTAGGGAGATAGTCATGTCTATGCTAAACTTTAGAAGAAGTAACTTACATTTTCAATATTGTTATGACTAAACTACAAAATTGAATTGCTCTCTTCCCAAAAAGCCTTACACAATGGTACCCGAGTCCAGTTGCCTAATACGTAATACCAAAGTGTTTATTTAATCTCAAACATCCCCTTCTCCTTCCTATTGATATAATTTGAAATCCTTGTTGGGTGATAATTGATTTTCAAGTCAGAGTGGAGAAGCAAATATTTCCTAAACTAACTCTCATTATTCTGTTTGGAAGTGTGCTTTAACAATTCATATAAAAACCACGGAAACTAGTGGGTTTTCCCCACGCTGTCATTCTAGGTTGCCGAGAGGGCGGGATAGGTGGAGACCAGAATGTAAACTCTGGAAAGTCTCCACAGTCAACTAAAAGTTTGGGTAAAGAAAGGAGAAATATAAGAGCATTTCAGAGGGCAGACTTCCTCTGAGAGCAGGAAGTGGAAGGGTTCACAAGTTCAATGCAGAAGGACATTCAGAACGGGCTCCGCTGGAAACATTATCACCTTCATCAGGGATGTATTCTTCATAATGAAAAGCAGCTGTCTGCCCTTGCAAAGTTCAGGGAAGTTTCTGCCCCAGTGGAAGCCAGAATGTACGAAGATACACAGAGAGGGTCAAAAAACTACTTTTTGCCTTTAAACTAGAAGGAAACCTTTTTTTTTTCCTGCGAGTTTCCAGTGGGATAAGGAAGTCTGCTCACCCAAGGCTAGCTGTTGATTTCTTCACACTAAGGCCTCACTGATGCCAATGCCCATTGTTCTGTTGTGTCACTTGTCTTAAGTAAAAGTGAAGCTGTCTGTAATTAGAAAGGCGATGATGTCATGGAGGAAAGGGCCAAGCAGCAGACTCTGAACAAAGCCCCAGGCTGCAGCTGCAACCTACACTGTAATTTTAAATTTAAGTCCAAATTACAAGCTAGCATAACCCAGCAACAAAGGGGCTTTCTCCTACTAGGGACACACAGTAGCCAGCAGGCAAGCCTCAGGATGTTAAAATTCTACCTTCCCTCAGGGAGAGAAATTTTATTTAAATCTGGGAAAGTGGATGTTTTCAAGGAGTTGCATAAACTTGCCAGGCAAAGCCAGGGAAGGCTTTTGCGTGGCTTGGTGAGCAAATGGAAAGCAGCTCATTCTGAACAAAAATTGGTAAAAGTACACTGTCTTCTAGCATCTAGTTTGGCTTCCTACCTAGCGTCATTGAGAGTTAAAACTCAAAGGAGCTGGGAGCAGTGGCTCACGCCTGTAATCCCAGCACTTTGGGAGGCCGAGGCTGGTGGATCACCTGAGGTCAGGAGTTTGAGACCAGCCTGACAAACATGGAGAAACCCCGTCTCTACTAAAAAAATTACAAATTAGCCAGGCTTGGTGGTGTATGCCTGTAATCTCAGCTACTCAGGAGGCTGAGGCAGGAGAATCACTTGAACCTGGGAGGCAGAGGTTGCAGTGAGCCGAGATTGCACCACTGCACTCGAGCCTGGGTGACAGAGCAAGACTCTATCTCAAAAACAAAAACAAAAACAAAAACAAAAAACTCAAAGGAAATCCTAAGATTCAATAGCCATGCCCTTTTACTTTCTGACATATGTGCTATTTGGGGATGGAGAATTTTAAATCTATAGCCTATGTGGCCCTTAATCCCCAGCCCTCTGGCCATTCCACCTCTTCAGCGGATAATCACTCCCAGAGACACGCCTCCCAAGCTCATCTGCCACTCTGTGCTCACCATCCCCAAACTCCCTCCTCTCACCCTATTTCTAATCTTCTCAGGAAAATGGCCCACCATTAACCCAGGTGTCCCCCTAGAGACCTTGAAGTAATGTTAGATACTTTCCTCTTCCCCTTTTCAATGGATTCACCAAATTCTTCCAGAATTATTGCTTGAATGAGCCCCCTTCTCTCCATGTTCTTCCTTAGGTCATATCTTCCATCCCTTGCATTACTGTAATGGCCGCCTTTCTGGTCAACCAGTCCCCAGGCTGCTTGAGACTCTGGGTTCTTTTCCACGTGACACTCATTTCATGATTTGTTATCTAAGTCGTATACTCAAAAAGTCTAAATTGAGGCTAATATGTAAAGCAGGCCACATGATAATGGGCACAGAGCCCATCCTCAATAAATGTTACTATATGGATTATGGATTTTTTTCTCCTTGACGCTCACGACCCAATGAGACAGACAGTACAATAGCACATGTTATTGCTTTTCCTATTTAATGGATTTTTAAACAAATTCAGTTCCATAAATATACACTGAGCATCTTCAATGTGTCAGGTCCAGTGGTAGGGGTGGCATGTAGGGAAGATGGGACAGACACAAGGCGTGCCCTGCCTTGTCTAGTGGATAAAGCAGACATTTACACATAGTTAAGCAATTGAGAGCAGTGTATGATAGGAGAAAGACACGGTGCTGCAGACACATGGGACACACAGGACATTTGCCTTTCAAATCAATCCCCCTTGCATTGTTATAGGAAAAACACAATAGAGACAAAGTAGCTTAGAGGCCTGGCTGCGAAATCTGAATCCTGGTTTTGGTTCCTGCCCTCAATAGTTGCTAGCTCTGGGTGCTGGGAAGTCACTTAACCTACCTGTTCCACAGTTTCCTTATCTGTAACAACAACAACAAAAATACTGATGGTGAGGATGAAGTGAAATAATAAGTGGGAAACATCTTGCAAGAAGTAAGCATTTGATAAATGTCAGATGTATTATTGTTTATATTGTCACTACAACATTAAGAGCTCTTCTCACAGATACGTATTCATTAACCCACAGCTGAGCAAACACTGTAGTTAGAATACCCTCTACAAGGAATATATGTGGCTCATTAGGCCTCCAGGAACCTGGTACATAAATCTTAAAATCTTACTCCTAAATACGGTTAGGAAACACTTTCAGTTTTACATGAATAATATCAGATTTCTGTGATTCATTAATTGAATATTTATTTTCTCTCTACAATGTGCCATTCACTGTGCCAAGTCTTACTCAATGTTAATTTCCCTGTAATAACAGCACAGTTCCTAGCACATATCAGAGATAAAAAGACGTGTTTAAAAATTTAAAATAGCTGATGTTTCAGTCTCTGAAACCAAACAAAATTAAACACAAATGTCATAAACTCTAGAGAAGTTTAAAAAAATACAGTTCATACTTCTCAGAGATTCCTACAATCCCACCTAAATGTTTCCAAGGCTCTAAAATGAATTTTCCAGAACATGCTGGGTAACATATTTTTCCCAGTATAAGTAGCCTTCTTTCATCTGGATTTTAAAACAAACTAGATCCCAGTATCACTAAAACCTTTATTTTCCTGTTTTCACATTCTTTGGAGTCAAAGCTTATTTTTATTATTTCATGACTTTGTAGTAGCTGAGATATATATCATATACAGTATTTTAGCCTTCAGAGTACTAAAAGGAATTTTGTTAAGTAATTCGTAGATAAAACGATGAGCTAAGTTATCTTACTAGCTAAATGATTAACACATCAAAACAGCTAGTTTCCCAGAGCTAAAAGAAAGGGTTTGGATTTGTGTTGGTAGCTGTTTGCAATTCAAATTAGTTTGTCAAGTGGTTTCAGATTCTTCAATCAGGGTCCTGAAGTTAACCTGGGGACACTGAGTGAAGGCTGTAATTGCAAAGATGTTTTCACATGGGTGAATTGGAAGCCCTATGGATGAAAAGCAAACGACGGAATAGGGCCCTGGATTGCTTGGCTGAATGGAAGGGAAAATGAAACAGTGAGTCGGTTGTCATTTTCTCTCAAGCGAGGCAAAGTCACTGAAGGGATCAGAGAAAGGTTTAAATGTGGAACGATCAATCTTAGATGTGATCTGGACTTCAGTTGAGTGGAATTTCTTGAATCCTTGATGTGAATGAGGAATGCGGAGGAGCCCATGCAAAAGCAGATTTACTGGAAAGGAGAACTGGAAATTTCAAGGGGTTTGTGTTTGTCATTGTCAACCCTTTTAGCAAATAACATTGATCATTAGGGTGGGTGTTATTGTTGTTGTTGTTTAAGAACGTACGAGAATTTGTAAAATGCAGAGAAGCAAAAGTTGGAAAACTAAAATTGCTTGCCACCAGAGATCAACTACAGCACTTAGGCCTATTTCCTTCTTACCTTCTTTCTTTCTTCCTTCCCTCCCTCCTTCCTCCCCTCTTTCCTTCCTTCTTTCCCATCCATTTATCCATCATCTACCTAGCTCTTTTTATATAGCTATTTCTTTATTATTATTATATCGTTATATATCTTTGTCATTTGTTATATAAAGTTTGCATTGTTGCTGCTTTTAAAATGTTTTGACCTGTAATCTTTAACTTGCAACCTTTAAGCCAGGGGGTCTTCTGGCTTTGTTAGGCAGGGTGGCTCATGGGAATTCATGGCCTCTTATTCTGGTAAAAACTTCCTTGCAATCAAGAATGTGGTGTTTTTTCTTGGTTTAAAACAAACAGAAACAAAATCACACAGAACTAGAAGAGTTTGCACTAAACATATATTTTTAAATTTCTGCCTGCAAAATTATGTTCCACTGCCTCCTCTTTGCTCAGTTTCCCCCTTATATCCCTCCAGATGTAGCCTCTGGAGTTCCTTGAGTCTCTGAGAGATTGTTTCATAGGGCAGGATCAGAAATGACTTGTCAAGATCCCTGCAGAAGCATCTAGAAAGATGGGTAATTTATAATTAAAACAATAAGTAATGGCGGTTAACATCTTGCAAGGTGTTATATATTTAATTTTTTTTTTTAACAGTCTCTTTTTACATTCATGAACTCAGCCAGGAGTGGTAGAAAGATAGTTTGGATTGTGAGTCAAGGTGCCTTGAGTTCTAGTCCTAGTTTTTTCTCAACTATTACCTTCTAAAAGCACTTAAATTCTCTGTGCCTCCATTTTCCTATATATAGAAGGAAGTGGGAGGGTTTGATGGTTAGCGGGCCAGATGCTTGCTGAGATCATTTCCAGGTCAGCAACCGCACTGTATTATGAAGGTTTTGGTGGCCCCATATTGGATGGGCATTATTTCCATTAACTACCAGTGAACAGTGCATTTGCCATGGGTACACGCTTAGATGGAACCTGATAATATACTAATTTGGTGAGGTTGGGGGTTGGGAGGCAGGGGAATCCAAGGTCTGATTTCCCCCAAGCAAAGTCTGCTAATGTTGTTCCTCTATGCTGCTTCTAGTTTTTTTGGATAAGCTAAGTGAATAGGGGTGTGTGCATATAGATATGCAGGATAATTTATCACACACATACTTCATTGGGGAACTGGCACCAGTTGGTACTTCCTGAGCAGCTCCAGTCAGTGCTTTCAGAGAAGAAAAAAAACTAACTTGTGCAGATGCCTTTACATGTATTATTCCACCTAATTCTCACAGCATCCCTTCAGGGTAGATCCCCTGTTTTGTAGATGTACACACTAGGGTTCAGAGTGATTGAGTAACTTGTTCAAAATGTGAACACGGATCCATAGGACTCTAGGGCCAAAGTACATTTCAGAGGACTCCACTTTGACTCACTCTACTGAGGCAGAGGGAAAAGAAGAAAATAAGGGGAAGAGGAGCAGGTGAAGAAGTGGACTAAAGGAGTTTCCTCTGCATGGTGCTGTCGCAGAACTACTCTTACAGATAGTGCAGCGCAGGTGTGGGTCAACAAGCTCCTTTCCTATGCTCCTTTGCCACGTTCTATTGCCTTTCTTTTGGGATTATCAGGTTTCCCAGGGCTCCCAGGCTTTCCTATCCCTCCCACTAGCACCCCATCCTGATGAGCCATTACCAATATTTCATGTTCTAGAATCATCTCGTCTTCTGATTCCTGCAATAGAAGCTTCCTTTTCTCTATATGGTGGATTCAGCTAAGTGGAAAGCAATCTGACTGAGTGGATCTATATGAGAATGTGAATGCCTAAAAGGTTCTCATTATTAAGAAGGATGTTGATATGTGAAAATCTGACAAATGCCATTGCAAACAGAAACTGGGTGAAGAAAACAAAAATTCAGGCTGTTGGGAGAAGGTGAGATATTTGGGGACTGAGAAATGTCAGGAGCCAGTCAGTAGGAAGTGGAGTGGATGTTCCAGCTACAATTCCATGGCAACAGGGGGATCTGAAAAGGAATCTCAAAGGTCCCTAATAAGTAAGGGGTTCCTGTGTAGGAGAGCATCTGTGTATTAAAAATAAGGCTGATCCCAAGCTGAAACAAAAAACAAGCAAATTGTGATATTGTGATGTATATTTGGTCTTTGACCCTGTTTCCTGGCATACAAATCCTAAAATCCTTAGAAATTCCAAAGTGTTGTCTTTTTGTACCCTAATGAGTTGACTGATAGCAGGCAGCCCCTAGGCAGCTTCAGGATGGGGGTTTGTCACCCAGAAAGACTAACTTTTAGCACCACTCCCAACCTCCAGGGAAGGGAGAGGAGATGTTGAGTGTATCACCAATGGCCAATGGTTTGATCAATCACGCCTAAGTAATAAAGCCTCTAGAAAAACCCAAGAAGACAGGATTCAGAGAGCTTCCAGATAGCTGACCACGTAGAGGTTCCTGGAGGGTGGTGCCCAGGGAGGGTATCAAAGCTCTGCACCCCTTCCCTCATACCACGCCCTACACATCTCTTCATCTGTATCCTGTGTAACATCTTTTATAATACATGAGTAAACATAAGTGTTTTTCTGAGTTCTGTGAGCCACTCCAGCAAATTAATTGAACCCAAGAAAGGGGGATTGTGGGCAACCTGATTATAGCCAGTCGGTCAGAAGCACAAGAAAAATAACCTGCAGCTTTTAATTGGTATCAGAAGTGGGGGTGGGGGCAGTCTTGGGGACTGAGCCCTCAACCTGTGGGATCTGACACTCTCTGGGTAGAGAGTGTCAGAACTGAATTAGAGGACATGCAGCTGATCTGCTCCTTGATGTGTAGAGAAATGCCCCACCCCCCCACCCGCCACACACACACACACACACACACACACACACACACACACACACACATATTTGGTCACAGAAGTTTTCTGCATTGTTGTTGAGTGAGGAAAAGTAAAAGCGCTTGGAGTGTGTGTGTGTGTGTGTGTGTGTGTGTGTGTGTGTTTCCACGTTCAGACAAATGAAAGGTGGAGCAGTGGTGAGAGAGAGCAGACAGTCCATTGAATTTGGACCCACAAAGGCCCCCTGCAAGAGCTGCTGGTGTTTGCTCCCAAATTGCAGAGTACATGAAGACAATGTGTTTCCTGCTTTCCAGGGCATAGGTTAGTACTCATGGCCCTGGGCCTGGGCATTCAGCCACATCTGTTGGCCCTGCCACGTACTCAGGGGTGGGAGGGGAAAGCAACTTCTGGGAATGGCTTCCTGTTCCCTGCTCCTGGAGCTAAGTCCAAGAAAAGAAAAAGAAACCAATTTCACCTTTTCCTCTAAACGTCATTGTTATTGACACAACCGTCTGCAATGATCAATTAAGCAAATCTGAAGACTCAAATGCTTTTATGCTTCTTATTTAAAAGTTGCTTAGAATTTATTCCCTAATTCCAGATGAGTTACCAAAAGAGAACGTTTAAGTGACTTCTCCAAGATCACTGGACAAGGGGGTGGGTCCAACCCCTACATACGTAGCACATACAACTGGCCTGATTGGAGGGACCATCCAAGAATCTTCCTCCTCCATATTCTCACACAACTCTCTGCCCCTTTGCAAGTGCCTACACTTTCCAGAATTGAGAGTCATTCCTCAGTGTCTTGAGAGTCCCTTTATTCAAGTCCAAATCCTAGGGCAGGAATTGCACTTGAGCTTTTATCAACAATTTACCTAGTGGAACCTTCTGCCTCATACCTCTTTCTGAGACAGATGTCTGGAAGCCAGGCCTTCTGGGGATAAGGCAGGAATGGGATGCTTCACCCTATTGTGGGAGAAGAGAAGACTGGAGATGGGAATTTGCCAAAAACAAACCTTGTTAGGGGCCTGTGCTGCTTCCAGCTGGATAGCTATCCCACACTGCAGCTTTATTAATTAATCTTCCTCTTGGGAGTGTGTTTTAAGTACCAAGCAATAAAATAGTCTGGGAGTTGACATGTTTAATTAAATTGAGGTTTATTTCAACTTATTTACTATCTTCACTGATTCTTTTACCTATCTCTGGTCCCCAAACATAAGCAGCCCCAAGGACTGGCCCTGGCTCCTTTTTTCTATACACTGTTAATTTGGATCACTCTCACTCTTTCAGGTTTAAGAATCACAATTGGGAGGCCATACCTCCCAAGTTTGTCACTAATTCAGGAGCCAACAAACTTTCTCTGTAAAGGGCCAGATAGTAAATTTGTCAGGCTTTGCAGGCCATGCAATCTATTGCAACCACTCAACTCTCCTATTGCAGCATGAAATCAGCCAAAGACCATATGTCAATGAATGGGCATGGCTGTGTTCCAATAAACTTTATGAACATTGAGATTTCAATTTCATGTAATTTTCACTTGTCACAATATATTATTCTTTGGATTTTTTTTTTCCCAACCACTTGACAGTGTGAAAACTATTCTCTAGCTCATGGACCTTAGAAAAGCAGGCAGTCAACCTCTGTTCTGACCAATACCTTTCTCCAAGTTCCAGGCCTCCTGCTCTCAAAAATGCCCTCAGACTTGAAGTTTCTAATATGAAAATTGCTCTGTCTTTTACCCACCCCACAAAACAGCTGTTCTTCTTGACTTCTTTGTCTTAGGATACCAGAATTCTCCCAGAGTCCCAGCTGGAACTCCAAGGGTTTCCTTGGTTTCCACTTGTCATCCCTTATGCCAAACCAGTACCCCAATCCCATTGCTGACCCACATGCAATGCATCCAGCATCTGTCTCTCTCTCTCCTGTCCTCAAAGTTCTGTATATCCAAATTAATTTTCCTAAAGCAAGATTTTTATTAAAGAACACACTTCAAGGTCTCTACTGTTTCCTGCACACAGTAACCCAGCCTGCAGCACCCTGCACTTATATATATATGCAGTTTTCCCTTTGAGGGAGTTTTCTAGTTTCATCTTCCACTATTTTCCTACACAGATTTTCTGTGCAAACAAAAATGACTTGCCTTCAACAGGTGAAATTAACATGCTGGGGTCAGGCAGGGAGTTCCTACCTCTATGCCTTTCTTCTTGATCTTTTCTTCTGTGAAATCCTTTTCCTGCACCCCTGGACCTATCAAAAAGTTCATGACCAACCATACTGAGATACCACTTCACTTATACTAGGGTGGCTATCATAAAAAGACTGACAATAACAAGACTTGACAAGGATGTGGAGAAATTGGAACCCTCCTATGCTGTTAGTTGAAATGTAAAATAATACAGCTGCTTTGGAAAAACAATCTGGCAGTTCCTCAAAAGGTTAAACATAGAGTTACCATATGACCCAGCAATTCTACTCCTAGATATACACTAAAGCAAAATGAAAACATATGTCCACATAAAAACCTGTACACAAATATTAGTAGCATTATTCACAATAGCCAAAAAGTAAAAACATCCCAAATGTCTGACAACTGATGAATGGATAAACAAAATGTGGTCTATTTATACAATGAGATATTATTAGTACAAAAAATGGAGCTGGGCACGGTGGCTCACACTTGTAATCCCAGCACTTTGGGAGGCCGAGCTGGTCGGATCATGCGGTCAGGAGATGGAGACCATCCTGGCTAACATGGTGAAACCCCATCTCTACTAAAAATACAAAAAATTAGCTGTGTGTGATGGCACGCGCCTGTAATCCTAGCTACTCGGGAGGCTGAGGTAGGAGAATTGCTTGAACCCGGGAGGCAGAGGTTGCAGTGAGCCAAGATCATGCCACTGCACTCCAGCCTGGGCAACAGAGACTCTATCTCAAAGAAGAAGAAAAAGAAAAATGGAATGAAGTTTTGATACATGCTATAATATGGATGGACCTTGACACCATTATGCTAAGGAAAAGATGTCAGACACAAATCCCCACATGTCATATGATCCTATTACTATGAAATGTCCAGAACAGAAAAAACTATAGAACTTGAAAGTAGATTTGTGATGGGCTGGGGTGGGAGTGAGGGGTCAAGAGAAAATGGGAGTGACTGCTAATGAGTAGAAGGTTTATTTTAAGGTTGATGAACTATTTGAAAATTGATTGTGGTGATGTTTGCACAACCCTGTGAATACACTAAAAATCATTGAATTGCAACTTTAAGTGAATTGTATGGCATATGAATTAAAACTCAATATATATTTTTAAAAGGCTCGTGGCCAAACCAGATCATTGTAATTTGACCTTTAAAAATATTATTTTTATTTTGTAACTATCTGTTTTATTCACTTGACATTATATTTTACTTTGTAATTTTTTTCTGCCTATATTTTAATTTTCCAACTACACTGTAAACTCATACTTTCATATACGTGTGGGTGTATGTATATAAATATGCTTGTGTTTGTTGATTTAATTCAGGAGACAATTCTGAGTAGTCAAAATAAAGTACAATAATTTAAATTACTAGAGCTGAAGACTATAGGATGTCAACTGTGGATACAACTCACAAGCTACCATATTGATGTGACATGATGAAGTGGGAAGGAAAGCCATCTGGAGTTTCACTGGTGAATTGATACATCTTGCACTTAACATTGTGTATCCCCTGGACTTTGATCAAATGGACATGGGCTTTCTGATCTACTGCAGAGTGCCTGGAAATTCAGGTATTTAGTTATGCTTATTTTGCAGTTTCCGCATATATAATGGAGCCATGTATATTTTTAAAATTTATTTCTGACTTGAACAACTACTGATGAAGAACCTACTGTGTGCATGGCATTGGACTCAAAGATGATCTGAGTAAATTCAATAAGCAATAAATGACCATGCTAGTGTGGCTGTCAGCTTGCTGCATACTCAGCTTGTGGTACTCTACATTCCATTTGCTAACAGTTTTTCTAAATGCTTATATTTGGCACATGGGTTCTTTAAAAATATCAAAAAATACACTTGAAACTGTATATCATAGGTCTATATTCAACCATATTGAGTAGGTCAGCAAGAAATTAAGTATATGGAAACCAATACGATCCTGTTTGTGTTTAGCATTTTCTCTGGAGAGCATCCATGATCCATCCATGAATTATATCCAAGTAAATGTTGCCAACACAAGGGTTAAGTTACATTAATAGTAATCTAGGGCCCCAAGAGACTTTCTACCCAGGAATACTAGTCAGATTAAAGTGGCAGCAATATATTAAATTACTCTAAGGCTTGACTTTGGGGGAGTGCAGTCTAACACCATTTGTCTCTCAAGTGTCTCTATTTGAATTACCTAATTTTCAGTAGGTGAAATGAAAAGTCAAAGCTATAGGCAAAGCAGTACCCTTGAAAGGCCAGTTTTCCACAGATTGCTTTATACCCTCATTTTCAAGGTTACTAAGCCCACAGAGGGCCATCCAGGGCTCACCAAAGCTCACCAAAAGCCACAGTGTCCACCTACAAACATGGGACCATGGTTGTAGTTAGTAAAAAGCATCGTTGACTTGCTTGGAGTGTCCTCTCTTTGTATCTCCTCTGGGAACTCATAATAGTTGTGACCAAGGATTCAGAAATTGGAATCCTAGCCAATTGCACTGGCTTTGACTTAGAGACTCAGTTTCCTCTTTTTGCCATAACAAATTACCACATACTTAGTGGCTTACAACAGAATACATTTATTATCTTACAGTTCTGGAGGTCAAGCCTGAAATGGCTTTCACTAGGCTAAAATAAAGGTGTCAGCAGGTCTGGTTCCTTCTGGAGGCTCTAGGAGATAATCCATTTCCTTGCCCTTTTCAGTTTCTAAAGGCTGCTGGCATTTCTTGGTTTGTGGCCCCTTCCTCCATCTGCAAAGCATAACATCTTTCAATCCCCACTTCTTTCTTATAAGGACCCTTGTGATACATCAGGCCCACCACCAAGGTAATCCAGGATAATGTTCCCATCTCAATAACCTTAACCACATCTGCAAAGTCCAATTTCTCATGTAAAGCAACATATTCACAGGTTTCAGAGATTAAGATACGGTCATTTTTGGGGGCCTTTATTCTACCACAGAGACACAACAAAAAGGAAGACTCCTTGATTAGTGATCATCATCATCATCATCATCATCATCATCATCATCATCATGATGGAATCAAAGGAGATCATTTTGGAGCTTTAAGATTTGACTGCCCTGGCCGGGTGCGGTGGCTCATGCCTGTAATCCCAGCACTTTGGGAGGCTGAGGCTGGTGGATCACCTGAGGTCAGGAGTTTGAGACCAGCCTGACAAACATGGAGAAACCCCGTCTCTACTAAAAAAATTACAAATTAGCCAGGCTTGGTGGTGCATGCCTGTAATATCAGCTACTCAGGGGGCTGAGGCAGGAGAACTGCTTGAACCCAGGAGGCAGAGGTTGCGGTGAGCTGAGATTGTGCCATTGCACTCCAGCCTGGGCAACAAGAGAAAAACTCCATCTCAAAAAAAAAAAAAAAAAATGTGACTGCCCCACTGGGTTTCAGACTTGCATGGGGCCTGTAGACCCTTTGTTTTGGCCAATTTCTTCCATTTGGAATGGGAGCATTTATCCAATGCCTATACCCCCATTGTATCTAGGAAGTAACTAACTTGTTTTTGATTTTACAGGCTCCTAGGAGGAAGGAACTTGCATTATCTCAGGTGAGACTTTGGACTTGGACTTTTGGATTAATGCTGGAGTGATATAAGACTTTGGGGGACTGTTGGGAAGGCCTGATTGTGTTTTGAAATGTGAGAACATGAGATTTGAGAGGGTCCAGGGGTGGAATGATATGGTTTGGCTGTGACCCCACCCAAATCTCATCTTGAATTGTAATCCCGATAATCCCACCTGTTGAGAAGGGGCCTGGTAAATGATGGGATCATGGAGGCATTTTCCCCCATGCTGTTCTCATGATAGTGAGTTCTCAGGAGATCTGATGGTTTTATAAATGGCAGTTTCCCCTAAGCTTTTCTCTCTCTTCTGCTGCCTTGTGAAGAGGTACTTGCTTCTCCTTCACCTTCCATCATGATTGTAAGTTTCCTGAGGCCTCCCCAGCCATGTGGAACTGTGAGTCAATTAAACCTGTTTCCTTTATAAATAAGTCAGTCTCAGCTACTTCTTTATAGCAGTGTGAGAATGGAGTAATAAACCATCCATGACAATATTCTTTGATTTTTACCTGGTTCACTAATTTTAACTTAGTTATAATTTTAAATAATTATAAGTAAAGATCCTTCCTGATTTCCAGGTGATAAACTGGGGCACAGAATCGTTATTCAGTCCAGAAAGAGGAAGAAAAATAACCCAGGGGGATGCCAGTCTGAGGCAGCCACTTCCAGAGACTGTGGGCCAGCTCTGAGAAATGTCCAGATTAGATAAACTGTATCTGGAAAGATAATCTTGTCCCATGACTGCAACAGACCACTTGAATTTACCTGCCTGGTTTATTCAGATTTTATGCCTAGAAATCCCCGGAATACACCAGAAAATCCCAAGTTGTTCTGAGACTGAGTACCTAAAGTTGCTGGGTCAAGAGAGTATTTTTTTAAATGAAAGACACTTGAACATATCTCTATATTAAGTGGTAGAGGCAGAAGAGAGAAAGCAATTAAAGATAGAGGAGAAACAATAGCCACAAGCTAGAAACAACTCAACCATCATGAAAATGCTTAAACAAAAACTGCTGCATCCATACAATGGAATACAACTCAGTAATAAAAAGGCACAATCAACTGCTGCTACCCACAAAATGGATGACTTGTAAAATCATTATGCTGAGTAAAAAAGCCAGACACAAAACAGTACGTACTACATAAGTACACTTACGTGAAATTCTAGAAAATGCAAACTAATTTATAGTGACAGAAAGGAGATCAGTGGTTGTCTAAGGTTAGAAGCAGAGAGAAAGGAATGAACAGCAAAGAGGCACAAGGAAACTTTTGGAGGTGATGGAAATATTGTGTCTTGATTATGGCAGCGGTTTCATGGGTGTCAAAACTCAACAAATTGTATACTTTAAATGGATACCATTTACTGTACATAAATTATACTACAATAAAGCTGATTTACAAAAAGAGGGAAGCTTCTTGGGGGCCCCTGGACTGGATGAGGAACCCCTTTTCCACTGGGAAGGAAGGGAAGTACAATCACCTGATGGGTTCTTCTGGCCCGCTGCGCAGATAAAACCAATTCACTGAGATAGTGGTACTGCAGTAGAGAAAGAGTTTAATAATCACAGGGCCAGCTAAGTGGAAGAACAAGAGTTTAGTACTCAAATCAGCTTCCCCAAAAGCTTGGAGGGTAGGGTTTTTTCAAGGATATTTTGGCAGGCAGGGGGCTAGGGATTGGGTGTGCTGATTGGTTAGGAATGAAATTGTAGGGTTGTGGAAAACAATCCTTGTGCACTGACTCAGCCTCTGGGTGGGGGCCACGGGATTAGTTGAGTCATGAGTCATGGGTCGGGGTAGAGTCAGTTGGTTGCCATAATGCAAAAATCTGAAAACCATCTCAAAAGACCAATCTTAGGTTTTACACTAGTGATGTTATCTACGGGAGCAATTGGGGAAGTCACAAATCTTATAATTTCTGCCACATGACTCCTGAGTAGTAAGGGATTACAGAAGCAAGCTAGGAGGCTGGGCATGGTGGCTTACATCTGTAATTCCAACACTTTGGGAGGCTGAGGTGGGAGGATCTCTTGAACTCAGCAGTTCAAGGCCAGCCTGAGCAATATAGTGAGACCCTGTCTCTTTAAAAAATAAAAATAAAATAGAAAGCAAGTTAGGGAACAATGGCTGGTTATCGTTTACACCTACATCTCAGCAGAATTCAGGCCCCTCCCATAATCCTAATCTTGTGGCCCTTCATTAGTTTTACAAAGGTAGTTTTAGTCCCTGAACAAGGAGGGGTTCTGGGAGGAACTATTATCATCCTTGCTTCAATGTTAAACTGTAAACTAAATTCCTCCCACGGTTAGCTTGGCCTATGCCCAGGAATGAGCAAGAATAGCCAGATTGTGAGGCTAGAAGCAAGATGGAGCCAGCCATGCTAGACTTCTGTCACTGTCATGATGTTTGCAAAGGTGGTTTCAGAAGGAGGCCAAAGCAGAAATGGTCACAGATCCATTCATAGATGAGGAGGGGCTGCAGAGAGAAGAAAGTGGTTAGCCATGATACTCTTAATGTTTTCTTAGAATGTAATGGCCCAAGGGGTTCTTTCCTGCCCCCTACACAAAGAAAGACCATGGTATTGTAGCAAAGGAAGAGTTTAATAGACAGGCTGGCCACACCACATGGGAGATGGAGTTAGTACTCAAATCATTCTCCAAAGCTCACAAGTTAGGCGTTTCTCAAAGGCATCTTTGGGGGAAGGGGTGGGGGTGGCTAGGCTTGCAGCTGGTTGGTTGGTGCAGAGATGAAATCATAGCCAGTTGCACCTGTTCTCCTGTGTGCTGAATTGCTTCTGGGTGGGACCACAGGAGCAGAGTTGGAGGGTCCAGGTGGAGCCATGGGTGTCAGACATACAAAAAGCCTGAAAAGATATCTCAAAAGGCCAATCTTAAGTTCTACAATAGTGATGTTATTTGTAGGAGTAATTGGGGAAATTGCATATCTTATAACCTCTGGAATAATGGCTGGCAATTGTTCATGTTTGCATCTTAGCAGAACCCAGGCTGCTCTCCTCCCCGCAGCCTGATGGCCTTCCATTAGCGTTACAAAAGCGATTGAGTTTTACGGGAGGCTTTTTATCATTTAAACTGCAGCCTAAATGTCTCTCAAAATCAGCTTGGCCCAAAAGCCCAGGAATAATTAAAGGAAAGGCAAACTGTGGGGTGGGTTAGCTCAGCTCACCGTTACAACTTTTCTCGCAAAGGCAATTTCAAGAAGCTCCCTGCATTACTGCCCACAGCAACGAGTCTCCTTTTAACATGCAGATTCACGTCGATCATAACGAGCTCAACTTGCATCTGAAGACTGGAGACTCTCACTGACACATCTTAACCCACAATGTGTACTATCCAGGCAGAATATTTGCAAGGTCTACCCTTCTCCTTTTAAATCAAAATTCAGCCCACCTTCAGCTTGGTATTCCTGCCACACAGAGCCCCTGAGAGCTTCAGCAGAGAACTGGCTGATGTGTTCTGAGTGTTGTTTTCTTTGATTCCTTGTGAGTGGCATTTTCTTTTATTTCTTCCTGTGTCTCTTTAATTACTGGCAGCTCCAGAAGCAATGAGAAGCTGGGAGGAAAGACTTCGTCAGAAAGCTTCAGGCTGAGAGGAGAGCTTGAAAGATAGGGATCTGCCAGCACCTCTGTGGTTATCGACTCTTTCATGTAACCACTTACCAGAGTATATCAGACAGTATTTTGCAGTAACGAAGACAGAGCCATAGCAACCAGACTACAAAGAGAAGCCCAGGGTTCTGGAAATGGCTCCAAGTCTCTGAAGAGATGTTAGCATTTCACAGCTTCCATTTCTTTTTGTGTTTGTTTCCTTTTGGTAGCCACTGGAGACAAGCCGTGTTTTCTTTACACACCCCAAAACTAGGGAAATTTTTATTTACCACAGCTGGGTATATGAGCCTAAGACTGGAATTCTTCAGTTAACAGTCATGTTAAATGGAAATTCATTTTCTCAGTCAGGAAAACTATCCTCAGAACATATTTTCTGAGCCGCTATCTAATATCTGGTGCTTTTTCACACTAATAATAATCTTTTTCTCCTTCCTAAAAAACTGAAAGTTATAATTAAGTAGAGGAAGCAAAAAACCCTTCCCTTGACACTGTACTAGTTATGTGGAAGTCCTTCATCAGGAATGAGTCACTCACGTAAATTGAAAGCTGCTCTGGGTCCCCACCTTTGAGTTAGAGTCCCCGCAACTTCTCTACTATAGCTATGTGGGCTTTTACAAAAGAATAATGATGTGAGACTCCAAAAGAGGACAAAACTTGTGACTATGCTTGTGAAGGTAAGCATGACACTGTATTGTCCATTTGGGGGCCACCCCTCTGGTGAAATAGGTGCCTACTGTCCCTTATTACCCACCAAAACATGTATCCACCCTATGTTTAAAATTGTGTAGGCTACCAAAAGAATTGAAAGTAGGGACAGAAACAAATACTTGTACATGCATGTGCATAGTAGCACCATTCACCATAGCCAAGAGGTAGAAACAACCCAAATATTTATCAGTGGATGAATGGATAAACAAAATATGGTCTATCCATACAATGGAAAATTATTCAGCCATAAAAAGTAAAGCAGTACTGATAAACACTGTAGCACAAATTAACCTGAAAGAATTATGCTAAGTGAAAGAAGCCAGACACAAAAGGCCACACATTGTACGATTCCATTTATAGGAAATGTCCAGAAAAAGCAAATCCATGGAAAGAGAAAGCAGATTGTTGATGGCCAGAGGCTGGAGGTAGAGGGCAGTGAGGAATGACCACTAAGGAAAATGGTGCTTCCTTTTGGGGCAATGAAAAAGTTCTGGAACTTTTCATTATGTGCCAAAAGTGCTAAAAGAATATGCTGAAAGTCACTGAATTGTATACTTTAAAGTGGTTAATTTTGTGTTATGTAAATTTTACTTCAATTTTTGAAATTCCCATATTCTTCTTTTAAAAATTTTATATATTATGATAGAGACAAGGTCTTGCTGTGTTGCTCAGGCTGGTCTCAAATTCCTGAGTCCAAGTGATCCTCCTTGCCTTGGCCTCCTGAAGTGCTGGGATTACAGGCATGAGCCACTGTGCCTTGCCATATTCTTGAAAAGTGCTAAGAGAGTAGATTTAAGTGTTTTCACCACAAAAAAAAATTATAAGAATGTGAGGTAATAAATATTAATTGTCTCGACTTAGCCATTCCATGATATATACATATTTTAAAACAACGTGTTGTAAATGATAAATATATACGATTTTATTTGTCAATTTAAGTAAATAAATTTAAAAGTAAAAAAAGAATTTTAAGAAAAAACTCTCTCCAAAAAATATTTACAAGTCACAGTTGTCATGATGTCACATAAAAACTTTTTAAATATAAATATTATACTCAAAATATTAAAGAAAAATTATAATTAAAGCAGACTGACAGACAGGTGTATTCAATTCATTCTGTTAATATTAAGTAAGCCTTCTGTTCTCAACTAGAGGGGGAAAGATAGGCAAACAAACTGCTCACTGCTGTGATAAGGACGGGAGCAGGGTGGGAAAGTGGGAGTTGGGATAGCTGCTTTGCTCAAAGAGCTCATAGAAGACAAACATTGACAGCATGCCTTGTACTAGGAGGCCACACCCTGCCCCAGCTTGAATCTCAAGAAAAGTTAATGAGAAAGGCAAGGCAGAACTTGGTTTGGAGCTCAAAGGAATGATAAAGAGCATAGTAAATATTAATGAGAGTTTAGAGATGGAAAAGCTCTCAGAAGCTGGACTCCTCACAGGCTGAAAGCACAGAGTAGGCCTGAGTTCTAAGTGAGAATCAGGAGTCAGGGTGTCTAGTCCTTGGTTAGGTCACTACATGACTATGAACTTGGCCATGCCGTGTAACTTCCTGGGTCTTGGCTTTCTTTGCTAAGTGCTTCCCCAGACTGAGCTGGCATCACAAATGTCTGTGGAACATTTAAAACATAGACTCCCCTAGGGCTGGAGAGACAGCACCTCGGAAACGAACCAGTAGTTCACAGACTTGAAGCCCCTGGGACTTGCGAATACTCAGATTGCTGGTCCCCATTCCTAGAGTTTCTGATTCAGTAGGTCTAAGGTGGAGACCTGAAATTTTCCATCTCTAACAAGTTCCCAGTGAAGGTGATGGCTCATCACACACTGAGAACCACTGAGGAAAAACTAAACTAGTCATTACCAACTCTGGCTGGTCATCAGAATCACCTGGAAAATATTTAATAAATACCAGGGCCCCACTTCATATGTAGTGAACCAGGGATCCTCTACAGTCTAGACCCTTCTGTCTAGCTCTAGGTCTCATGATGCTTCTGGAACATGAGCCTGGGACTGGGCTCTTATAGTGAGTGGGATTTGGAGTAAGCTAGAGGAGGACACTGGCATTCTGCTTGGGTCAGAATGAGCAGTAACAAGCTCTGGGGCAGGAATCAGCAAGCTATGGTGATGGTTATGGGAACCATGACCCAACTCATCTTAGGTAATATTTATTAACCACTCACTGCATTTATTTATCACCTAAAGAAGTGAGGGAGGGAGATACAATAGGAAAAGAAAAGTGACTTTTGCACAGAGATGCTTGGGAGAGGCCCGAGGAAACTTCACAAAAAGTTCCAGACAGTGTAAGTGCTAGTCTGCCAATATCTATTCCTGTATTCTTTTTATTTTCCCCCAGAACTAAGTCTAAATAATAACAGAGGCATTTAAAATAAAAATCTTGGGGCATAAATTCCTAAGGAATGAAATCCAATGTACTGATGTCTTAGCAAAAAATATGTCCTTAGATGCCATTTCATGGAGGACCTGGTAGAACAATTGTTCATAGAATATTCACTTGGTGGAATGGAGTGAAGGAGTTGATCCATTCCCTCTGGTTACTTCATAAACCAGACATCTTACAGCACAGATACAGACCTCCATAGCTGATCCTACTTAGAGCTACTTTCACCAATTATTCAGATATTTCACTTTGGGTTGCCTGCTTGATCTTAGAGCATTTGCTTGAACAGATGTAACAGACAAGAAGCTCCTATTTCTTCAGGAAAAAAGCTCAGCATGTTTTCACTGACAGGCACACATAACATGGGCATAATGTGCCTGGTAAGCATCTGTAATGTATAATTTAAAAATTCTTCCAAGAGTTTACTTAACTTGGGCCAACTGACAAGCTCCCTCCTTGCCCCCATCCTTGCAATAGGACTAAACTTCCTTAAGTGTCTTCTATACTACTGTGAATGATATGATCATGCAGCTGATGGCGTGGCTATTGGGGGAATTCTTCCTAGTAACTACAGTTGTTTCACAAAACTTCTTTCCAAGAAAAGTGTAAGTTCTTTGAGGTCATATTCATATACTTTAGCTACTCACAGCACTTAGCACAGTGTTGAACACATAGTGCATTTCTTCCCCCACCCCGCCAAAGAAATATACAGTAGAATCCCTGGATTGTAGAATTGGTTTGCTCACTGATCAGAAAATGGTGCCTCAAATATAGATGTTTAATAGCTTCACAGCAACCATATTCTAGACTTCCACCATGTCATCCCTAGATTTTTCTTGTGACTTTGATTGTCTCTCTTTTCTATCTAGTTTATTCTATAGCCACAGAATACAGCCAGTATATGCCTCACTCCTGTACAGAGTCAATTAGAGTCAGTAGAAACAGGGTTGACCCAGAATCAGAGAATCTAGTCTTGTTACTTTATATCCATTGAACTAAAACTCCCCCATTTCCTCTCCTACCTCCCTTTACCAACAGCTGTTTTATTCTCTAACTCTGTATATTTGACCTTTGTTGCTTTTTATAGATTGCACACATAAGTGAGATCATGCAGTATTTATTTTTCTGTGCCTGGCTTATTTCATTTAGCAAAATGTCCTCCAGGTCCATACATCTTGTGGCAAATGGCAGGATCTGTTTTTTTAATGGCTGAATAATAGCAGTTAGGTAGGATGAACAAGGCTAGAGATCTAATGTACAACATAAGGACTATAGTTAATAAATTGTATTAAGGATTTTTGTTAAGTAGATTATAGCTGCTTTTGTCATAATAATATAATATTTAGGTTCAGTGTATTAAATGCATTATCAACTTACAATATTTTAAATTTACAGTGATTTTATTGGGATGTAATCCCATTGTAAATTGAGGAGCATTTGTACTTGTGTTTCACCTATTGCAGGGTCTGTCCCACAGACCCTGACCCAATGATGGAAGAATAACATACATTGACACAGGTATTCTGCCTGTCAGTCCACCTAAGGGTCCAGGCCCCTCACAGACACAACGGAAGGTACAGTAAAGAGTAGCAACCATGGCCCTGTTCAGCCAGTGAAGCTCGCATTTATTCAGTACAGATTAAATGACAAAGGTCTTGAGTAAACACCACTAAAGGGTAATTGACCTGGTTGCCAACCCCCCTCCCCAGTAGAGAGCAATTATGCACCCGCAGTTGATCAAAGGTTGGTCTTAGGACCACATGAGTAAACAAGCTATTTAGATAAACTACTTTACATTTCTTTGTATCTATGCCCTAAGCTTTTAAGAGAATTCAGCTGCCTTCAGCCAAATGCTATGCAAACCCCCAGGCATTCCAAGAGGGTTTGTGTTTATTTCCTTATAATTTTACAATTTCTTCCACCATCCTGACTGAATCCCCATAACCTATAGAGAGTCATTTTCCAGTCATTTCTTGGGGCCATTTTGTATGAAAAGTAGAATGTAATCAAGATGCAAGTAACATGAGAAGCACCAAGGTCATTTTAAAGAGCAATATTTGGTATAAAAATGAGTGTTTAACCAGGAGACTGATGATGCATGTCTTGGTATAAGAATCACAGAGCACAATGGTGACCAGAACTTTCAAACTCTTTGAGTTGAGGAATTGCTCTGAAGCAAAACCATAGAAATAAGCAGAAGGAAGCTAAGAAAGTGTAATGTCTTACATTGGGTTTTCTAGAAGCAGACCCTGATATCAGGATTTAGGTGCATGAGAATTATTGAGTTGACACGCTGGATATTCTCAGGAGAAAAGGAGCAAGGAAGCCAGTAGAGCAGGGGAAGGAGCAAGCCAAGGGCAGGGGCTAAGCTTAGTTTCAACTTTGCTTTTGGACTTCCCAGCCTCTGGAACTGTGAGCGTGTGATCAGCATGGGGAGCTCTGGTGTATAAAAAGCACTGTAGAGTCATGTCTTGAGGCAGGAGGGCCTGCTTTCAGCATCCCCCCAGCTGTGGGCTGCAGGGAGGTAGGGAGGAAACAAGGCAACTGTCTTTGGCCAGAAGCAATTCTCTGGAGAAGGGGACAGCTGTGAGCACCTAGCATTTGGGGGAGGAGCCCAATAAAGAGAAGGTGAGTAGGGGGCACCACCAGGATCTACTTTAGTTGCTTACCCAAAGCCACAAATTAGCTAGTGGCACAATTGAGACTAAAACCCATCTCTCAGCCTCAGCACTGCCTTGCCAAGTCCACTTTTTACAATGGCAGTACCTACCACTATGCCATTCTTTTTTTTTTTTTTTTTTTTTTTTTTTTAGACAGAGTCTCACTCTGTTGCCCAGGCTGGAGTGCAGTGGTGCGATCTTGGCTCACTGCAAGCTCCGCCTCCCAGGTTCATGCCATTCTCCTACCTCAGCCTCCTGAGTAGCTGGGACTACAGGCGCCCGCCACCGCGCCCAGCTAATTTTTTGTATTTTTAGTAGAGACGGGGTTTCACCATGTTAGCCAGGATGGTCTCGATCTCCTGACCTCATGATCCACCCGCCTCGGCCTCCCAAAGTGCTGCGATTACAGGTGTGAGCCACCATGCCTGGCCCACTATGCCATTCTTTATGAAGCATTTTCAGAGCTACTATTTCATGCCCGCCATAATCCTGGGAGATAAACAAGGGCAGATATCTGTGTTCTCACTTTATGAATGAGGACATGGGGGCTAAGAGAGTGATCTGGCCCAAGGTCATGCACCTGGAAGCAACATAGTTGTGAATAGAACTTTGTTCTGTGGGACAACAGCACTTTTTACAGGTCAGAAGCGGTATCTACGAGAGACCACAGTCTAGCTCTTAATATCTGCTGGGCACAAGCTTGTGATCAATTTGGTTTTGTTCTGTCTCTCATTTGCTTTGGCATTTGAGCCTCAAACAATGACCCTCATCTGAACAGGGGCTTGCTCAAGAAACATGTAAGTCCCTTGTCATGTATCACCAACCCTGGAGTGGGGTTTCTGGTTTCCATTTCTAACTTTTGATACCCACTCTTAGTAATAAGAAAAAAAAAGTCTATTTTTATAAAATGACTCAAATGTCTCTGGAAACATTTACAATGTTTGGAATGTTGTGTTTTAATAATTTCCTGATCTGTATGTAGTAAGGAATTTTAATGCAAGCACTAATATGAAATTCCTCATCATTGTGGGGTTTAAATTTTGCTTTAGGTTTTCCTTGCATTTAAATTTAATCACAGTTGATCCTCAAGTGAGCTGAATTTGCTATAACTTCCTTGGCTTATTGCTTATTTATGGGGTGCTCTCTCTGATTTTCATCTTATCTTTCTCCTTCATTTTCTTCAGCCTCAAAACCTTCCTTATGACCTAATGGTTTCCTGCACAGGCATCTGGATATCCACAGCCTGCTCCAAATTCTGCTGTGAAATATTCATATCTTTGATGAGGTCACCTGCGCAAGGGCATCAGGAAGTTTTGGAATGAGATGCTATTAGTTCCAGACCACAGTCCACCTTGCACTGACCTTGTAATCTTGTAGCAAAAAAGATCATGGGTGTTTACAATTGTCCATACTCTTTGACCTAGCAATTATATCTCTTACATCTATCCTAGAGAAATAATTGTAGATATGCCCAAAGGTTTGGTTATAAGGATGTTTATGACCACAATTTTTATAAGAAAAAATATTGTTTAGGGGCTGCTCAGTGGCCTGTTTTTGTTCCCCCCACATTCATATGTTAAAGCCCTAACCCCCAATGTGATAGTATTCAGAAGTGGGGGCCTTTGGGAAGTAACTAGGTTTAGATGATGTAATGAGGGTGGAGCCCTCATCTCCCTCTCTTCCTCTTTGTCATATGAGGTGGGAAGATACAGCAAGAAACATCTGCAAGCCAGGAGAGTGCCCTCACCAGGAACCTTGATTTTGGACTTCCCAGCCTCCAGAATTGTGAGAAATAAGTATTTGTTGTTCAAACCACCCAGTCTGTAGTATTTTGTTATAGTAGTCAGAGCTAAGACATATATGATAAAATACCATACATCAGTGGTTCTCAAACCAGAAAGCTTATTAAATAAAACACAGATTGCTTTTCCTCCCCACCGCCTGAGAGTTTCTGATTCAGTAAATCTAGGTTGGGGTCTAGGAATTTGTATTTCTATCAAGTTCCCAAGTGATGGTGATGCTGCTGATATTTGGACCACACTTCAGGAAGCACTGCTATACAGGAATATGTGATGACATAATCTTTTTATATTATTATCCTTAAAAGGCAATTTATGTGACAAAAAGTACTTTAAACCTATTTTGTGAATTAATACCAATATTTCAAAAGTTGAATGGTGGTTAACTTAGTTATATTTGAGTGGTAGGATTATGGAGGCGGGATGCGTAGTATCTTCCCTCCACACCTCATTTTTTTGCATTGATTCAGAACTCATAGACTTGAGTTTAATCCTATCCTTAGCTCTCATCTGCTGGACGATCTTGAGCAAATTAGCTAATTCACAACAGACAAAGCTTCCTCGCCTGTAAACAGATAATGACGCATACCTCAAAGGGTTATTTTGACTATTAAGGAAAATAATGTAATCTTTATGTATTCATTCATTTAGCACATATCTGGGATACCCTAGGCACTAGGCTGGGGACTGGAGGTGAAATGATGAAGACTAAGTGTTTTGACCTCACACAACTTCAAGTTTATTGAGGAAAAAAGATATTCAATCCCCCTCATCATTCTCCCTGTACAGACAGACAGACTTCAATGGTAGCACATCTTAAAATAATTCTAATTTTCCAAATTGCTGATTTATAGGGGTCTCCATGTTTTTTCCAGTTATGAAGAAATACAGTTCTGGATTCGTCTAAGCAGCTAGTCCTTCCAGTACAATTTGATTTAAACAGAACTTTTCAAGAACAAGGTTGCTACATAAAGTGAGTCAAATGTCCGTCACAGTGTGCCATTCCTGGGCCTGTAGGTGTGGCCCTGTCCCACCCTGGGTGAAGGGCCATCCCTGCTTTACAGAAGGCTTGGGACAATTAAAAATTCCTTACAGAGAGTCCCCAAACTCCCTCATGCAAAGTGAGTCTGATTCCTTATTGAACTTTCCATGCACGGCTCAAGGAGAAAAGTGCCCTCTCCCTCCCCCACCCGCCCAAGAACCCGGAAGTAAATGCCTTCTCTGTCCATCAATGAAGGCACTTGAAGCAAACTTCTTGACATGACAAACCAGTGTTTGAGTGTTTGAGATCCTCAAGACATGTTGTCTAAAAAACACACAGCAGAGGGGAGCACAGGCCTCCAGTATCGGCTCTCACCCTGGAGATGTCTTGCTAATAGAAAATGATTCTTTCGAGCTGTGGTCATGATGAAATTGACCCTCCCTTGTGGGGAGTGAGAGAGGCCCCAGGATATGGTTTATCATGGGCAAACCCTCATCTTCCGGGCACTGCCCTTCTCAGCCTCCCTCTGGGCCAAACCTCTGGCTTTATCTTTTGATAAGGCAGTGTGTTTACTCCACCTGCCTCTGTGCCTGGGAGGTGCCTTGCAGCAGGCATTGGGAGTGTTTTACTGCCCTCACTACAATCTCTGGGCCTCTAACCATAAAAAGAAAGAAGGAGGAAGGGGAGGAAGCCGGATCAGCCCTTTCAAAAAAAAAAAAAAAAACAAAACCCAAACCATAAAACTTATAAAACTTCAAAATCAAAAATATAAAATAATTACTTTATTTTTTTTAATTTAATAAAATTAAAATATTTTAGGAGACCATTTTTCACTAGGTATCTTAGGCTTTATATTTCCTGGCCTTTATTGAACTTTCAGAAGAAAGTTGTAAAAATGCTCACCAAATGTCACTGTGAAAGGAAGGGAAAACAACTCATGAGACAGAGGTCAGTAAAAACCATGGTGGATATAAATACGATGTCATTTCCATTTAAGGGACTATTAACATCTAAGTGAGAACTATGGTGAAAAAGGAACCCTTACAATTTTATGAAATACAGAGTTGACTTTGCTATAGGACTCTAATCCTATAGTATATAATTTAAAAGATAACCAGTCTAAGAATCCATTTTTAAATTGAGATATAATTCACATATCATAAAATTCATGCTGTTAAAATATATAATTCAGCAGTTTTTACTAGGATCACAAAGTTGTTCAATCATTACCAGTTTCTAATTCCAGAATATTTTCATCACCCCATGAAGAAACCCCATACCTGGTACAATGTGATGTTTTGATATATGTTTATAACATGGAATGATTAAGTCAAGTTAACTAACATATCAATTACCTCACTTATCTATCATTTTTTCTGGTAAGACATTTGAAATATACTCTTAGTTATTTTGAAACATATGTTATTGTTTACTATAGTCACTCTGCTATGCAATAAATCTCAAAATCTACTTATCCTGTCTATCTGAAACTTTGTACTCTTTGATCAACAACTCCCTATTCATCTCCACCACCCCCAGTCTCAGGGAACCATCATTTCACTTTCTACTTTTTTGAGTTCCAGTTTATTAGATTCCACATATAAGTGAGTTCATGCAACATTTGTCTTTCTGTACCTGGTTTATTTCACTTAGCATAATGTCCTTCAAATTCACCCATATTATTTCAAATGGCAACATTTCCCCCTTTTTAAGGCTGAATAGTATTCCGTTGTGTATATATATCAAATTTAAAAAAATAATTTAAATATATATTCATTCGTTGGTTGAAAAACTCATGTGTAATGGAAGGATATTTCTGTGTTAATGTGTTAATAAAATTGAGCATATAAACATCTTATTAACAGCTAATTTGTACTGAGCACTAACCATAACACAATGTATGTGTTAATAAATTTAATTCTCACAGTAATGTGATAACAGAAAAAGAAAGACAACTACAGAAAAAGAAAATTAAAATCACCCATGAGTCCTTCTTATTCAAGATAACCACAAAGAATATTTTGCTGGTTTTCCTTTCAGTCTTTTTGAAATTATTTATTTTTACAGTTATCTTTTTCCTTGGACTGTGAATGCCATTTGTTTTATTCTTTTCTTTCCAAAAAGCCTGTCACTTAGCAAATATCAAGTGAATGTTAGATGTAATAAATCAATTAAGTTGAATGGCAGAATATTTTAAATTCCAAAGTATTTATATGATTTATAGAAATAATGGATAATGTGCTTAGAAACAGTTGCTTCATGTCAAGAGCCAATCTTAGTTTTGGGAATAAATACATGCTTAATTTTGAAGAATTGGCCATTGGAAGATAACTTTTAAAGTTTTTGGGGGGAGAAGGTTATAGAGGCCATTGTGGTTCCATAAGAAAAGCCAGAGACCAGCCAGGCATGGTGGCTCATGCCTGTAATCCCAGCGTTTTGGGAGGCTGAGGCAGGAGGACCCCCTGAGCCCAGGAGTTTGAGACCAGCCTGGACGACATAGTGAAACCCTGTCTCTACAAAAAATAAAAAATTAGCTGGGCATGGTGGTACATGCCTTTAGTCCCAGCTGCTTGGGAAGCTGACGTGGGAGGATTACCTGCTCCTAGGGTGCAGGATCATTTGCTCATTCGAGGCTGCAATGAGCCATGATCATGCACGCCACTGCACTCCAACCTGGGTGACAGAGTGAGACCCTGTCTCAAAAACAAAAAAATTTAAAAAAAGAAAAAAGTAAAGCCAGAGACCAGAACTCAAAGTCCCTGGGATTTCACAGAGAAGGTGGCATTAATTGACTAACCAAACTTCCATAGACACAGCTCTTTTATTGCTTCATGCACATTGTATGCTTAGTGTTGTGTTCAGATGCAAATAACTGAAAACCCAACTTGAATGGCTTAAACTTACAGGTTTTTTTTTTCTTATGTAACATGAATTTTGAAGACAGGCAGTTGTCAATGTTCAGATCAAAGCTGTGCCCCATTCTGGCTGGGCCCATGTCTGTGCAGTTGTCTTAGTCTTTCCCTCATTTTCATGGTAACAAGCATCCCTTCTGTATTCAAGCAGGAGGAAAATGGGAAGAGAAAAGGGAAAGTCCACACCAGCTGGCTCAGTCTCCTTTTATTTTCATGGGATCTTTGGGGTGTTGCTTTTCTGGCCAGAAAACTCTGTGGCCAGTGGTGCCTTTGCCTGACTTTTGCTCAGGCCTGCTCACCTCGTTCTGCTCACCTGGCCTGGCAGGCTGTGCTTGGTTCACACTACCAGCCTGGATCCCACACCTGCCAAGGGTGAGCCAGGTGGGGAGTGGCAGGGGGTGTGTGAACGAGCAAGCATGGGGTCCGGCCACTGCACACAGTCAGGCATGCTGGCTGCTGCAGTGGGGCGGGCAGCTCCAGGTGCTGGAACAGACACTGGCTCTCTGTGAGGCTGTGGCTTGACCATGTGCATGGCAAGCAGCTTCCCCAGCTGGCACCAGGGAATGTGGTGGTGTTCAGGAGCTCAGCAAACACCAGAAACCACAGGACCTCAAAGAGGGAGTCACAGCCTGGGCTCGGGGAGCTCCCAGGTCTGGGCTCCCTGAGTGGCTGCATCTCTTCTCTCCTTCTCTTCACCCACAGCGTGGTGAGCACAGGGCACGTTTCAGCCCTGTTTATGTTATAGCTCTTTTAGTTCTGCCATTCGGTAGGTCCTGAGTCCTTATCCTGCAACCAAGAAGAATAAGGTATGTAGACAAGTGGAGGGTGAACAAGATGAAGAGGAGCTTTATTGAGCAATAGAGTAGCTCACAGAAGACCTGCAGGAGCAGCTCCTTTCCACAGCCAAAGTGTCCCATTGAGTGTTCAGCTCCTAGCAGAGGGGAGACCCTGGAGTGGGAAGCTCCTTTCTGCAGGCAGTTCATCCCATCATCTCTGTACGTCTCTGAAGCTCTTACGAGGGAGGAGGCCCTAGAGTGGGTAGCTCCTCTATGCAGCTGGTCATCCTGATGTCTCCTGCTATTAGCAGAGAGGGTGAGAGGGTAGCTCCTCTCTGCAGATGGTAGTCCCCTCATCTGCTCTGCTCTGTCTGAGCCTGGGGCTTTTATGGGCCTCAGAGGGGGAAGTGTGTGCTGACTGGTTCATGTGCAGCCATGGGCGGGCCCAGGAAAAAGCACCACAACCCGCCCTTCTGGTCCATAGGACTGGTAGCCCAGTCCCCAGGCTTCAGGTCTTCCCCAGCCTGAAGGTGGGGCTTCACTGGGGACCCACCCCCTTCTGCCCAGGAACCTGTCTGCCTCCCACTGTTGCTCATGGTGCCTGGGCTCGGCCCAACTTTGATCCGAGATTGGAGCAGGTGCCAACGGCAGGGAGAAAGCAGGCAGTGGGACCGGGCACTTCCAAGCCTGTGAGAGCAGGGCGGGGGCCTTCCCAGGCCCCCAAGAGTACAAGGATGCCTGGGTCTAAAGCTGCAGTTTGGGCAGATGCAGCTGCGCCTAGGAGGGCAGGTCTCCCACCTGCTCCATGGAGTGGGAGCCCTGGGTCTGCAGCCAAGGTTTGGGTGGCTGCAGCAGCACCCAGGGAGCTCCTGCCCCAACTCAAAAGGGGTGGGGTCCCACCGGCTCCACAGAGCTGCAGCCTCAGCTGCGCCTCCCTGCTGCAGGCAGTGTGATGGTAGCAGCAGGCCGGCTGGAGTGGCTGCTGCCATTATTATCACAGAGGCAAAGGCTTTCTGGAAGATTTCTGCTTAGGTCTCATTGCCCAGAATCAGGTCACATGGCTTCTCCTAGCTACAAGAAGGTCTAGGGAACAGAGCTGGGCATACTGCTACTGCAAAGAGAATTGAGATTATGTTAGCATGGAAGAAAGGGATGAAGAGATATTGGTATGCAAGTGACAGTATTTGTCATACATGCTCCTAATAACCAACAGCTGTGTGGCTCTTTATGTGATCCCAGTTAATGTATATAAAGCACCCTTTACAGTTGGCATCCAGAATGGGGTAGCTTTTAACAATAAGGATAACTATGTTTATTACAACAAGCTCTTTGAACACATATTTTTGTTTGATCTTAAACCAGTTCTATAGAGTAGTAAGTTAAGTCTTACCATTCCCACTGTACAGATGAAAAAACCAAGATTGAAGATGGCCGAATAGGAACAGCTCTGGTCTACAGCTCCCAGTGTGAGCGACACAGAAGACGGGTGATTTCTGCATTTCCATCTGAGGTACCGGGTTCATCTCACTAGAGAGTGCCAGACAGAGGGCGCAGGACAGTGGGTGCAGCGCACCGTGCGCGAGCTGAAGCAGGGCGAGGCATTGCCTCACTCGGGAAGCGCAAGGGGTCAAGGAGTTCCCTTTCCTAGTCAAAGAAAGGGGTGACAGACGGCACCTGGAAAATCGGGTCACTCCCACCCTAATACTGTGCTTTTCCGACGGGCTTAAAAAACGGCGCACCAGGAGATAATATCCCGCACCTGGCTCGGAGGGTCCTACGCACACGGAGTCTCGCTGATTGCTAGCACAGCAGTCTGAGATCAAACTGCAAGGCGTCAGTGAGGCTGGGGGAGGGGCGCCCGCCATTGCCCAGGCTTGATTAGGTAAACAAAGCAGGTGGGAAGCTCGAACTGGGTGGAGCCCACCACAGCTCAAGGAAGCCTGCCTGCCTCTGTAGGCTCCACCTCTGGGGGCAGGGCACAGACAAACAAAAAGACAGCAGTAACCTCTGCAGACTTAACTGTCCCTGTCTGACAGCTTTGAAGAGAGCAGTGGTTCTCCCAACACGCAGCTGGAGATCTGAGAACGGGCAGACTGCATCCTCAAGTGGGTCCCTGACCCCTGACCCCCGAGCAGCCTAACTGGGAGGCACCCCCCAGTAGGGGCAGACTGACACCTCACACGGCCGGGTACTCCTCTGAGACAAAACTTCCAAAGGAATGATCAGACAGCAGCATTTGCGGTTCACGAAAATCCGCTGTTCTGCAGCCACCGCTGCTGGTACCCAGGAAAACAGGGTCTGGAGTGGACCTCTAGCAAACTCCAACAGACCTGCAGCTGAGGGTCCTGTCTGTTAGAAGGAAAACTAACAAACAGAAAGGACATCCACACCAAAAACCCACCTGTACATCACCATTATCAAAGACCAAAAGTAGATAAAACCACAAAGATGGAGAAAAAACAGAGCAGAAAAACTGGAAACTCTAAAAAGCAGAGTGCCTCTCCTCCTCCAAAGGAACGCAGCTCCTCACCAGCAACGGAACAAAGCTGGACAGAGAATGACTTTGACGAGTTGAGAGAAGAAGGCTTCAGACGATCAAACTACTCCAAGCTACAGGAGGAAATTCAAACCAAAGGCAAAGAAGTTGAAAACTTTGAAAAAAATTTAGACGAATGTATAACTAGAATAACCAATACAGAGAAGTGCTTAAAGGAGCTGATGGAGCTGAAAACCAAGGCTCGAGAACTACGTGAAGAATGCAGAAGCCTCAGGAGCCGATGTGATCAACTGGAAGAAAGGGTATCAGCGATGGAAGATGAAATGAATGAAATGAAGCGAGAAGGGAAGTTTAGAGAAAAAAGAATAAAAAGAAATGAACGAACCTTCCAAGAAATATGGGACTATGTGAAAAGACCAAATCTACATCTGATTGGTGTACCTGAAAGTGACGGGGAGAATGGAACCAAGTTGGAAAACACTCTGCAGGATATTATCCAGGAGAACTTCCCCAATCTAGCAAGGCAGGCCAACATTCAGATTCAGGAAATACAGAGAACGCCACAAAGATACTCCTCGAGAACAGCAACTCCAAGACACATAATTGTCAGATTCACCAAAGTTGAAATGAAGGAAAAAATGTTAAGGGCAGCCAGAGAGAAAGGTCGGGTTACCCACAAAGGGAAGCCCATCAGACTAACAGCGGATCTCTCGGCAGAAACTCTACAAGCCAGAAGAGAGTGGGGGCTAATATTCAACATTCTTAAAGAAAAGAATTTTCAATCCAGAATTTCATATCCAGCCAAACTAAGCTTCATAAGTGAAGGAGAAATAAAATACTTTACAGACAAGCAAATGCTGAGGGATTTTTTCACCACCAGGCCTGCCCTAAAAGAGCTCCTGAAGGAAGCGCTAAACATGGAAAGGAACAACTGGTACCAGCCACTGCAAAATCATGCCAAATTGTAAAGACCATCGAGGCTAGGAAGAAACTGCATCAAGTAACGAGCAAAATAACCAGCTAACATCATCATGACAGGATCAAATTCACACATAACCATATTAACTTTAAATGTAAATGGACTAAATGCTCCAATTAAAAGACACAGACTGGCAAATTGGATAAAGAGTCAAGACCCATCAGTGTGCTGTATTCAGGAAACCCATCTCACGTGCAGAGACACACATAGGCTCAAAATAAAAGGATGGAGGAAGATCTGCCAAGCAAATGGAAAACAAAAAAAGGCAGGAGTTGCAATCCTAGTCTCGGATAAAACAGACTTTAAACCAACAAAGATCAAAAGAGACAAAGAAGGCCATTACATAATGCTAAAGGGATCAATTCAACAAGAAGAGCTAACTATCCTAAATATATATGCACCCAATACAGGAGCACCCAGATTCATAAAGCAAGTCCTGAGTGACCTACAAAGAGACTTAGACTCCCACACAATAATAATGGGAGACTTTAACACCCCACTGTCAACATTAGACAGATCAACGAGACAGAAAGTTAAAAAGGATACCCAGGAATTGAACTCAGCTCTGCACCAAGCAGACCTAATAGACATCTACAGAACTCTCTACCCCAAATCAACAGAATATACATTTTTTTCAGCACCACACCACACCTATTCCAAAACTGACCACATACTTGGAAGTAAAGCTCTCCTCAACAAATGTAAAAGATCAGACATTATAACAAACTGTCTCTCAGACCACAGTGCAATCAAACTATAACTCAGGATTAAGAAACTCACTCAAAACCACTCAACTACATGGAAACTGAACAAACTGCTCCTGAATGACTACTGGGTACATAACGAAATGAAGGCAGAAATAAAGATGTTCTTTGAAACCAACGAGAACAAAGACACAACATACCAGAATCTCTGGGACACATTCAAAGCAGTGTGTAGAGGGAAATTTACGGCACTAAATGCCCACAAGAGACAGCAGGAAAGATCCAAAATTGACACCCTAACATCACAATTAAAACAACTAGAAAAGCAAGAGCAAACACATTCAAAAGCTAGCAGAAGGCAAGAAATAACTAAAATCAGAGCAGAACTGAAGGAAATAGAGACACAAAAAACCCTTCAAAAAATTAATGAATCCAGGAGCTGGTTTTTTGAAATGATCAACAAAATTGATAGACCGCTAGCAAGACTAATAAAGAAGAAAAGAGAGAAGAATCAAATAGACGCAATAAAAAATGATAAAGGGGATATCACCACTGATCCCACAGAAATACAAACTACCATCAGAGAATAGTACAAACACCTCTACGCAAATAAACTAGAAAATCTAGAAGAAATGGATAAATTCCTCGACACATACACTCTCCCAAGACTAAACCAGGAAGAAGTTGAATCTCTGAATAGACCAATAAGAGGCTCTGAAATTGTGGCAATAATCAATAGCTTACCAACCAAAAAGAGTCCAGGACCAGATGGATTCACAGCCGAATTCTACCAGAGGTACAAGGAGGAACTGGTACCATTCCTTCTGAAACTATTCCAATCAGTAGAAAAAGAGGGAATCCTCCCTAACTCATTTTATGAGGCCAGCATCATCCTGATACCAAAGCCGGGCAGAGACACAACCAAAAAAGAGAATTTTAGACCAATATCCTTGATGAACATTGATGCAAAAATCCTCAATAAAATACTGGCAAACCAAATCCAGCAGCACATCAAAAAGCTTATGCACCATGATCAAGTGGGCTTCATCCCCGGGATGCAAGGCTGGTTCAATATACACAAATCAATAAATGTAATCCAGCATATAAACAGAACCAAAGACAAAAACCACATGATTATCTCAATAGATGCAGAAAAGGCCTTTGACAAAATTCAACAACACTTTATGCTAAAAACTCTCAATAAATTAGGTATTGATGGGACGTATCTCAAAATAATAAGAGCTACTATGACAAACCCACAGCCAATATCATACTGAATGGGCAAAGACTGGAAGCATTCCCTTTGAAAACTGGCACAAGACAGGGATGCCCTCTCTCACCACTCCTATTCAGCATAGTGTTGGAAGTTCTGGCCAGGGCAATTAGGCAGGAGAAGGAAATAAAGGGTATTCAATTAGGAAAAGAGGAAGTCAAATTGTCCCTGTTTGCAGATGACGTGATTGTACATCTAGAAAACCCCACTGTCTCAGCCCAAAATCTCCTTAAGCTGATAAGCAACTTCAGCAAAGTCTCAGGATACAAAATCCATGTACAAAAATCACAAGCATTCTTATACACCAATAAAAGACAAACAGAGAGCCAAATCATGAGTGAACTCCCATTCACAATTGCTTCAAAGAGAATAAAATACCTAGGAATCCAACTTACAAGGGATGTGAAGGACCTCTTCAAGGAGAACTACAAACCACTGCTCAATGAAATAAAAGAGGATACAAACAAATGGAAGAACATTCCATGCTCATGGGTAGGAAGAATCAATATCGTGAAAATGGCCATACTGCCCAAGGTAATTTATAGATTCAATGCCATCCCCCTCAAGCTACCAATGACTTTCTTCACAGAATTGGAAAAAACTACTTTAAAGTTCATATGGCACCAAAAAAGAGCCCGCATCACCAAGTCAATCCTAAGTCAAAAGAACAAAGCTGGAGGCATCACGCTACCTGACTTCAAACTATACTACAAGGCTACAGTCACCAAAACAGCATGGTACTGGTACCAAAACAGAGATATAGATCAATGGAACAGATCAGAGCCCTCAGAAATAATGCCACATATCTACAACTATCTGATCTTTGACAAACCTGACAAAAACAAGCAATGGGGAAAGGATTCCCTATTTAATAAATGGTGCTGGGAAAACTGGCTAGCCATATGTAGAAAGCTGAAACTGGATCCCTTCCTTACACCTTATACAAAAATTAATTCGAGATGGATTAAAGACTTAAACGTTAGACCTAAAACCATAAAAACCCTAGAAGAAAACCTAGGCATTACCATTCAGGACATAGGCATGGGCAAGGACTTCATGTCTAAAACACCAAAAGCAATGGCAACAAAAGGCAAAATTGACAAATGGGATCTAATTAAACTAAAGAGCTTCTGCACAGCAAAAGAAACTACCATCAGAGTGAACAGGCAACCTACACAATGGGAGAAAATTTTCGCAACCTACTCATCTGACAAAGGGCTAATATCCAGAATCTACAATGAACTCAAACAAATTTACAAGAAAAAAACAAACAACCCCATCAAAAAGTGGGCAAAGGACATGAACAGACACTTCTGAAAAGAAGACATTTATGCAGCCAAAAAACACACAAAAAAATGCTCACCATCACTGGCTATCAAAGAAATGCAAATCAAAACCACAATGAGATACCATCTCACACCAGTTAGAATGGCAATCATTAAAAAGTCAGGAAACAACAGGTGCTGGAGAGGATGTGGAGAAATAGGAACACTTTTACACTGTTGGTGGGACTGTAAACTAGTTCAACCGTTGTGGAAGTCAGTGTGGCAATTCCTCAGGGATCTAGAACTAGAAATACCATTGGACCCAGCCATCCCATTACTGGGTATATACACAGAGGACTATAAATCATGCTGCTATAAAGACACGTGCACACGTATGTTTATTTCGGCACTATTCACAATAGCAAAGACTTGGAACCAACCCAAATGTCCAACAATGATAGACTGGATTAAGAAAATGTGGCACATATACACCATGGAATACTATGCAGCCATAAAAAATGATGAGTTCATGTCCTTTGTAGGGACATGGATGAAATTGGAAATCATCATTCTCAGTAAACTATCGCAAGGACAAAAAATCAAACACCGCATATTCTCACTCATAGGTGGGAATTGAACAATGAGAACACATGGACACAGGAAGGGGAACATCACACTCTGGGGACTGTTGTGGGTTGGGGGGAGTGGGGAGGGATAGCATTAGGAGATATACCTAATGCTAAATGATGAGTTAATGGGTGCAGCACACCAGCATGGCACATGTAGACATATGTAACTAACCTGCACATTGTGCACATGTACCCTAAAACTTAAAGTATAATAATAAAAAATAAATAAAAAAGTGACATTACTTCAAAACCATGTTTACCTTAAGATAGATAGATACCAAAACAATTAGAGAAAAAAAAAAAAAAGAAAAAACCAAGACTCAGGGCAGGTACAGTTACATGATGTGTACATGGTGGACACAGAATTCAAATTGAATTCTTGTGCCTCCAAATCCTGTGGCAAGAACTGTACTTCTGTTTCTGCCTGCTCAGTTGGCACTGCATGTTGAACCTTTGCTAAGGTCACAGACTTAAAATACTAAGACATAAACAGGGTCAACTAGAGTTGGGAGCCTGTGGAAGACAGTGTGTCTGTCTGTGGTTTCCTCTGCCTGAGATGGCCTGTGGGCTTTTGGTTTTGTTTGTTGCAACATTCTAAAAGGCTTTCTGGCTGCAAGCGTGGGCTAGCAAATGTAAATGGAGGAGCTGTGGCCAGCTGTGGGTGGTCACACCCCTCAGAACCTCAGCATACAATGGAGCATTGACAAACAGTCCACTGCAGATTGCTGCCCTATAGTCAAGTGAGGTGCTGGGCGGAGATGGGGGCCACCTTTGCCTTGGGTGCATGACAAAAGCTTGTTTTTAGAAAGACAAATCTTTCAAGAGTTCCATTTTGAAACATTAGCATTTTCCTTTGGTTGCTGAAGCTTTTTATGACGTGGGGCTTTGAGGGAAGTTACAAGGGTATTTCAGCCACCAAGACCCACAAAACTTCATCTACTAAACTGTAGACAGAATGCCTTTGTGTGGCTCTGTGAAGAAAAGTGATACAACACTTGGAAATAAGCAAAAGGATGACTGCATGTCCTTGCCAACTCATACTGAAGCACTGTCTACCAAAACCATCCAGGAATATTTCATTCTCTAGGGAAATGCACCATGGTTTGACTTACCTATTTATGACTGACTAGGATCTGAAGCATCTACTCTATGAAGGTAGATTGTAACTGGTAATTTGATAAGTTACAAATGACTTTTGCAAAGTAGAGTTGCAGCTCCTTTCTATTCGGTAAAAAACAAAACAAAATAAAACCAAAAAAAAAAACAAACAAAACAAAACAAACAAAAACCCCCCCAAAATCCAAAGGTTACAGTTTTATTGCCGTGTAGGACACAAGAGTTCTGTATCTATCTTTGCAATCACATTTTAACTTTTTTCCCACTGAGAGTGTGTGTGTGTGTGTGTGTGTTTATGTTTCTCCTACATGCTGGTTTCCTCATTAATGAATTAAATATGTCTTTGATACATGCTCACCATATATTTGTATAAAGGTCGTGTTTCTAGCTTTTTGAAGTTGGCTTTGACAGTGTCTTGGCAATTCTTGCAGAGAGAATCAATTGTAGTTTAAGGAATTTAGCAATGTGAAGATTATAAAGTGCAAAGAGGAAAATCTCACTGGGAGTATATGTGCTATTTAACTTGATCCTTGCCTTCAGCTGTTCATAAACACTGCCTAGAAGCTATTCCTCAGTGTGTTGGTATTGGACTACAGAACAAAATCAAAATAAACAAAACAATGCAAAATGAGAAAGCCCCATGCAAACAAATGGATGAACACAGAAATTATAATTTTAGAAATAAAATGGAATCTGGTAGTGGTGGCCACCCAGAGAAGATCCTTCTTGCTTCTGAATTCTGTCTCTCTGCAGGTACTTATTTTCTTTCCAAGCCCAGCATCTATTTTCAAGGCCACGTGCATTGGATGGAGTTTCCGGTGCAAAGAAAAAACAAGCTGAATCAAGTGCATTTTATTTATCCTAATCTCCACAGCAGTCATTTTCTCCTCCAGGAGAGGGGAGACACATTGTAAAGATCCAGAAGCCAGTGCCATCTCAAATGAATACAAGCCTCAAACAGCCTTTACTTCTCCCATTTGACGCCCCTGTCCAGTAACAGAGACTCGTCTGAGTTTCAGGTTCTAGAAATGGTTTCTCTGTGATCTAGTGATAAAGGATTACAATTGTGTTTATTTATTTCAGTCATCTTGGTAATTGATCTGACAGTCTGGTGAGTGAGAAGTGTTGGAGAAATAAACAAATTATGTCCTGCTATTTATCATGTGTGTATCGTGTGTGTGTACACGTGCATGTGTGTGTGTAAAAGAGGGCTCCTATTTGAGGTTACCCTTCAGTGCTGGCACTTCTCCTTAAATTTAAACAGAGATAATTGAAGATCCATGTGCTTTGTTGGTAAATTTGTTACAAGAATAGTAACCACTTAGAGGCATCTTCACATGAGTTCCTGTGATCTCTGGCCTCATGTTTCCACTGCTGAGGCAGTTGCAGGTGGGGAGACTGGGAGTGTCCAAATAGTTGGTTTGTTTAACTCCAGTAGTGTTATTCCTCCCAGCAAAAACACCTAACCTCTAGGATTTCTGGGATGATTTCCACTAGATGGGTCACAGGAAAGAGCTCTGGGGATAATCCATGTCAAACTTCTGTTATGCATGCTTCGTGCAATTTCCAAATGCCTATAAATAGTAAGTTAACATGATAATATTTTTATTTATGTCTGTGATCTATTTACTATCTCTGTCGCTTTATGGGCCCTCAAACAACTTGCCTGTTGTTCAAAGAAAAATAGTAAGAACCATATACATAATCACAAGACTTTTTAAAATAACATTGGTGTTGTTTAATACAGGGCCTTTCATCTCTCTAAAAATAATATTTTATGTATTTTGTCATATTACTAGATACCAACCAGTAGGAAATCATAAATGTGTTGGAGAATCTTTGAATCGTGTCTGTTGTAAAGCAATGGGTTCATTGTCTTCTCCCTAAGTTTATCCTATCACTATCCCACCAATGTAATAACTTTATATTTTTAAAGATATTAGATTGGTCTGACATTACTCCTTCCAGAGAGCCCTCACTCAATTCTGATCATGACTGCTTTCTCTATTAGGAGTTCAGAAACCAAACCTTTGGTGATCACGTTAGACTCTTATCCATTAGAATCCCAATTCTTCAGTCATCCAGTGCCCATTCCCTTCTCTTTGATACTTTGATGGTGGTTAAGAGGGCTCAGGTTAAGTTTTCTCAGTGCCCGAACATGTCTCTTATCCCAACAGGGAGACTCAAAAATATTTACAATAGGCCAGGCACGGTGGCTCATGCCTGTAATCCCAGCACTTTGGGAGGCCGAGGCAGGCAGATCACGAGGTCAGGAGATCGAGACCATCCTGGCTAACACAGTGAAACCCCGTCTCTACTAAAAATATAAAAAAATTAGCCAGGTGTGGTAGTGGGTGTCTGTAGTCCCAGCTACTCAGGAGGCTGAGGCAAGAGAGTGGCGTGAACCCAGGAGGTGGAGCTTGCAGTGAGCCGAGATCACGCCATTGCACTCCAGCCTGGGCGACAGAGCAAGACTCCGTCTCAAAAAAAAAAAAAAAAAAAAAAAAAAAAATATATATATATATATATATATATACACATATATATATATACATATATATATACATATATATATATACGTATATATATATACATGTATATATACATGTATATATATATATATATACACACATATATATATATACAATATATATTAGCATGTATTCATTTTGGAAATATTTGAAAAAAATCAAACCACTCCGAAGTATGTCAAATGATTCTCACCAAAACTGAAACTCTCTCATCTGTCTTTTAAGGTGTTATTTCCATAGATCCCTGTTGAAAAACTGCCTTCTCTTATCTAGTGACATAAGACTTTCCTTATTTCTTAGGTGTTTTTATTGAAATAACCATGTTAGTTCTATTGCTTGTCTTTCTGATCTAAAATACAATCATAGTGCTCTCAATTTTCTTTTTCTGGACAGTAGTTTCTTTAACAGTTAATGAGTGGGATATGATGGCTTTGTGTCTTGCTACAGATCCCCCAAGGCATAGTATGCCAAAAAATCAAAATCTAGTTTTTAAAATGGGTTTTGACCATATTTTCTAAAAATAGGGGAACCTATTATATAATAGTCTCTGGCATAACTTCTGACTCATAACTTCTGATATTTTGCAATAGCATGTTTACATGACTCAATCAAGAGAAATAATGGTCTATGTCATTTTCCTATAGCCATTCTCCATGCAGAATAAAATCACCAAGGGCTAAGAGATCAAAATGATGAAGGAACCAGGTTGTTTGAGGACCTTTCCACTCCCCCAAATCTAGCAGCTTTTCTTTTCTAGCACTGTAAGATGAAGGGGTAAAACCAAAATAAAACACCTCACATCATCATTGAAGGCTTCTCTAGTTCAATTTGTACTTCAATGAATTCTTCAGGTTTTCTTTAAGTTTTCTGAGGAAGTATTTGAGCTTAACACTCCTCTTTCAAAAACTTAGACCAAAAGTCCTGTATGAGTTTTCCCCGATACAAAAGGTTCATGTGGCTTTCTGTCTGTTTGCTTTCTTAGACTCCATGTTTCTCATGATATTTGCTCTCACTTAGCAATGTTTTGGATCTATATGGATGCATGGAAGGATCCTTCCATTGTGAAACTTGCACAAGTTTTTGTTGTTGTTTAATTTTTCTAAAATGATCGGAGACACTGACCACATTCAGGGTTGTGTGCCAGACCCTTTTCTCCTTGAGCCAGCTCATTCCAATATTATAACCTCCACAAGAGTAGGGACTGCTTCTCTTACTAATGCTGAATTCCTAATACCTAGCACAGTACCTAGTACACAGTAGTGTTCAATGTGCATTTTTGAAATAATAAAATAAATGCTTTCCCATAAAGATCATGGATAGAGTATGAACCACTATTCCAAGGATCTCAAAGTGCAGTTAACCTCTGATGGGCTAGGGCCTGGAGATTTGTGTGTGTACTAAATCCCTCTGGATATGCAGTGAAAGCTGCGGACATTCTGCTTAGGGAGGTTTAGATGCCCACAAAGAGTCAGCCAATAATTCCAAGATTTACCCTCTTCTCTCTACTGTGGATGACTGATTGTCTGTGAAGAGACAATGCCCAGGACTGAGGTCCCAGAAGAGGGCTTCCTGAGTAGTGAGAATGTGGTGACCGGCAACAGAGACTTGGAGATCACTGACGGCCAATGAGGACTGTGAAAAACTAGGCTCAGAGAGAAAGTTGAAGAAACGCTATGAGGAAGAAAATGTACAGAGATAAACCTTTCCCAGGACAGAAACGTTCCTTCAAGCATATGCTGTGAGCAAGATTCTTGGGGCACCCTTGAGTTAAGACATTTGTGTATGAAATGGAAATTGGCATCTGAAACTGAGGGAATCTGAAGCCAAAGTGTCCCAGTTACCAAGAAAAGTGAGTCAACAGTTCCTAGACTTTAAGTGCACAGTGGAAAGAGAAAATTCACAGGCAAAAAAAAAAAAAATGTAATTCAACTAATCACCAGACTAGGAGCTAGAGATAAGGGAGGGTCGCTTTCTTCATAGGGATGGCGGTTTACCTTGCATGACTGCCTGTCCTGTACTTCAAAGGTCTGGAAAAGAATGACTGGTGATTCAAACTGAGCCGAACTGCAATAAATAAGATTGGCTGCCCTGTGTACCCCCACAATTCTCTCATACCAGAGCAGTGGTGCTCAATCAGGAGCAACTTTGCCCCCAGGGGGCATTGGCAATGTTCCATGACAATTTTAGTTGTCATAAATGACAGGGGGCAGGGGCGGAGAGTGCTTCTGGCATCTAGTGGGTGAAGGCCAGGGATGCTACTAAACATCCTACAGCACACAGGACAGTCCCCTGGCCCCAGCAAAGAATGATCCAGCACAAGATGTCAATAGTGCTGAGAACCCTGCACTAGAATAAAGAGCTTTGTGCAGTTTTGACAAATGACCAAACTTGTCCACTGATTTCTGCTTCAGTTGACACATCGTGGGAATAAGGGTTGTTACCTCAAAAAAAGCAAATGGGAAAGCACATGATTCCTGGGCACGGTCTTTAGAGAAGAAATCTTGCTGCTCCTCTGGTCATAGCAATGGAAAGTTCCTCAAGCTGTAATGGGACAGCTCTGGGAACTTTGGGTTTGGGTGCATTTCATCAGAAGGTGTGCTCAGGGAATAGCAGTGCACCTAACATTAGTCTAACGCAAGCATCATCCAAAGATCAGAAGGGTACATCTAGTGCAACTGACACCATGTAATTAATCTTGAGGTGGCCAGGCGCGGTGGCTCACGCCTGTAATCCCAGCACTTTGGGAGACCGAGGCAGAAAGATAGCAGGAGGCCAGGAGTTCGAGACCAGCCTGGCCAATATGGCAAACCCTGTCTCTACTAAAAATACATGGTGGCATATGTCTGTAATCCCAGCTACTTGGGAGGCTGAAGCAGGAGAATCACGAATTCAGGAGGCAGAAGTCGCAGTAAGCCAAGATTGTGTGTGTCACTGCACTCCAGCCTAGGCAACAGAGCGAGACTCTGTGTCAAAATAATAATAATAATAATAATAACAATAATAATTAATCTTGAGTCAAACAGAAATGACTTTTGCATCGTGTGTGTACCTACCTCCTCCAGGAGGGCAGCTAATTGAGAATAATGGGGTGTTCCTTCTTGACATGTCTACCACGGATGGAAATTTGAAGGGCAAAACAGAAGTGATTGGAGTTCTGAGCTACAGTTGCTTATAAGCAAAAAAGCACATGTCTGTATTTTAAGATGACTGTGTTTCTCTTCCAATCAACTTTCTTCAAAGCATTAATCACTGAAAACAAGGAAGATGTGCCAGTGGATATGCTTTTATTGTTGTTGTTATCGTTTTAAAGCTACATTTTTTTCTGTTCTGTGAATTGGCAATAAAACAGACATTGACTACCTTGACCCTTATGACATTGCAGATTTGCTTATTTGGCATTCTTCTTGTCCATTTTTTGTTCTTTCCTCCAGAATGCTGTGCTTTTATTGTTAGGCCACCCAGGGACGTCCTTGATCATGCAGGGTGTTGTGACATAGGCTTGTATTCTTGGGACTGCTACCCCTTAAGCCAGGGAAGGACTAGGAAAAGGTCAGGCCAGAGGAAACACAGATGTCAGAGATCTGAAAATTTGTGTGGGGCACTTCAGCTGGGCCAAGGCTGCAGCCTTCACCCTCCTGCATCCTCCTCCTCTTCTGACAAAGCCTTTATGTCTCAATGTCTTTTCAAAGGTACGGCAAAACCCAAGCACATTATCTGAAAGGGAGCCGACCAATGTTCCCTTCTTCCGTCAGGGGTATTGGCAGAGGCCTAGCCAAGTCTTTTCCAGGCCTGTGGGCGTCCTTCAGCATTCAGCAGCTGAGCGCTAATCAATTCCACTATCCTGTCTCCTGAAGGAGCAGAGAATTGGGAGTGGTTCTGAATCAATGTTATTTTTATGGAGTACAAGGGATGTTCCAAAAATGATTATGATTCAGATGTTTCTTACTAACCCACTCCCAAAATGCACTCTTGGGGCAGAAATAAATTAATTTTATGGTATCAAAAAAGATGCTCTGGTTAATAAACTTACTCTGAGTATGCAATCTGTCAGATCAACAATTAGATGATGGTTTAAAGAAGTCATAAAAAAAGAATCTCAAGTCTGAAAGCTCGTGTGCCTTGTGTTAAGTTCGTGCCACTAAGGGGAGGGATAAATGAATGTGGTGTTTGGAGAAAATTAATTTTGTGACTTTACAGACATTCCTACAGCTAAAGCTATTGAAGTTAAAGGGTATGTATAAGGTAATGGTTGAAAGGAATCTGTATATGATGTGACAAGAAAGACACAAAAGCTTAGAACATCTAACACAAAAGTAGAATAATTGCACATACTCAGAAAGCATACATGCATGTTGAAGATGCATGTTGCAAAGATAAATTCTACACTTAAAACAGTCCTGGGCTATGCATGAAATTCCTTCACGAAAAAAAAAAATTCCAACTACCTTTTTGTAGCCATAAAATGTACAAGCCAAAGGGCTAAAGAACTTTGCCACAAACACTTATTAGTTCTAGAATAAAAGTTCATGGTTTAGGAGGTTTCAGTGAAATGATTCGGTCAGAATATATTTCTTTGCAGAAAATGACTACTTACATTGCCAAACTCTTACTATGAATATGGTCAGTCTTTGGAGCCAAAATAAATAAATATAAGATGAGGGTCCACTACAGGAATTCAAACAAATAGGAAAACTTAGCTACTTGAAGTTGACACAGGAAGTCGACAGTTTCACATTCACAAACTAAACAGCCCTAGGAAATGAGAATGTATTATATACCAAAGACAAACACGAAAAAACATTTGCAGAATACCCAGAACAGTCCCCAGCACACAGTTTTGGTTTCCTGTAAAGCTGTCATCATAAACGCAGGAAATCTGGAGGTCTATTCTCCATCTGATTTTTAACATTATGTTTTATGAGAATGTTGCATTTGGCTGTACTTGTATGACTCTAATATGTATAACGGTAGACAAACTATGGCCTGTGAGCCAAGTCCTCCGGCCTGCCGCCTGGTTTTATACAGCCTGCAAGCAGAGTGGTTTTTACATTTTTAAATGGTGAAAAAAAATCAAAAGGAAAATAATATTTCATGACAAATGAAAATTAATTGAAATTAGGATTTCAGTGTCCATGAATAAAGTTTATTTGGAACATAGCCATGCCCAATTGTTTACATATTGTCTGTGGCTGCTTTTGAGCTCAAAGGGCACAGTTGAGTAGTTGTGACAGAGACCGTGTATGTGGCCTTCAAAGCCGAAAATATTTACTGGCTGACCCTTTACAGACAAAGTTTGCCAACCTCTTCTCTAATATGCAAAGGCCAGCAGAATCTGAAAGTGAACACCCAAAAGAACAATATGGAGAAACCAGAAGAGAGAAGAATGCACTCTTCTTGGTGAATCTTCCAAAGTGGCACTTGAGCCTCTCTTACACATCTGCACCGGCTCCCATGCTGTCCGGGCCACATCAGATCAAAGAAGGCAGCCCTCCTCACAAAAACCTCGCTATTCCTTCTGCTACTTGATCTGTGCAAAGCTCAGGTGTGGTTTGCCATTTGATCTGGAGGTTGGAATTAGTTCTTATTTTAGCTGATTTAGGTTACCTAGGTTACACCACAAATCAAAAATAGCTGAAATATCTGTGTAAATGAAAAACAAATGTACAGAGAGAGGGAGCAATCAATTTTCAGAAGATAGAGAAATGTTCTTTTGCATGGAGCCCCCATTGGTAATGAACTCCCTGGTGCTAAATGAAGGGAAGGAGGGAAGGGACTTTTGTGTCTCCCAGCAGGACCTCCAATCAGGCAACAGAATAGAAACTTTTCATTGATTGTAGGCCTTGGCAAAATTGAGGGTTGCCTGTTTGTACTGACACTTTGAAGTTCGATGGGTATTTTGGTAATAAACTCCCTTGTAACTTCACAGTAGTGAGATTATAATAACTTTGGGAGTTATCTCATTATATGTTTTGTGATTTTTTTTTTTGCACACTTTTTTTTTCTTCGAACTCTGATGAAAGTTTAGCTTCAAGGAATCATAAGTTCCAGAGGTTGATGAAACCAGTTATAGACCCTCACTGTTCCAAGTGGGTTCCATGAACGAGCAGCATTGGCGCCTTCTCAGAGCTTGTTAGAAATTCAGAATTTCAGCACCTCCCCCAGACTGGCTGAATCAGAATCTGTGTTTTAACAGGATTCCCAGATTGTCTGAGTATACATTAATTTTTGAGAAGCACTGGTGGAAAAAAGTGCATGAGACTTGGGGTCTTGGGGATCCAGTTCCAGATTGAACTGATGCTAAGTCACTGGTGACCTTGGGCAAATTTCTCACCATCTTTTTGCCTTGGTCATCTTCTCTTTAATGTGCGGCTAAATTCACTGTCTTAGTTCAGGCTGCTATAACAAAATACCATAGAACGGGCTTCTTAAACAACGACAACAAAAAATTATTTCTCATCGTTCGGGAGGCTGTAAGTCCAAGATCAGGGTGCCAACATGACTGGATTCTGGTGAGATCCTTCTTCAGGAGGAAAGAGGGTAAGACAACTTCCTGGGGTTTCTTTTATAAGGGCACACGTCTCATTCATGAGGTCTCTACCCTCATGACCTAATTTCCTCCCAAAGGCCCTACCTGCTAATACCATCACATTGGATGTTAGGATTTCAATATGTGAATTTGGGAGGGACATAAATATTCAGTTCATTAAAATCACCTTCCCCTACTTTTTGAACAATACTCTCGTCAAATGAGACAATAAGCATAAAACTGCTTGAAAAATTATTACCTCCACTGTGGTTGTGAGATATTAGGAATGGTAATGGCTAATATCTACAGAACCTCAACCATGAGTCTTGCTCTGTGCCGACTTCTGAAGATGAACTTTCCTTTCAGTCTCACTAAAACTCTCTGATGAGAGTAGTAACATCAGTTTTACCATACACGTGGAGAAACAGCCATTGAGAAATTAAGTGCCTCACCCAAGGTGACATATCTAGTTAGTTGTAAAACTGGAAATAGAGCCCCAAAGCCATGTCCTCATCCCCACACCATGCTGCCTCCAAAATACAATGTTGAAGAATGGCAACAAATACTGTTATTATCACAGATGCTAGTCTAAACACCACTACACAGTGAGGACAAAGGCATAACATATTTTAAATTCTTTTTTTGTACACAAAAAGGGAAGAAGAATAAACAAAGAGAAATTCCCTAGAGATGAATGGCCCAGAGAACACAAATAAACTTGAATGTGTTATCAAAATGGCAGCCAACTGGTTTCCATTGTGTTTGCCTCTAGTAGTTAAGTGTGAAACACTGACTAGCACATACAATAGGCAATGAGATTTCCCATTTTATTTCTGAGACTCATTGTATTTCTTACTTTCTACATTGAGTAGTTGAAGTCACAACGGAAGGAAAGTAAAGTCTTAAGAATAGAAAGTTACAGAGCTGACTGGAAATTTATAATTCAGTTCCAAAATGTTGGAAGTATAGAGATGTTTTGTACATATTGCAGGGTCTACTCTGATCCCTTTGGCAGCAGAAACATAAGGCTTCCAAATAGTTCTAAACAAATGTGCTTGAATTTAGAGACTTTTTGAAAACCCTGTACTTCTTGGCTTGGAGCTAATGTTTATATCTTGCTTACTTTGTGCTGGGAACTGTTCTAAGAGCTTTTCAAATATTAACTCAAATATTAACCCTTTCAACAACCCTATTCAGCAGGCAGTATTATTATTATTCTACATTATAATTTAGATTACTTGGATCATTACATAGCTGAGGATTTCACACAGAGAGGTTAGGTAACTTCCCCAAGATCATGCAGGTGGTTTATGGTAGAACTGGATTTTAAACTGAAGCAGTTGGTTCCACACTCTATGCTCTTAACTACTACCCTAGAGACCCTGCTAAGTAAACCTACCTCTCAGGGATACTTTAAAAAACAAAACAAAACAAAAACAAAAATAAAAACAAACAAACAAAAAACTTTGGTTTTAATGTGATTTTAAAATATGTGTCTAAAGTAGAAGCTGGTGGTTACATCAGTAAAACGTTGATGCTTTCTTCTAAAAAATAAAAATAAGGGACAATTTTGATAGCTTTGGAGAGTCCCTGTGATTAGAGACCATGTGGACTAAATCATTCAACCCATATTTTTCGTATTACTCTGCAGCAGTGGTTCTCAAGAGGTTTGGGGGGACGGCGCAGATTTTGCTCCACAGGGGACATTTGGCAAAGCCCGGAAACATTTTCCACTGCAGCAATTTGGGGGGTGGGGGGTGCTCCTGGCGTCCAGTAGGCCGAGGCCAGGGCTGCTGCTAAACATCCCACAATACATAAGACAGCCCACACCTAAAGAATGATCTGGCCCCAAATGTCAAAAGAGCTGAGGTCGAAAATCCCTGTCCTATGAGAATAAGAATTTAAATTCTGGTAGAATTTATCTACTAGTTAACACACTAGTACTAGTTAGGAATATACACAAGGAACACAGACTAGACGAGAGGGTGCTAGATGTTAGTGGTGACAGACCAGTGGACAAATAGTTACAAAACTATGAGGAATGTGCTGGAACAAAGACTGTGCAGGGTGCTGAGAGGTACCTGGGACGGACAGGCACAAACTCAGCCTTCTCAGTGACGCTGGGGCTGAGTATTCTAGACTGAGGCGGCTGAGTTCACCAACAGATAAGAGCCTGCAGAGCAGAGGAAAGGGCAGCCTGGGTTTGTTTTGTTTGCCGTTGTTTTATTTGGCTGCTAACTCCTAGAAATCTTTTTCGCTCTGGCTGGCCTTAGCGCCTGCCTTCTGTCTTGTCTCTAAGACTTTCCTCTTTTCATCCTTAAGGAGTCCAGTGGAAACTTTTGGAAAACCCAAGTTCAAGCTGAACCAGAATTGTGAATTTTTCAATGCAGAAGATCTCCATGGAGGGTAGAAAGACTCAGCAAACCGCGTTCAAAAGCAAATGATCTTTTAAACTTGTTCGATCCTAGATTAGGACACAGAGTATTCAGATTGCAGAAAGTGGCAGGGTGATGTGAAAGCTCTGATTTATCTGGGACCATTAAAAGCTTTAAGGGAGCAAAATAGAGCATCAAGGTAAAGAGCTAAATGGTAACAACAAGAGAAGCTTCTCCATTCCTTCCAATCAGTTTTATAAATCAAATGGATGAAAAGATTACTAAATCCTCTGGAGCTAAATGTTCTCCATTATTCTATTTGTTTTTCAGCCTCCAAAGGGGAGACGTTAAGCCAAAGGGTTTTAGAGTCTAAGCTGCAGATGGAATGTGAACAGGCATGTGACTAACCCGCCTGTCATCACAATGACCTGCTTTGGTTGTTGTTATTGTCGTAAACATGACATCCTCTTCAGCAGAAGTTTACATTTTTAGAGGGAAGTTTTGGGGTTCCAAGTTTTCTCTGAATCCTCATTTTTTACAGAAATAGAGGAGAGGTAATTTGCCACATGGGTCCCCCCAAAACCAAGGTGATCTTTCAAACCTTTATTCCCAAAGTTCAATTTCAAAGCCAGAACGGTGCAGGAGCATATACCTTTGAGGAAAGCGGGAGTTTGTTCTAATCAAATTGAATTTGTCATTTTTGTGAAACCTTGGGTTTCCCTTGTTTTAGTTACTTTTTTGAGCGTTGAAATGGAGGGGTTTGGTGATAAGGCTGGGAGAGAGAAAGAGTCATCATCCATTCATCACATTGCCCCCACTGCTGAGAGTTTTGGTCAATGTTGTTCATTTTTAGTTTGTACATACAAAGTGGCTCATGCAAATAGATTGCTGATGGAAAATAGCATCTTCTTCATGGGCAAAGGAGGCATCAAAACCATAAGCTTGAGAGTCTTTCTGCTTTTTCCTGGAATTAGTTCTGGATCCCTCAGAGAAAACAGTGGGCTACAAGGACCTACCTGTCCACTGCATATAATATATCCAGAAAACAGTTCCACAAAACAGGAATTGGTTCAGAATTTTGCATTGTGTACACTCAGATTGATGTTCTGTCTCCTTTTAATATAGGGAAAGTTTGTTCCCAACTATGAGTAAAAGTTTTTAAAATGAGATCCTTCTACTATTAGAGGGTTTTTTTTTTATATACTTTAAGTTCTAGGGTACATGTATACAACGTGCCGGTCTTTTAAAGTTCTTAGATTTTCTGGAAGTGAGGCAACATGAAGACCCACCAGATAAACATGTTTGGCATCCTATACAGAGCTGCCAATGAACTGCTCTCCTTAGCGTGGAAAAGAAGGTTGAGACTGAAGAATAATCTGAATTCTCCATGCACTCCAGCTTTCCAGGCCCAGGCTTTCCTTTCACGTTTAGATAAAACAGCTTAGGGCTCAATCACACAGGCTCTAGGAAGCCTTGCACTCATCCTAAAATTTATGAGAATTCCCAGTGGATTACTTTCCACTTTCCAGAGGTTGCCTGCCTCTTCTTGCTCCCAACTCCACCCTAGGCTCAGGTACTGTGGGTCTCCTTCCTCCTAGGTCATATCTAGGTTTCTGAACACCTCTGGAATGACCAGCTACCATTCAATTCACACAGACAGCTTTATCCTGGCTCCTCATTTTCTAAGTCCACAGAGTTCCTAAATTCTTAACTTTAGGAAGAGGGGGGAGAGGGTGACTCAAGGGTGTCTTTTATCACAGGTTGTTGCGGGAACTCAGGGACCCTGAACGGAGGGACCAGCTGAAGCCACGGCAGAAGAACATAAATTGTGAAGATTTCATGGACATTTATCACTTCCCCAATCAATATTCTTGTGATTTCCTATGCCTGTCTTTACTTTAATCTCTTAATCCCATCATCTTCATAAGCTGAGGATGTATGTCACCTCATGACCCTGTGATGATTGCATTAACTGCACAAATTGTTTAAACAATATGAAATCTGGGCACCTTGAAAAAAGAACAGGATAACAGCGATGTTCAGGGAACAAGGGAGATAACCATTAGGTCTGGCTGCCTGAGAGCCAGGCAGAACAGAGCCATATTTCTCTCCTTTCAAAAACAAATAGGAGAAATATCACTGAATTCTTTTTCTTAGGGGGAGGTCTCTGAAATGGCCGCTCTGGGAACGTCTGTCTTTTACAGTTGCTGATAAGAGTTGAAATAAGCCCCGGTCTCCCGTAGCACTCCCAGGCTTATTAGGATGAGGAAATTCCCACCTAATAAATTTTGGTCAGACCAGTTGTCTGCTCTCAAACCCTGTCTCCTGATAAGATGTTATCAATGACAATGCGTGCCCGAAACTTCATTAGCAATTTTAATTTTGCCCCAGTCCTGTGATCTCGCCCTGCCTCCATTTGCCTTGTAATATTTTGTTACCTTATGAAGCATGTGATCTCTGTGACCCACACCCTATTTGTACACTCTCTTCCTTTTTGAAAATCACTAATAAAAACTTGCTGGTTTTGCAGCTCATTGGGCATCATGGAACCTGCCGACATGTGATGTCTCCCCCGGACAACCAGCTTTAAAATTTCTCTCTTTTGTACTCTTTCCCTTTATTTCTCGGACTGGCCGAGAAATACTTAGGGAAAATAGAAAAGGACCCACGTTGAATTATCGGGGGTGGGTTCCCCCGATAACAGGTGAGTTACATCCTTTTGTTTCACCCCCTCCCTTTCAGATTATGCACGGGGCCCCAACTCCTCAATGAGGGAGGGATCTATCTGGGGCTGTACCTTTAGCCACACAATGTTCTGGGGCAAATTTTGAACTCATAGGTTTTCTTTAAAGGCTTTATTTGCTTCCTGATCCTGAACACATCCTTGGAAAAAGGAAAGGCCACAAAAAATATATACTCCTACCGCCTTTCAGATGAACTACCAGAAATCAGCAATTAGACCCTTAAACAAGGAGATTAAAGGTTTTCACAGTAACAGGTCAAACTGAATAGAATATGTTTCCTAAGGATGGGGATCTCAGCCTCATTTGTTTAAGTTTGTATCTTCAGCACCTTGAACATGACTGGCGTATAGTTGTGCTCAAACAATATCTGTTGAGTGACTAACTGAATGAAGGAATAAATGACCAATGAATATATTTAAGATTCATTTGTTTGGTAAGAACTGATTGTGCTACTAATATGTGGCAGGAACTGAGATAAGCAATGTGGACCTTAGACAAATGGAACAGTATGTTCACTTGCCCCTGACGAGCTTCTAATTGAGTAGGGAAGACAAGACACATACACAAATTGCTTTAGTCAAAGGGAGACCTTGGAGATCACATGATATAAGCCTAGACAAGAAATAATGGTAGAGCACAGCAGAGCAGATGGGGAAGAGGGCTCTTAAGTCAGATCGGAAATCTGTGGAGTATGACCGGGCGTGGAATTCACACCTATAATCCCAGCACTTTGGGAGGCTGAGGTCAGTGGATCACTTGAGTCCAGGAGCTTGAGACCAGCCTGGGCAACATGGTGAAACCCTGTATCTACAAAAAATAAAAAAAAATTTAGCCAGGCATAGTGATGTGTGCCTGTAGTCCCAGTTACTAGGGAGGCTGACGTGGGAGGATTGCTTGAGCCCATGAGGTCGAGGCTGTAGTTAGCTGTGATAGTGCCACTGCACTCCAGCTTGGGGAACAGAGAGACCCTGTCTCAAAAAAAAAAAAAAAAAAAAAAAAAAAAAAGAAGAAGAAGAGGGAAAAAAAAGAAATATATGAAGTAATTGGAATTCCTCTTGCTAGATAGGGATTTTCTTTAGGTTATAAACAAAAAATAACAATCCCTTTGAAGCCATATTTTCCGAAGTCATTATCGTTTGTATAAATGGTATACCCTTTGATGGATTCTTCAACAGATATTAATATTTTAACTATTGTTTTCCACATTGGTGCTTCAAAAATAAGCTATTCTTTTGCCCACTAAATACCATTTCCCAAAGCAAAAGCAAACAGACAAATTCATAACAAGGTGAAAATGTCTGTAGCAAATCTAGTCTTCCATCCAAAGAGAAGTGGCAGCTTTTATGAAATCATAACCTTCTCCCTTTTCTTGAAGAAAGGAAATTGCTCTGGGTCAGCAGGTGAAGAAATGGATACTCTCCCTTCTTAACTTACAGAGTTAACCAGCAATGTACAATTCAAAAAAGGGAGGCACTGACTGCTGACAATGGTCAATATAAGCCTGTGTAGTCCCGTAGGCCTCTGGGAATAATTAGCTCAACAGTGGACTGTGAAACACACACTGCTTCCTTCCTGGTGAGTTCTGCTCTGAGCTCCAATTGCAGCCCAGTTGTCACCTATGGAGGAGGACTGGGGACATGTTATCAGGAAACTACCAGTAAGTAAAGAGGCAGAACTCTTAGGAGCAGGGTGTGATGTAAGGACTTTTTGGCAGGTGACCCTGTCCCTGCTATTTCTACCTCAAGTCTTTTTCTGTTGTCGTTTTTAACTGAGCCCATGAGCTGTAAAGGGTAATCAGGGATATGGACAGATGTTATAGAAGCTTGTAAGAAACTCTTTATCTTTTTTTCCCTCATTTGGTAATACTTTTGGGCTTGTCTGAGAGGCAGCTGAGTTTTCTCTCAATCAGATTGTCAAAGCCAAAATAAAGTATAGAGATGAATCTCTAAATTTAACATTTTATTTTGGGAAGCAGGGATTGCAGTTTGGGGCATACACACAGACTGGGTGGTCTTCGGTATGTCTGAAGAACAAAGAGAAGGTTGTGAGTTTTATTAGAAAAAGAGATGCTAATGTTACATTATCATTTTGAAAGAAAGCTTATTGGCACTAGAGAAGCTTTTGGGAGCTGGCAAGCTCTGATTGGTGAGTGGATGTCTGGGTGTTTGTCTCCTCCAAATCTTGTGTTGAATTGTGATCCCCAATGTTAGAGGTGGGGTCTGGTGGGAGGTATTTGGGTCATAGGGGGCAGATCCCTCATAAATGGCTTGGTGTCATCCCCTTGGTGATGAGCAAGTTTTCACTCAGTTAGTTCCAGCAACATCTGGTTGTTAGAGAGACTATGCCCTCCTTCTCTCTCTCTCTCTTGCCATGTGACATGTCTGTTCCCTCTTTGTCTTCTGCCATGAGTAAAAGCTTCCTGAGGCCTCACCAGAAGCCAAGCAGATGCTGGTGCCATGCTTGTACAGCCTGCAAAACCATGAGCCCAATAAACTTTTCTTTATAAATTACTCGGCCTCAGGTATTCCTTTTTAGCAACACGAAATGGACGAATACAGTGAGTGACTGTGGTAGGTAAAACCAGGCTTGGAGTCACAGCAGGTTGCTTCAGCAGCTGCTAGGTAAAACTGCTCTTCAGGTTTCAGCTGGCTGTTTCAGCAGCTGGGCTTGTAGAAAATTCAATTCTTGGAGCAGGGGCTATGTTCCCCAAGTTCTTTTTCCCCCTGGCCCTTGATGCTGATTTAGTTGGGCATGACAAGAATGACCCAATTTGTATAATCAGCTTTCACAAGATATCGCCTCTTACACGTGGCTGCAAACTGGCCATGTGGAGCACTTGCCCAGCCAGTTCTCACCATGTCATATGGATATTTTTCTAAATAGATTTTATTTTATTTTTGAGATGGAGTCTTACTCTGTTGCCCAGGCCAGAGTGCAGTGGCACAATCTTGGCTCACTGCAACTTCTGCCTCCTGAGTTCAAGCAATTCTCCTGCCTCAGTCTCTTGAGTGGCTGGGATTACAGGCGCCCATGACCAGGCCCAACTGATTTTTGTATTTTCAGTAGAGATGGGGTTTCACTATGTTGGCCAGGCTGGTTTCGAACTCCTGACCTCAGGTGACCTGCCCACCTTGGCCTCTCAAAGTGCTGGGATTACAGGCGTGACTCAACCACATCTGGCCCTTAATTCCTTGTTCTATGATTATAGCAGCATAGGTCTATTATAAACATTTTAGAAAACACAGGCAAGCATAAAGGAAAAAATATAAATCAGCTACAAATTAAAAGCCCAGTATAAACTCTGCTAACATTTAGTGTCCTTTCTTCCAATCTCATTCCCCAGTGTGTGTGTTTTTTGTTTTGTTTTGTTTTTAGTAAATACAGGTGTCTTGCTATGTTGCCCAGGCTGCCACAGTGGTCTTGAATTCCTGGGCTTAAGCAATTTACCTCAGCCTCCCAAAGTGCTGGGATTACAGGCGGGAGTCACCACACCTGGCCTATGTGTGTTTTTTAAACAATTGAGACCATTTTGTATATGTTGCTTCTTATCCTTTTCTTTCCTCATTTGGTAATACTATATTGCTGTTTAAGAACTGTTTGAGGAGTCTGATGACATATGTAGAAAGGGAATAGGAGATTAACCACGAGGACAAGCTGGTATTGGTGACTGGAAGTCAGGAGTGACCATTGCCTGGCATCTCAGAGCCCCCAGGAGTGCCCACACCTCAGGGCACACAAATGAATGGATTTATATCAGAGAAGTTTCAGCCACACTCACCAACCAACCCCCAGGTCCTCTTTCACTGGCATCCTAATCCAGGTTGCTTCATAGAAGTCAGCTCACAGCCACACATTTCCCCCTTAAACTTTTTTTGAACTTGAACTTCCAGTATAATTAGAGTCAAACCATCCCAGCAGCATAAGAGGAATGCTTGGAAGAATGGATAAAGATCCACTTGGCATATTTATAATTTTTCAAACCTTCCACAAGGATGGTGGCAGACATTTTCTTAAGTGGTAGAGATGTCAGAAATTTTATTTTTAAAACGCCTTAACTCTGACTGGGCGCAATGACTCATGCCTATAATCCCAGCATTTCGGGATTCCAAGGTGGGCTGATCACCTGAGGTCAGGAGTTCGAGACCAGCCTGGTTAACGTGGTGAAACCCCGTCTCTACTAAAAATACAAAAATTAGCCAGGTGTGGCGGGCGCCTGTAATCCCAGCTACTCAGGAGGCTGAGGCAGGAGAATCACTTGAACCCGGGAGGCAGAGGTTGTAGTGAGCCGAGATCACGCCACTGCACTCCAGCCTGGACGACAAAGCAAGACTCCATCTCAAAAAAAAAAAGAAAATAAAAAAAAGCCTTAACTCACTGTTCTCATTTTGTTCCCATTTTATAGTTTATAATTAATGGAAAGTATGAGGTATCAACCAAATCTGCTCAAACATAGCCATGCATAAGCAAATCCTTTTTATGTTTAATAACTGAAAATGATTCATCAAATTTTATTAGATGGTGCAAATGCTTAGGTCACTTAGAGCTTCAAATGGCTCCAAAATTTTCTCCCACTCTTCCCCCACCAACTTTTTTTTGCCAGTTGTATATTTAGTAAGCATGCCATACTGAGTGTGGATTGGAGACACTTTTTCCTGTAAGATTTTTGCCCTGTATAACGGAACAATTACAAGGGAGATGATTTGATATATAATAATTTATTATGATAAAATATTTTGCCCAAGGATTAATTTTTTGGGGAGCAGTGGGCATGGAACAAAGCTGCAAGGACATGAAAAGGATCATCTGTTCACTTTTTTAAGAAATAAAACTAACACAGTTGAGCACCTACCATTTCCAATTTCAACTCCTTTAATCTTCACAGAGCTATAAGATAGATCTCATTATTACACCCAATTTAAAGATGGTAAAACTGAGGTATGAAGAGGTTAAATAATTTAGCCACAGTAGAAAGAGGCAGAGTTAGGATTCAAGACCAAGTTGTCCAGTTCTATAAACTCTGCCTCTAACCACTATTCTTACTTGCTTACAGATGCTTCAGCTATAAAAGGTCTTCAAAGGGTCTCTGTCTGCTTTGCTCATCCAGCAACCACTCAAGAAATACTTATGAAGCACTTATTGTGTGCCAGGCATTATACCTGACCCTGGGACCCTGGGAACATAATGATCAATATACTGTCATGTAATACCTTCCCTCAAGGAGTACATTCCATTGGGGTAGACAGTTAAGTAAAAAAGCAATTATAATACCACTTTAACTTCCAACAGAATCCAGTTCAAGCCATTCTAGTCAGATCAAAAGCAGCACTGTTTTTTAAACTTGGGAAATAAATTAGATATGCAAAGATACAGGCTTTCCTCCATAGAGTATACCTGACTACCTGGCACATCATGAATTAATTGACCCCTGAAGGCAAGCTAGGTAAGTGCCCTTGGGGCCTTTTGTGTTGCAGGAAGGATTATGTGAAAACCATTTTTATGTGTCAATTATACATTTTAAAAAACTAAAACAAAACAACAACAACAAAAAACCCACAAAAAGCCAACCTGGGATTTGCACCATGGAGAATGAGAGTGGAGGAAAACAATATTAGAGAGTCTCCCTCCCACAAAACTCAACAAAATCATAGACGATAGGTAAGCCAGTCCCTGCTATTTCTACCTAAGTCTTTTTTTTTTTTTTTTTTTTTTTTTTTTTAACTCAGGCCATGAGCTGTAAAGGGGAATCAGGGATGTGGACAGATGTTAACTCAGGCCATGAGCTGTAAAGGGGAATCAGGGATGTGGACAGATGTTATAAGATGCTTCTAAGAAACTCTTTATTAAAAATTCCAAATATGTTATATTTTTCACCATCACCAAACACTTCCCTTCACTATTCTTTCCCTATGAGAGCAAGTCCTTCCATTTTTGGTATCCAATTTGGCTCTTCCTGAAATAGGTTACACCCCAAGTTGCTGCGCGATGCCAAATTGTTGATTGTAGTTTACGGTGTCTCCTTGAAACATGCCATATAATTACATAATCACATCACAGCTAATCTGGTTTATTGGAAGGCCTCTGGATAGGACTGTTTGGCTAATCATTGTCCTGGAAAATCTGTCTCCTAGGATACTTCTCATACCCACTTGTAGCAAGGAACAAATACAGAGGTGGCCAGCTCTTCCACCCAGACGTTCACCCTTGGTCTTTTGTAGATTGTTGTAACTAAGGAAAGGCTAGGGAAAGGGTGCTCTTGGCAGGATTTCTTTAAAGACGTCACCATTGAGCAATTGCTAAAGATTACTCAGAGCCAGCAGATGGAGCAGATAAGAAGGCCTTGATGAGGTTTTTGGCCAGTTGTGATTCCACCCTGAATTTAAGACATGTTTCCTCTGATCTTAGGAAAAACCCAGAACCTCTACTCCCTGCTGATACTGGAAAGGGGAGGGCAGGATTTTGGCTTATCACGAACTCATTTATTTTTCCTTTAGCCCATAAAGCCTGATCTTTCCTGCAATCAAAACATGATGGAAAAGCCTAGCAGGCTATTGCAAAAGTATTATGTTTTCTTTATAGTTCATCTCTTGGGATTGCATTTTACTCTTGATTTTACCAGGCCCTTCCAAGCACGGGCGGAGGGGCGGGGGTGGGGGGAGCATCGTTCAGTTCTACTTGAAGGCATAAGAACTGAAACCTCCCCACTTTTTCTTGGAGAGTAGAAGGAATGTGTTTGCTATTTGTTCTTACTTGAGCTCAGTTTCCTGCAATGACTTTTTGAAGTCTTCTATCAGGCTAACAATAGGAGACACAGTAAATTCATTTGTAAAAATTCTGTCTGACTTTGGTCTGTCGTCTGTGTTTTTAAATACACTTCAGTTATTCTATTACTATTCTGTTTAGTATCCACCCACATTTGGAACGCTTCCACCTTGAGTGGTAGACATATCTTTTTTTATTCCCATTTTAGAATTTGTTTTTAGAATTTACAACTTGTTTTTTAGGATACAGGATGGGCATAGATAGATACCATCACTTCTTAATAGAGTTTACATAATTTTCGAGGCCCAGTGCAAAATAACAATGTGAGGCCTCCTGTTCAAAAATTATTAAGATTTTCAAACCAGTCACAGCAGATCATTAAGCCCAGCACCAGGTCCTTCTGAGCACGGGGCCCTTCTCAGTGCAGGGCTCTTCTAAGCACAGGGCCTTATGTGATGGCGTAAGTTGCACACCCATGAAGCCAGCCCTGATTCTTGATTAGTCACAGGCAATGGGAAGGTTACCCAGGCCCTGTGTTTTCCCTCATCCACTTTCCTGCTTGCTGACTTAAGACAAATCTCTGGCCCTTTAGAAACTGCTACGTTGAGTTATATAACGAAAATAATGAAAATAAATGATATAAAATGAAATGTATTCATTTGAATACCTGGTAGAACTAAAGGCATTCAGTGGGGTGATAGGTAGAGATATTAAATAGAGAAACTTCTCCATTATCTGATTATTTTATTTGTTCTTATTGTGAAATAGTGTGATAGAATGGGAGAAAAGAAAAACCACAGCCGGGTACGGTGGCTCAAGCCTGTAATCCCAGCACTTTGGGAGGCTGAGGTGGGTGGATCACAAGGTCAGGAGTTCGAGACCAGTCTGGCCAATATGGTGAAACCCTGTGTCTACTAAAAATACAAAAATCAGCTGGGGGTGGTGGCGGGCGCCTGTAGTCCCAGCTACTCGGGAGGCTGAGGCACGAGAATCACTTGAACCCAGGAGGTGGAGGTTGCAGTGAGCTGAGATCGTGCCACTACACTCCAGCCTGGGTGACAGAGCAAGACTCCATCTCAAAAAAAAAAAAAGAAAAGAAAAGAAAAAAGAAAAACCACTAAAATGAAACTCAGATCCTCAAAAAGTTAAACATGGAATTACCATATGACACAGCAATTCCACACCTAGCTCTATACCCAAAAGAATTGAAAACAAGGACTCAAACAGTTACTTGGCTGATGGTTCTGCAGGCTTTATAGGAAGCATGGCTGGGTGGCCTCAGGAAACTTACAATCATGGCAGAAGGCAAAGGGGAAGCTGGCACATCTTCATATGGTGGATCAGGACAGAGAGCCAAGGGGGAAGTGCTACATACTTTTAAACAACCAGATCTCGTGAAAACTCACTCACTGTCATGAGAACAGTAAGGCGGGAGGTCTGCCCCCTGATCCAATCACCTCCCACCAGTTTCCTCCCCCAACACTGGGGATTACAATTCAATATGAGATTTGAGTGGAGACAGAGAGCCAAACCATATCAGATACTAAAATAAATAATAGAATCAATTCGAAACCACACTTCAATTCACTCTTCTCAACTCAGATAATGCAGAGAAAGTAAGTGCACTGAGTAATCAGTAACAGGGAATACACCTTCTTGGAAACAATGGATGTTTTTCACCCACTGTGACAAAAGTAAACTTCAACAGCTTCCCAAATATTAAAAGAAAACAGGGCTATTCTGTACCCATAGTAAATTAAAGTAGAAAATAATTACAAAAAGAGGGAAAAAAAACCCACCACTGAGATTTAAAAGAAAATTCTCCTTTTAAGTACATTTGTGTTGAAATGAAAATATTAACTAAAATACTAGAATGTCTAGAAAATAATAACGAAAATAATACATGTCAAAACGTGTGGAATATGGCTGTTCTATACCTTTAAGCTATGAATTTAAACACTTACTTTACTAAAAATTTTAGTTAATTAGTTAATTGCACATTTAGCGCAAGAATTTATAAAAAGAAACATAAAATTAACCTAAGAAAAGAGAAGAAAGAAATTAATAAATGTAAAAGCAGAAACCAATAAATTAGAAAACAGGAAAACCAGAGAACTAAGAAACAGAAGAGCTGGCTCTTTTTAAAAGTAATAAAATAAAACAAGGTGCTAGCTAGCCCCATCAAGACAAATGGGGAAGGTACAGAATTAAGAATGAAAATAGATAATTAAGCAAAGAGAAATTTTTTTAATTGTTATTTACCATAATTTCACGCAAATAAATTTTAAAATTTCAATGAAGTGAATGTTTTCCTAAGAGAAAATGTTTACCCTAATTGAGTCAAGAAGAGATAGAAAATAAAAATAGTAAATGCAGAAATGGGAAGATTTAAATATAGGAAATAAAATATAAAGGCCTAGAAAGTAATTTGAGTGATTTTATTTTTAAATTAATTCCATTGTTTTATTGTGATAAAATACACGTAACATAAAATTTACAGTTTTAACAATTTTTAAGTGTACAATTCAGTGGCATTAAATCTATTCACGGCACTATTCATCTCCAGAATTTTTCATCATACCCAACAGAAACTCTCAGGCCGGGCGCGGTGGCTTACACCAGCACTTTGGGAGACTGAAGCGGGCAAATCACTTGAGGTCAGAGTTCAGGACCAGCCTAGTCAACATAGCGAAACCCCATCTCTATTAAAAATACAAAGATTAGCCAGATGTGGTGGCATGCACCTGTAATCTCAGCTACTCTGGAGGGTGAGACATGAGAATCACTTGAACCCAGGAGGCAGAAGTTGCGGTGAGCTGAGATCCTGCCACTGCACTCTAGCTTGGGCAACAGAGCGAGACTCTGCCTCAAAAAAATAAAAATAAAAAAAGAAACTCTGACCCCATTAAACACCAATTCCCCATTCCCCTACTCCTTAGCCCCAGGCAACCATTATTCTACTTTTTGTCTCTATAAATTTTCCTATTCAAGGAACTTCATACAAGTGGAATTGTAAAATATTTGTCAGGAGTGTCTGGCTTCTTTCACTCAGCATAATGTTTTTGAGGTTCATCCATATTGTAGCATGATCAGTACTTTCTTCCTTTGTAAGGCTTAACAATTAACAATATCCCATTGTGTATATAGACCACATTTTATCCATTCATCTGTTGGTGGACATTTGGATTATTTCTACCTTTTGCACATTGTGAACAGTGCTGCTATGAAGATTGGTGTGTAAGTGTCTGTTTGAGTTCCTGTTTTCAATTTTTTAAGGCATGTGCCTAAAAGTGGAATTGCTGGATCATATGGTAATTCTATGGAGTGAATGTATTTTTAATCTTGGTGAAAAAAACAGCCTTCTAGGCCAGAGATAAAATCCAGAAGCCATAAAGAGAATTATTTATAAACCTAACTACATAAAAAATATAAACTTCTTTATTTCAGAAAACGTTATTTCTAAACCGAAAGACTGGAGCAAATACTGCAACAGATATGACAGTGAGCTCACACAAATCATTAAGAACAGATGGATAATCCAATAGAAAACAGGCAAGCAGGAAGTTTCTGGAAGGGAAGGGAGGGGAAAAAAACGGCCAGTGAACTCATTCTGACTTATAATTTAAGAATCAAAAATCTTGGGAGGCTGAGGCAGGAGGATCACTTGAGCTCAGGAGTTTGAGACCAGTCTGGGGGAACATAGTGAGATGCTGTCTCTACAAAAAAAAAAAAAAAAAAGCTGGGCATGGTGGTGTGTTCCTGTGGTCCCAGCTCCTCAGGAGGCTGAGGTGGGAGGGTCGCTTAAGCCTGGGAGGTCGAGGCTGAGGTGAGCTATGATTGTATCACTGCACTTCAGCCTGGGTGATGAAGCGAGACCCGGTCTCAAAAAGAAAAAAAGAAAAATCAAAATCAAAATCAAAATAACAATGAGATATCATACTAAACTATGGGTTGCCCAAAAAGTTTAAATTTTATAACACCTAGTAATGGCAAGGGTGTTAGGATACATTTATATACACTTGTTGATGGACATATAAAGTTCTTCAATGTTTTTGGACAGCAATTTGGTGACTTCTTTTAAAGATGATATGACACATGATTTTAGTCCCAGCAGAGATGTAGATAGATAGATACATGTTTCAACATTGTCATGCTAAAAAGTTGAAAGAAACCTGAAGGTTTATAGTTACAAGACTAAGTAAATTATAATACAATCAAGCAATGGAATGCATTCAAAGATAATGGTAATTAAATTATGAAGAATCAGGCTCGCCAATCTTCTCTCCTCCCCATGGATTCTCTTCACCAGGTTCTAACATATTTGGAATTCCCTAGCATGGTGCTTCGCAGGGTGGTGGGGGGCGGGGGGGGCGGGGGGGGCGGCGTGTGTGTGTGTGTGCATGTGCACACATGTGTGTACCTGAATGTTCTACTAAAATTGTTAAGCGCCACTCTTCCTATATTTTGTTTCTTGTCTTGCTCATGTCACTGCCAGGAGTGAAGGGAAATTTTTTCCAGAAGTTTCACAAGCCTCACGCTGTTGAAGAACTTGGAAAGGGTTCACAAAAACCTGGGCATCTGGCCAGGCGTGGTGGCTCACGCCTGTAATCCCAGCATTTTGGGAGGCTGAGGAGGGTAGATCACTTTAGGTCAGGAGTTCAAGACCAGACTGGCCAACATGGTGAAACCCCGTCTCTACTAAAAATACAAGAATTAGCTGGGCGTGGTGGCATGTGCCGGTAGTCTCAGCTACTCGGGAGACTGAGGCACGAGAATCTCTTGAGCCCAGAAGGCGGAGGTTGCAATGAGCCGAGATTGTACCACTACACTCCAGCCTAGGTAACGGAGTGAGACCTGGGCATTTTTGGGACCCCTGGCAGGTGCCACACTGGAGCTTGTTCACTCCCCACTGCTGGGCTCTGAGTTGCTGTCCCAGGCTGAGCACACTGCCTTCAGCTGCCTTCCAGCACAGTTCTGCTCCTTGTTTTCCTGAGCTGTTTACTTGCCCTCCCTGAGGTTGGCAAAGCCCATCTCTTTTCATCTGGGAGTATTAGTCTCCAGATCTGTACAATTCAATCATTAGTCCCAATAACATCTTCACATTTTCAACCAAGAAGCCAGAAGAATTCCCGGTCCCCTGTGCCCTGTGGGGATAGACCAATGATCCCACATTTGACATACAGGAATGCCTTGGCTCACTCCACCATGACCTTTGCTAAACATCTTCTACTCCCTCCTTCTCTTAAATGCAATTAAACCTGAACCTATGTGTAATATAAATGTGATACTGAGCATGAATAAATGGTTTAATTCTCAACTTGTGTCCTATAGAAGCAACAGAATATGCTTAGGTTTAAAAAATGAAAAACTTACATTATTTACTATAATAAGGCTCTTCTTTTGTGCTATTAAGAAAGAAGTATTTTGATATCCTCATTTTCCTAGTATGTGTCCTAAATCAAAAGAAAATAGCCCCTTGCTAATTTTAACTCCAAATTTTTAAGTTAATGATCTCTATCTGGTTTTAGGAGCTATAATAGCAATCTAGTTCTGCCCTAACAATTCAGGAACAAAGAGCTATTAAAGATAAAAGTTGGGTCACATAACTGCTGGGTGTTAGAGGCTTCTAGGACTTTCCACTGCCCATTGAACATAATCCCAAACTGCCTATAATTACTGACTTCATGTGCCTAAACACGAGATCCGCTGTCCCCTCCGAGCCCTCTAGAGCATTCGATCACACGGGCCTCCTCTTTCATTCCTGGAGCACACAAGGCCCTTTCGTGTCTCAGGGCTTCTTTCTGTTTCCTCAACACACTTCATCACCTTTTGTTTTTTACAGCTTTGTTAAGGAATAACTCACGAGTCGTACAATTGATCCTGTTAAAGTGTACAATTCAGTGGCTGTTAGTACATTCACAAAGATGTGTAGCTGTTACCACGATCAACTTTAGAACATTTTTATCACCTCCAAAGAAAACCCCATATCCATTAGCAGTCTCGCCCCATTCCCCCATACCCTCAGTCCCTGGCAACCATTAACCTACTTTCTGTCTCTATGGATTTGCCTATTTTGGACATCTCTTATAAATGGGATTATACAATTTCTGGCATTTTGTGACTGACTTCTTTCACTTAGCATGATGCTTTCAAGGTTGATCCATGTTGTAGCATGTATCAATAATTCAATCCTTTTTATGGTTGAATAATATTCCACCATATGTATATTTTATTTATTCATGTTTTGTTGATCCATTCATCTGTTGCTGGGCATTTGGGTTGTTTCTACTTCTTGTCTTTTATCAATAATGCTGCTATGAACATTTGTGTACAAGTTTTTGTGTGGATGTATGTTTTTATTTTCTTTAGGACAGAACTTGCAGGGTCATATTGTCAGAGACGTTCAAACCGGAGTGACTCCATCTTGAATAGGGGCTGAGTAAAATAAGGCTGAGACCTGCTGGGCTGCATTCCCAGTAGGTTAGGCATTTTCAGTCACAGGGTGAGATAGGAGGTCAGCAGAAGATACAGGTCAATAAGACCTTGCTGATAAAACAGGTTGCAGTAAAGAAGCTGGTCAAAACCCACCAAAACCAAGGTGGCAACGTAAGTGAACTCTGGTTGTCCTCACTGCTCATTATACACTAGTTATAACGCGTTGGCATGCTAAGAGGCACTTCCACCAGCACCATGACAGTTTACAAATGCCATGGCAATGTCCAGAAGTTACCCTAAATGATCTACAAATGGGAGGAGCCTTTACTTCCAGGAATTGCCCACCTCTTTCCCAGAAACCTCAAGAATAATCCACCCCTTGTTTAGCATATGATCAAGAAATAACCATAAGTATACTCAGTCGGGCAGCTCATGCCACTACTATGGAGTGATCCTACTCCTATAGAGTAGCCATTCTTTTATTCCTTTACTTTCTTTCACTTTACCCTATGGGCTCGACCCAAATTCTTTATTGCATAAGGTAACAATATGGTAACTCTGTGTTTAAACTTTTGAGGAACTGTCAAACTGCTTTCCAAAGTGGCTCTACCATTTTACAATCCCATCAGCAGTGTAAAAGAGTTCTAATTTCTCCACATCCTCACCAACATTTGTTGTTGTTTGTCTTTTTTTATAATAGCCCTTCTTGTGTGTTTGATGAAATATCTCATTGTGGTTTTGATTTGTATTTCCCTTATGACTAATTGAGGATCTTTCCACGTGGGTATTAGCCATTTGAATAGCCTATTTGGAAAAATGTCTATTTAGAATCTTGTCCCTCTTTAGAATGATTTGTCTACCTGTTCACTTGTTTACCACCCCCCACTCCCCACCCTGCTGCTAATTTATAAGTTCTGTGAGGGTAGGCACCATGATGCTTTTGTTCGGTATTACATACCCACGACCCAAAAAACCATCTGACACATAGTAGAAACTCAATAAATAATTGTGGCTGATTGCATTAATGTCTTCTGTACTATGCTAATTAGAGCTCATGGAAATAAGATAATCAAGGGTCCAGGCACTCTAACTATAGCTCTCCACTCTTCTAAGCTCATTGGGTTGTTTTATGACCTGCTTAGACTTTCATAAGATCTGACTTGTGTTTAATACTTGGACATGTGCTGCCCTAGAAAACCTCTTTCTAATCTCAATATCAAAAGTTTGGCTTTCCAAGGAATGCTCTGTGTTTTTAGTCCACAAACAGGACATGCTTGCCATTCCTGTTACTGTTTTGCCTGTAGCTTTGTAGCCTTATTCTTCTGGATTCCTTACTATGTGAGAGTTAAAGAAAAAGTGAGAAGATGAGGAAGGTATTCTACATTTTTGTTCTTTCAGGTTAATGTGGCTGTAAAGAGAGGAATAAGATTAATGATAATCGCTCTCCTCTTTTTCTGACCTCCTCGGGGCCATCCAAAGTAGTTTGGAAAAGATATTGTAATAAAGCATTTTGTTTTGTTTTTGTTTTTGTTTTTTTTCACTCCTGAAGTTCATACCCCATCCCCACTCTTACTTAACTGCAGTGGCACTTAAAAGTCAATGAGATCACCCCAATATAAGATTAACTTTGTAGAATTCATGAATTCCATGAACCAAAGGAAAAATGGTTACTGGCTAGTTAAGACCATGTACGCACAATGCCCATTACTATTTGGTCAAATAACATATTTTTATCATTTCTAATGGCTACATAGCATCCCATTATATGAAAAATGATGCAATTATATGTTTATTGTTGAGTGGTGAAAATCCCATCTTTATTTTAAAAGTATATAGGAAAATAATGTGAAAATATATGCCAACTCTTAATATGGGTATCTAAGAATGTCTAAGGTAATGGATGGATTTCACTTTACTTTCTTCTTATTCATCTCACTTTAAAACTATTCTACAGTGGGAATATGCCAGTTGTGTAATTTGTAAAATGAAATAATAATGATGTGCAGCTATCAGTAAAGATATTCTGTGTCCAGAGTGAGCCAGTGACGCCTTGTGAGTCTGAACAGAGAAGCGCCTGCCTAGCTTCGTTCAGGTCTCCTCGCTCCTCCCAGGCCTAGCCTCGCCTTGTCCGCTGATCTGTCTGTGAGTCATCATTTGCTTTATTTCCCACCACACCCAGTCTCAAATGAATGTTCACTTCCTTCACAGCAAGTTCCTACTCTAATTGCCAAGGACTTCTATTTCTGTCTTCACAATGGGTCAAAGTTCAGACTACAGAAAATTAACTCTGTATTTTCATTAGCAGGGCTACTCTTTTCTACTACGCAGTTGCTATTAACATTTTCTTCCATGTAGATCTATGTAATTGGTGAAATCTGTCTGTCTCACAGTCCTGCAAATACGCCTTCTGCACATGCCTGAAAATTCCCCCTCCCCTAAGTAACTACAGTGATTTTATGAGCTCTCACTTTTACCATGAGAATGAACACCTTCTAATCTGATTTTATCCAAAAGAATGTCTCTCTGTTACTCTCTTATTAAAAAGTCATCTCTTATCAATGCTTCCCCTTCTACCTCCACCCTCCACCACCACTCTTTTGAGGACGTAGAGGTTTAAATTAACCTGCACTGTTTAAAATAATGAACTATTAGACATAACATAAAGATCCAACCAAAAGGAAGAGGCAAGGAGCAGCATGGCCAGGTGTTCAGAGCTTGGACTCTGATCCTGGACCATTTGGGGTTGAACCCCAAATGGCAAGTTAATTACCTTCTCCTTAACTCAGTTTCTCTGTAAAACAGGAGTAATCATACTACCTACCTCACAGGCATGCTGTTACAGTGCTTAGAAAAGTGCTGGGCACAGAGGAAGCACTAGGTTTGTTAGTTGTTAATATTTTCAAGCCTACAATGGAATATAATGTAGTCATTACAATGGGTGATGAAGATGCATATTTATTAGCACGCAAGCTGCTTCACAATACGGCATTAGCTCAAAGAAGCAGATTTCAGGATTTCAGGACAGTGGCTACAACATGATCCCATTTGAAATATACATGCATCATGTATGTATATGGATCTATGGACGAATATAGCACTGATATGCTAGCAGTGGTTTTTACTGGGTGGTAGAGTTTTAATTGATTTTATTCATTGATTAGTTTCTTTTTCCTTATTTTCTAATTTTTCAGCATTAATTATGCATGACTTTAGTATTGTTTTAAAATAAAGAAAATAATTCTCTACTTGCCTGGTTGAATCCTGTGGCTTCAGGGTTTCAGATCCTTTTTATATGGGAGGTACATAAACACCTACATTGTTAGGATTGTTTTGTTGTTTGTTTGCTTGCCTGTTTTGGGAATGAATTATATTTAGACAGTAGTTAATCACTTTGGTTTTAGTCTTTTTACAAATGTATGTTTCCTTAAGTATCTAGTCTCTCTCTCTCTCTCTTATTTTTTTTTTTGCTAGAAGGTATCTACTCTCATGGAAGCTTAAGGAAGCACAGTTCAGCTCAAGCAAGCAGTAGAACCTAGGTCTCTTGCCTCCTACTCCAGGCTTCTTCCAACTACACCACCTTTGATTAATAACCATTGATCCCTTATGTTTACCAGAGCCTGAGGTGCTCTAGTTGCCCATGAAGATTGTTAATTAGCTATAAGTTTTAAAAAACATTCCACAACAGGATTAAAGTAACAGGACTTTTAAATTCTTTTAGCTGAGAGGTACCAAAATGTTTGAACAACAATATTTGATTAATTAACATAGAAAATCAGGTCAGTCCCAATTGGTTTCTGTCTGCAAATAAAACTTAAATCATGCTGGTTGTACTTATGCAATGTCAGAATAGTTTGTCCAATTCAGGAAAAACAGATCAACTGGTTTGTTTGGTATTACATAGTCCAAATATCTGGATGCCTGGATTTTATAGAGGTTGGGGCTCAGAGAATGATACCCCAAAGTATCAGCTGTGGCATGCTGAGCACTTTTGAAGTGAAGGAAATTGGAAGTCCTTAAAAGCTGCCTTTAGAACCAAGGACTTTGTAACCTTCCCTTGTTTCTACCCCTAAAGTGCATGAAGGGGCTCTCTCTGGGAGTTCCTTTATCTGTGGGAAGAAAACTTCTTGGAAAAGAGATTCAATTTTCTTAAAACCCCTTATCTATGAATCTCATCAAATAACCAGGAAAGATTGGCCACCAAAGAGGAGAAAAGACTAAAAGTCACCTCCATGCCCAGGCAGACTTCTATTCTTCTGAGGCAAGGTCCAAGAGATTACCTGGAAGATTTTACTTACATAATAAGACAACCTTTGTTCATAGTGAAGTTCTACCCCTCACTTTCTTGAAATTTGTCAGCCACCTCTCCAGAGCTCAGAGAAATTTTGTCCCAGGCTATTGTCTCTTCTATGGGCTTATTCATTTCCCCTGAAAATCATTCATTACACCTCAAAATTGCCTACATTCCTCTATTTCTCTCCCTTCTGTGAAGAATGTGCTATTTAAGCTTCACCCATCTGGCCCTTCTTTTAGTATCATATTTTGTATGGCTCCCATACACACTTACACATTAATAAACTTGTATGCCCTTTCTCCTCTTTATCAGTTTATTTCAGCAGACTCAAACCTTCAGAGGGGAAGGGAAAAATTCCCTTTGCCCTTACATAGAAGTTGGGTGTTTTGTTGCTACTGTCTGTGTTTCCTTTTCTCTAAAACACAATAATGATTCATACTCCAATATCCTTCATGAATTTTTTTGAAAATAAGCAGGACAAGTTCTACTTTTGTCTAGAAAAGTATTACTGTAAGACCAAAGAGCTTCCACACATCCCTGTTGAAAAAGGTCATGATGACTTCCTGTAAGAACAGTGGACCTAAAAATATGAACCAGAATCCATCACAGCACCATAGCTGGCAGCCCAGTAATGTATGACATAAGGAGACAATATTCTTATTCAGGATCAAGGTTAAGAATTGATTTTTTTTTTTTTTAAATAGAGATGAGGTCTTGCTATGTTACCCAGGCTGGTCTTGAACTTTTGGCCTCAAGTGATCCTCCCACCTTGGCCTCCCAAAGTTCTGGGATTATAGGCATGAACCTCCACAGCAGCCTGATTGATATTTTTTAGTGTGCCAAAATTTATTTATTTGTCAACAACCTTTCCCCTCCAGTTTATATTCAAATAAAATATCACACATGAAAGCCACTTTTATTACGACATGCCTATGATAGCAGAGTGATGGATGAGGGAACAGGCTGAATGTTCAGTATAAATGCCCTAAAATCCCTGCATTCTTGGTGATTCTTCTCTTTTTGTCTAATTGTGTGGCAACATCCCCTGCTCTGACTTACACCTCACCATCTTGTTTAGGCCTGGACATAGACTTCGCATCTTTACCACACCAGACATGAAGCATCATGAGTGGCTTTAGATATTCAGGATTTCTCAAAGTCTCATCCCAGAGCCACCTATATCAGGATAATCTGGCTGCTTATTAAATATCGCAACAATCTAGGTCTCACTTCACAGGTACTGAATAAACATTTCTGGAAGTGGAGCTTGGAAATCTGCATACTAATCAAACTTTCCCAATTATTCTATGTACTCTGCAGTTAGAGAAGTGAAGAATCCAATGTTTAGGTCAATATTCTTCTCTCTGGAGACTGACCTTGTCTTAGTCAGCATGAGCTGCTATAACAAAGTACCAGAGACTGGGTGGCTTGAACAGTAAACATTTATTTCTCATGGTTCTGGAGGCTGGGAAGTCCAAGATCAAGGTGCTGGCAAATCCAGTGTCTGGTGGGGGCCCACCTCTTGGTTTGCAGATGTCTATCTTCTCATTGTATCCTCACATAATGGAGAGCAGAGAGCAAGAACAAGCTCTCATGACCTAATTATGTCCTAAAGGCCCCATCTCTTAATACCATCTCATTGGGGGGTTAGGATTTCATCATGTAAATTAGGGGTAAACACAAAACATTCAACCCATAATAGACCTTAAGCCAGAGTGTTATGCATTGGACCAGAAGCCAATGGCACCACCTATCTCCTTACCCTGCTGTCCAAGATGACAGGGGTGAAGGCAAGAAACAACCCCAATTCACTGCAAATGAGAGTGTATAATAGGACACTGGTAAGAGAATAAAAAAGCTAGTCAAGAGTTTGGATAAAATATTTGCAAATCATGTATCTGATTTTAAAAACTCATATCGAGAAATATCTAAAGAACTGTCACATTCCAATAATCAAACAAAACAAACAACTCAATTAAAAAATGATCAAAAGATTTGATTACACACGAGAAACAGATGGCAAATACACTCATGAAGCTCATGAATGTTCAATATCATTAGTCATTAGGGCAATGTTCAATATAATTAGTCATTAGGGCAATGCAAACTAAAAGCACAATGCAATGCCACTGAAAACCCAAGAGAATGTCTACAGTTTTTACTTAACTATTTTTAAATATTTTCTAGATATGGGGTTTCACTCTGTTGCCCATGCTGGAGTACAGTGGAGTGATCCTAGCTCACTGCAACCTCAAACTCCTGGGTTCAAGCGAGCCTCCTGCCTCAGCCTCCCAAGTAACTGGGGCTATGCCTGGCTTATAATAAAAAAAAAAACAAAAAACAAAAAAACAAAAAAAAAAACTGACAATACTGCCAAGGATGCAAAGCAATTGGAAATCTTATCAAATACTAGTGGAAATGCAAAATGATACTGCCACTTTGGAAAACTGTATGGGAGTTTCTTTTAACACAGCATACAACTCAGCATTTCTACTCCTAGGTAATTTACTAATAGAATGGAAATGCTTGTCTACGCAAGTACTTCTAAGAGAAAGTTCATAGCAGCACTGTTCATAATTGCCCCAAACTAGAAACAATCCAAATGCTCTATTAATAGGTAAATGTATAAACAAACTTTGGTATATCCATGTAATGGAATACTGCTCAGATATAAAAAGAAACAAGTACTGATATGCACAACATAAATGAATCTCAGAAGCGTCATGCTGAGTGAAAACAGTGAGAGACAAAAGGCCACATTTTATATGGTTCCATTAATACAACATTCTGGAAAAAACAAAGCTATAGGTACACAAAACAGATCAGTAGTTTCCAGGAACTGGGGATTGGTGGGAGGAGACTGACTTCAAAGAAGCAAAGTGGAACTTTGTGGGGTGATATACTCAATATCTTAGTTGTGGTGGTAGTTACATCTCTACATTTGTTTTACAAAACTCATAGAATTGTATTCATAAAAGGGTTAAATTATACTGTAGGTAAATTTTATATCATTAAATCGGACATTAACAACAACAACAACAACAAAAAGTCTATGATAGAGTCTGTGGGCCCACAAAACATGTGCAGTAATATGTTCACCATTTCCCAAATCAAAACTTACTTGTGCTAGTGGAACTAAAATAAGAAAGAAGTGATTCCATAAAAAATATACAGAGGAGGCCGGGCGTGGTGGCTCATGCCTGTAATCCCAGTACTTTGGGAGGCCAAGGCGGGTAGATCATGAGGTCAGGAGTTCAAGATCAGCCTGGCCAAGATGCTGAAACCCCATCTCTACTAAAAATACAAAAAAAAAAAATAGCCTGGTGTGGTGGTGGACGCCTGTAATCTCAGCTACTCGGGAGGCTGAGGCAGAGAATTGCTTAAACCCAGGAGGTGGAGGATACAGTGAGCCGAGATCACGCCACTGCACTCCAGCCTGGGTGACAGAGTGAAACTCCATCTCAAAAAAAAAAAAAAAAAAAAAAAAAAATATGCGGAGCAGAGAACCAAATCCCCCACCATGATGGAGGCTTCCGAGGTCCATGATGTGGGGTTTCAGTGGCAGATACATTGACTTCCTAATAAGGAAGCCTCTGCCAGTCCATGGTCATTTCTCCCTAAGCAATCCTGTGTGCTCTTTAGAATAAGAAAGAAATTAACTCCAAATCATGACAGATCCAATAAGTTATACATTAAAACAACTCATATGGAAGTTGAGCTGCAGGAAATCAATGTGGAAAATGTAGGGCTAATTCCCATTGCATTACCAGTCCCACTGAGAAAGCTAAATTCTGCTCTGAAAACAGTTTCAGGACAAGTACATTCGATAGTCTCTCAAAAAATGGCAAAGAAAATCAAGTAGAAAGTGTTCTGTTTTTGTTCAGAAAATGACTATCAACACAACAAGAGAGCAGTGGAAAAAATAAATGTTTAAAAACAAACCAAAAAAAAAAATAAGAAAAGAAAGGGAAAGATATTGAATCACCCCATTGTTTTGATTTCCTTGTGCCAACGACAAAACCTGAGTGATTGACATTTCTTATTTGCTGACTTGATCAGACTATTTGATATCACACAGACATGGCAATTTTTCCCGTGGCAATCCCGGGGTGTCATCTCAGATTCTGTAAGAAAGGACCAAGGAATATATAATTGTATCAAGCTGCCATTTAATGAGGCACTAGATGCATCTCACAGACAAAGGTCAAAGTTTGAGATAGCAGAAGGGTTGGGACTTTAGGTAATCTGAAAACAAGCACTGTGTATCATTAGAAAAATTGTATGAAATGCCTATTTGGGTGAAACGAATTTTACTTGTGATGAGTAATGGCTGTTGTAAAATATACCTTGTAGAGAAACAAGCTTGGACATTTCTGTTCTTCCTTTTAGCATACCAGCCTTCAGTGTTGTGACACTATAGGGTCTTAAAATACTTGCCCCTGTTTATTTGCTTTTGCATAGCTGGTCAGGATTTTGTAGAATTCAGTGGCACTCCAGTGGGGAGCAGCTGGGACTCAGGAATTCACTTTGGAAGGGAGCTGGCAGCTGGGAAGACCAGGCAGTTCTCTTTGTGCTCAGGCCTTAGGAGAGTTGTGCATTTGGCAGGGGAATGAGACTTCTTGGATACTCAGAAAGGACACCACAGAAAGATCTGATTTTGCTCGTTCTACATATTCCACATGCTTTTCACTGCCTGCAACTGTCATTTCAATCAAGTTTTCATTACAGGGGAAATTTTCCTCTTAAAATATTTGCTTTCATAGGAATTCTGTCTGTGTCAGCACTGTGGTCAACCCCAGTGTCAGGAAAGTCCACTTTTAAAGATATGGGTTGGTGTGAATGCATATAAAATGATGTGAGAGTGTATTTACGCAGATGTGAGTTTGCTGGATTCTTCGTACCTCGTGACCCTCTAACTTTCTGTACTGCTGATTCAATTAACCATGCCTGTGGCACAGGAAAGAGATACTCTACTCTTTAAAAAATTAATACAATGAATGGAATTGGGAAAATAAGTGAAGAAAGATTGTAACTGTTTCATTTTTTTTTTCTAAAAAAACCCTTTTTTTCTCATATCCAAATCAAAAATAGTGATACTAACTTCTATTAAGTTAAACAGATGCCTTCTCTACAGCCCAGCAATTTTACTCCTAAGTACATAGCCAGGAGGAGTGAAAGCACAGGTCCATAAAATACACCAGTATTCATAGCAGCTTTATTCACAATATGCCCAAACTGGAAATGATCCAAATGTCCATCAATAGAAGAATGGATAAACAAATTATGGCATATTCTTACAATGGAATAATACACAGCAGATTAAAAAAAGAAAGAATAAACTGATACAATCACCTGGATAAATCTCAAAAACATTATGTTAAGAGAAAGAAGCCAGATGCAAGAGTACATTCTGTACAATTTCATTTATATGAAGTTCACAAACAAGCAAACCTAGTTTATGGGAGTAGAAGTCAGAATAGTGGTTCACTGGAGTGTGAGGGGCATGGGGGTTAATTGACTAGGAAAAGGGAAAAAGGAAGCTTTCTAGAGTGATGGAAAGACATAGATGTTTGTGTGGTCAGTGGTTTCCAGGAGGTATATTTAGGTAAAAATTCATCAAGCTATACACTTAAGATGTGTGCATGTTACTGTATGTAAATTATACCTCCATTGAAAAACAAAACATGGATAATGATAGTTGTTGCAGGGCTTACAGCAAGTATGGGATTACTATTAATAAGCATCAGATTCGGCTTTGTGCTTTTTGGCCACTCGTCATAAAGAGACCTAAGTAATATTTCTCATAGGATGGAGGAAGCACACATTAATCATTGATTGTTTCCTGTGTGCCTGATACTGTGCGCTGGAGGCCTTGGGAGACTTCATAATAAATCAGATCAGGCTCCTGCTCCCCTGTTCTGATGTACAGGCAGTACCTTCTATACCAGGCTGTGAAAAACACTAGACTGTGTTTGAGTGTGATTGTGAGCGTCTGAGTCACAGTCTAGTATAGAAGTTACTGCATGTACATTGGTGACAAAAATTCAAGGTAGAAAGTGACAGGTGACTCAAACAGGTTTGAACCAAGCACTGGGGGTGTCATATGCTTTGCCCGACATTCAGTTGAATTGTTGACTGATAGAGGCCGGTGAGGGGGCAGGTGCCATGTTTTCACAGGAAAGGGTGCTTAAAGGGTGGGATGGGAAATGTAAATGTATCAAGGAAAGTGCAAAGGAAATTTCCATTCCCCTTTTTCTGGCTTTGCCTGCATGGAAGAGTTTGCCCCTCAGCCTCAGAGGATCCATCTGGGGGCCCCAGGAGTCTCAGGGTAGATTAGTCTCCTATGGCTGCAGTAACAAATGACCACCAACTTGGTGGCTTAAGACAACAGTTTATTCTCTCACAGTTCTGGCGGCCAGAATTTTGAAATCAGTCTCGCTAGGCCCAAATCAAGGTGTGGGCAGGGCCACGTTCCCCCAGGAAGCTCTAGGGGAGTATCTGATCCTTGCCTTTTCCAGCTTCTAGTGGCCATCCATATTCCTTGGCTTGTGGCCTCATCACCCCAATTTCTGCTGTTGTTACATCACCTTTTCCATGTGCACGTAGATCTCCCTCTGCCTCCTTCTCTCAAGAATACGTGTGATTACATTTAGGACCCACTCAGATGATACAGGATAATCTCCCCATCTCAAGATTCTTCACTTAATGACATCTGCAAAGACCACCTTTTTTCATAGAAGGCTACCGGGATCAGGATCTGCTATCTTTAGAAGCCATTATTCAGCCTGCTACACAGAGCTAGTGCCGCCCTCCACCCCTGCCCCCTCACTGCCCACTGCCCACCTTGGTCCTGATGCCTGCAAATGGAGGCAAACACTGACCTCTCTCTGTCAGAAACAAACATGCAGTAATTAAAACGCGTGTTCATGGTCCCGCCTTCTCTCTTTCACCTTCTGCATAGTTGTATGGGCTGCCAGCTTCCTGGTTGCAGAATGACTCTTTGAAGAAGCCCCAGACGGAGCTTCCTCAGAGCTGTGGGTGGAATGTGCCCAACCAAGACTTGAGGGCAGGGCTTCTCACCGCAGCACTTTGTGGCAGGAGCTGTGCTGTGCGTTGTAGGATATTTAACAGCATCCCTGGCCTCTACCCACTAGATGCCAGTAGCACCCTCGCCTCCCCAACCCAGCTGTGGCAACCTAAAATGTCTCTAAACATTGCCAAACATCTCCTGGAGGGCCAAATGGCACCCAGATGAATCCCACTGCTCTACAGAGTGAAGTGGGGCCTCTCTGGCCCTGGGGGGTGGGGCTGGGCTGCTTTGCCACCCTTCTCTTTTCTAGGTCTCTTGAGTTTTGAGAACATGGAAGGGCCATGTTGCTGGGTCTCTAGTCTAGCCCCTTTGTCCTCAATCCTGCTGGGGAGGGGCTTCTAGAGCTGGGTTTCCCAAGACTAGGAATAACTGGGGCCCTGAATGAAGGGCTCAACTGGTGGATCCCAGGATCCCCTCTGACCAGACAGTTCTGGACCTGAGACAAGCTGAACAACCTCTCAGTTTTCTTTCCTTAGGGTCCTGAGAGGCAGTGGAAGTTGGTGTCTTGGACACTGGGGTCCCCGGGGGCATTCTATACTACTTACAGCCTCTGTTCTTGGTAGTAAACCCAAGAGAACATCTCAGTGGAGTAGAGCAAAGAGGCTAAGAGTGAGGGGCTTTGGCAGCTGACTGTTCAGAGTGGATTCTTAGTTCCACTCCTTATAAGCTCAGGCACCTGGGGCAAGTTACATGCACTGCCACAGTTTCTTCACTGCAAAATGTGGATAGAATTGAATCTCCTTCATAGGATTGTGGTGAGAATGAAATGGATGATACATATCAAGTGGTCAATAAATAGTCACTTAAAATGAGAATAACTTTTATCATATTTGTGTCTTATCTCTCTGTAAGATTTGATCATCCTCCTCAAGCAACCCCTAAGAAGATATTTCAAAGGGTGCATTTAGTTCTTGCCATCTCTGAGAAATGGATCTCTCCTACACATACATTATAGATAAAATACAATCATCCATGTGACATTCTGTGTTCTTCAATATCCCCATAATCTCATAAGCCTCTCCTGGTCAGTACTGCACAGGCCGAAACTAGATTCGGTTTTCTATGTACTTTCCTGTAGCCAGAAGCTACAGTTAAAGCTTGTTTAAAAAAAAAAAAAAAAGTAAAAACGAAGTTTTCTACACTGGCTGCTCCTTTCTTTGCTTTGAAGCTAGACTGTAAGTTCACAGGTAGCCCCAAATGCATAAAGATAAGGCTTCCTTTATAACAAGGAAAGAGAGAGAGAGACAAATCCCAAAGGCTTGCTTTTCACTCACATATATTATAAATTTAGTTGGATGAAGCAAGATTACAGCCAAATATGGGCAGAACATGCAGAGAAACCTTAACTGTGATTGGCTCTTAACTTTGCCCCAAAAGAAGAACATTGTGGTTTAAACATCGCCGTCCCAGGAAGTCTTGAAATCAACTGAAGGGTTTTTCAAATTTGTTCTTCATCATTTAAACCAGACCCAAGCCCACTCTCATTGGTTGCTGGAGGAGCTGAGACTGAAGTCTGTGCTGACATTTTCAACCCTCGTTTGACAGGATAATTAGAGGAGAAGCCCCCGGTGTTGGTGACATTTGAGTCTCAAGAGCTTCCAATCCCAGTGTTGGATTGAATTTCAGTTTTCTTTCTTGCCACGCTGCCAATTTGTACTGCTGTAAGCTGACCAGCTTACACACTGAAAAGCAAAACGCAGTTCAGCTGGTTTTAAAAGACCCATTGACAGCCCAGGGCTTGTAAAACGATGTGTACGGGTAGCTTCAGCTGGCCCCTGTAAGAGATGGCCTGAGATGATAAAATGCTTTGCAACTTAAATTTCCACCAAGTGTTTTAAAACATTGGGGTTTGTTTCAGGCCTTGTGTAATTCTTTGTTATCTGCAACACAGGCGTTCTTTTTGCTCTTGTGATCAGATCATGAATCTCTTGCACAATCAGCCCAAGAGCTCTGTAAGGATGAAGACTGTTAACTCTAGCTTTGTTACATTAGAGGCAACCCAAGGCTTCATTTGATAGCCATCTGAGACAGACAATGTGGCCCGCCAAGGCCACAGCTGTACTTTCCTACCAGTCATTTGCACAGGCTATCAGAGGGCCTCTCTTCCAAGCCTTTGATAAACAGGAATTCAACCCCAACTACCCTTTGGAAGCCAACGGATATTATTATAATCAGTGGGAAAACAGACAATGACGGAGTCAGCTCTGGCCAGAAGCAGAAAAGAACGAAGGTTGGTTCACCTCTCGTTGCCTACTGCATGTTGTGCACGAAATGACCTCAAAGGTCAACTTCTACGCTTTCCTTTTTGCAAGAACTAAACTCATACGTATGAGCCCTCCCCTTATGGAAACCTCAAACCCTGTTAGGCTACCCTGTCACAAACCCTGACTTGAATAGAGAAGTGTGGATCTGGGGGATAGAAGGGAAATTCTGGATGAAGTATATGTCTTTTTCATGCTCAAGCAGAATGAGCATTCAACTCATTCTGGTATCTTTGTTAAAGGTCAGTGGCTCTGCCAAAATGGCCATTTCCTTCTAGAACAACCCTGGGAAGCACCCTTAGTTCAATATCTGATCAGTTTTTCTCTTGGATCTTTAAATTCCGTATATGAAGCTGGTCTATGCTTTTCACTGTCACTTAAGACACTGCACTGTCACTATCAGTCCTCGGTACCAAGGATTGTCTGATAATAAAAATTTTAACAATCTGATTGTGACTATAAATTGGTGTAGTCATTTTCAAGGTCAGGCTGACAATATGCATCAACAGCCATAAAAATATTTAGATCTGTTGATGTTGAAAAATTTAATTCAAGGATCACATGTTTGGTCAGTAATCAGAGATATAGTCTAAAAATCTATGGACAGATATATTCATTGCGATGTTGTTTACCATGGAGAAAAATTCTATACCTCTTAAATATCCCTCAACAACAATTAGAAAAAAAAATATGGCATATTCTTAAAATGAACATAGCCATTAATAATCATGTTATGACCGGGCACGGAGGCTCACGCCTGTAATCCCAGCACTTTGGGAGGCCGAGGTGGGCAGATCACGAGGTCAGGAGTTTGAGACCAGCCTGGCCAGCACGGTGAAACCCTGTCTCTACTAAAAATACAAAAAAAAAATTAGCCGGGCATGGTGGCACATGCCTGTGGTCCCAGCTACTCGGGAGGCTGAGGCAGGAGAATTGTTTGAACCTGGCAGGCGGAGGTTGCAGTGAGCCGAGATTGTGCCACTGCACTCCAGCCTGGGTAACAGAACGAGTCTCCGTCTCAAAAAAAAAAAAAAAAAATCATGTTATAAGAGAATGGGGAAATGAGGCTAAAATGCTACATAACATGAAAAAAGGTAGGATACGCAATTGAATATCCAGAATGATCTAGGTTTGTAAAAAGAGGGACAGTGTTTACCAATATATGTAGAAGCAGAGAAAAAAAAATACTGGAAGGGAATACATCAAAATATTAACTGCAATTTTGGCTGAGAATGAAGTCCATAAGGGTTTTGTGGGGTTTGTTTTTTATCATTGTGCTTTCCTATATTGTTCAAATTTCTTAGTTATTAAATATTGCTTTTGAAAATTAAATATTGTTTTATAAAAAATACTGTTTTATGAAAAATTTATTGAACTTTTCATAATGAAAAATTCACTTACGAAAATAATATTTCACCTAAGCTTGCTGATCCTTTTTTGTGTGTTTTGTGACGGGGTCTTGCTCTGTTGCCCAGGCTGGAGTACAGTGGTGCGATCACAGCTCACTACAGCCTTGACCTCCCAGGTTCAAGCAATCCTCCCACCTCAGCCTCCCAAGTAGCTGGGACCACAAGCACATACCACCATGCCTGAATTTATTTTTTATTTTTTATGGAAACAGTGGCATCTAGCTATGTTGCCCCGGCTGTCTTGAACTCCTGGGCTCAAGTGATCCTCCTGCCTTGGTCTCTCAAAATGTTGGGATTACAAATGTGAGCTACCACGCCCAACCTGATCCCTAATTAATTAATTAATAACATGAAATGGGGGCACAGCAACATGCTAATAGTCTAATCCACATGATGGAAGTGAGAATGTCAGTTCTAAGTTCCTCCTGTATTTTTTCCACTCTTCTGCTTATAAGAAGGTCATCATGATTACATATAACATATGCCATACAAAAAGCCACTACTGTTACTTTCAGGTATGATGAATAAAAAGATTGCCCAGGCAAGTTGAGCAGGAGATGGCTGCTCTTGCAGTCTAATTAAGGGACAATGTGCCACCACCATTCTCTTAACCCACTGAGAGAACACAGGAAACGCCAGCTGCCGGAGCAGAGTTGGAGAAGAGATGGGGTGGCAGCGGCTGGGGTCTAGCTGAGACGTCCTTCTGTTTTCTTGGGTTAACAAAGGGGAAGAGACAAACCTTTAGCAAATGCATCCAGCTCAGAGCACATTTAAGCAAACTCTGCGGAGTGTGAGGAGGGTGTCTGGTGGCCCCAGAGAGTGGCTATGTTGGAACCCATGGCTGTGGCCATCGTACTCTTCTATCTTCAGGAAACTGCTCACCTTGTGATCAGAACTTTGACATTATTGGCCACTGGGTGACCAGATGCTGTCCTTAATGGCACTGGATATGTGTCTATTGTCATTTACAAGAAAAGAAGCTTCAGCCGTTCCTTAGGCGATACACAGAGTTAACTTGTAAGGTATGATGTGAGATTCACATGAGATCATGTTGTCCTCCATGCTCTCTAATTATTCTTTGGTTGGTATTGGTCTCAGCAGGAGAGATTGCAAGTCTTCTGGTCTCACAAACTACCCCTCCCACGCCAATCCCATCTGCTCCATCATGGGGCATCATCTTGCCGTTGGTCAGCCATGTTCCCCTATCTCATACTGATGCTTCCTTGGAAGTCCCCGTGCTAAACCACATTACTTTACCCTGGAGATGCCCCAACTCCTCCCCAAGGCCTAGGTGAAGTGACTCAACCATATGTACACAGTATCCTCAGATGTACACAGTATCCTCTCCATGGTAGTGAATCTGTATACTAATTTATACATAATCGATTTATGGGTGTAAAGACTTCACAAATAACTAAACATACAAAATGTGAATTCTCCTTCCTTCTCCTAGCTTAAGATTAGCTCAAAGACAATGAAAGCTGTACTGTGCTGTGCAATCTTCTCACGACCCACACGAAACAGGAAGCTCCTGGGGGTTTCTCACAAGCATGTGATAGATAGTTGTGGTTTCAGTGCAACAGTCAGGTAGATTTTGCAGCCGGAAACATTCACACAAAACATCCTTTATGGCTTCTGTCCAACTCCAGTGTTAGTCAGATGCAGTCCCTTTTACACTTTGACAAAAACCATTTGATTTCTCACACTGTATTTATTTTTTCTTATTGCAATGTCTTGTCTGAAGATACCAGACAAAGGATGACAAACTGGAGCCAGCTGAAGTGCAGGGCCCTTTCTCAGCTGCTCTTAAGAATCCCTCTCAGCACTTTGGGAGGCTGAGGCGGGTGGATCACCTGAGGTCGGGAGTTCGAGACCAGCCTAACCAACATGGAGAAACCCCATCTCTACTAAAAATACAAAATTAGCTGGGCGTGGTGGTGCACACCTGTAATCCCAGCTACTCAGGAGGCTGAGACAGGAGAATCTCTTGAACCCAGGAGGCGAAGGCTGTGGTGAGCCGAGATTGTGCCATTGCACTCCAGCCTGGGCAACAAGAGCAAAACTCCATCTCAAAAAGAAAAAGAATCCCGCAGATTGAGCCATTTTCCCCTGAGCAATAATCCCTCAAGCTTCTAAAGACACCACTTAGAGAAGGAAGAGCCTCGCCCCACTAATGCAGCTGAGTGATGCCCTTTGGGAAATTAGGCTAAGAGGGAATACCTTTTAGCTGCCTTCTGTTATTAATCTGGTCTCAATACCAATCAATGTTATTTATCACTACTGAACAAGCATTAATGCAGAGTCTGAAAGGGGCCTTAAATCTCGTGTAGTATGCTCAGAATCCTAGGAATCACACTTTTAGATCCCAATGGTATTGGGTCAAGGTTTTCCCTTCCATGGCAGATGAAGTTCACAATTTAGGATGCATGCTCACAAGCTTTGCAAGGAGATTACACTTCCGTTATGAAGAAAAAAGCAAACAAAAAAGAAAACCTCTTGCACCATTAATTTCAACTGCAATCAAATTGCAAGATTTTAAGATGATATATCTTGCACAAAGGTATTGTAGATAGAAGAGAAGCCTTTGTAAATATTTATATATTTCTCCATTGAGGGTTTTTAATTTTTGTTTTGTTTTGTTTTGTTTTTGTTTTTGTTTTTTTTAACTTCAGACAGAGAGCAAAGGAAACAGAGCTGGGTCACGATATCTCAAATGGAGGATGGTTTCTCTTACTCGTCTTCCATTTCCTCTATTCCTCATTCTCAAAGTCACACACCTTAATAAACACCCCAAGAAACATTTCTAAGTAGACAACACACAATTTTTAGTAATTGACTTATACAGCAAATGCTTATTTAGCTACAGCTGCTATGGTGGCCTGTCTTCTTAAAACTCACTAAGGGTCTTCCAAACCCATATTTTTGTCATCATATTAACCTTCTTTCTCACTAAATTATTGCTGAGATAAAAATAAATCAACAAATGAACCAAAAAATAAAATGGGTTTGGGATTCATTGCCCTTTCCTGTTATGTCCCATCTAAACTCAAGCCCAAGAAGAGGAGAAAAGGCAATACAAAGTCTTGGGAAAAACAAAGACTAAAACTCTTTCTGAAAAAATCGCACACAGCTGCAGAAGGAATAACTTCTCTGGGTGGGAGGGTGTGGGCAGGGCAGTAAAACAACCTGAGAAACAATCAAACCTTGCCTTCCCCAGAGCCCGCTTCGGACATGGTGTGGGTTGCATCCTTCTCTGCAAACTGCCTGTGTGCTCTGTGGCACGGCTTCCGGCAAGAGATTTCCTGTAAAGGAGAAAACATGTAGTGATGCTGTTTGCCCATGTTCTGTGCTCCTGCCCTGTGTTTTCTCCAGTTTTCAGCTTTCAAGAGCCTCTCAGAGAGAGTACACTAGATGCTGATATGCCATGCTGCCAGGCAATTTCTGTTGTATACAGATTTGCTTGGGAAATTCTAAATTAACATTAACATTCTTGGGAGGCCGAGGCAGGTGGATCACCTGAGGTCGGGAGTTCAAGACCAGCCTGACCAACATGGAAAAGCCCCATCTCTACTAAAAATACAAAATTGGCCGAACGTGGTGGTGTATGCCTGTAATTCCAGCTACTCGGGAGACTGAGGCAGGAGAATCGCTTGAACCCAGGAGGCGGAGGTTGCGGTGAAACGAGATCACGCCATTGCACTCCAGCCTGGGCAACAAGAGTGAAACTCCAACTCAGGAAAAAAAAAAAAAAAAATTAACATTCGCACTAATATTAAGATAGAAGTACTATTGTCTCAGGGGGTTCTGCAAGGCTAAATTGACATAGAATGACCTAAAATGATCTAAATACTCAACTCCAAATATCACAGAATAATAAATAGATTTGGATGTGGGAGAAAAAATAAATTCTTTATCATAGAGGTCCTGGATTCATTTATTCTGATGAAGGAAAGAGGGTATTAACTATTTGCAATCCTTCTAAAGCAGATACTAATAAATATTATTTTCTCTACTGGTTAAAGAACAAATTCCCAGTTTCATGAGCTATCACTTTACTTCCAAATCGGTAAAAATTACTAGAGACATTTGATGGCTTGGTAGAAATCTCAAGGTCAGCCTGTATTTGACTATTTTTGAACCATTGTTTCTTTAGTTGAAAGTGACTTTGGAAATCATAGGCTTTGTTTTGCAGATAAGGAAACTGAAGGCCAAGGCCACACAGATAAGTGGTGACACCAATTGTCCTAAAATCCCAAACCTCCTGATTACCCCAATTAATGCTATTTGCACAAAAATTTTCAAGCCATGGGCAGGACTTTCTGTATTAACATTCTCTAAGGATCTTGGGCTTCATATTAGGTTTTCATATTAAGTTTCCCAACTAGGAAGAGTAGCTGAAGCTGTTTCCTCTTCTGGCCAATAAATTAAAAGAGATACAAGCTCAGGAGTACTGAAACACGCATTGCTTTCTTGGGCTTGAATTTTTATGTAAGTCACTTATTGTCCTGCATCTAAAGATCTAAACTGCATCCAGGTTTTTTTGTTTGTTTTTGTTTTTGTTTTTGTTTTGAGACAAAGTCTTGTGGTAGGAGTTATTAAAAAATTATTTTAGGCAGATAGAGGAAAAGGGGTCCTTGGAAAGTTTTCATTTCTTTTCAAAGCAACTCCAGAAACATTTCTTGTCTAGCAGAAAAACTCTGGCTCCTAGACCCAGGCCGGCAACCTTTGATATGCAAATGCAGGCCATTAGAAACTGGGTCCACCCAACATGGCGATTCCCACCGTTGTCCTCTTGCCCTTACCCCGGACATGTGCCTGGCAACATGGGCACCCCCACATATCCCCACGTGTGTAGAACGTCATGGTGCCCTGCATTTGCATATTAAAAGCTAGGGTGGGGGGCCAATTTTTTCGCAGGCTACATGAATGACAAGCCTGGTCAAACCAATCCCCTGAGCCCTGTGCAAATCAGACACTGCCTCCTCCAGCCTCCTCATAAAACTGGCTGGTATCCTCAGCACATGGGGCCTCCTCTCTTGGATTTGGAGACCCCCTCCCTCTGTCTCTGTACAGAGGAACTTCTTCCTTCTTTCTTCTCCCTTCTTTCTTGCCTATTAAATTCTCCGCTCCTTAAAACCACTCCATGTGTGTCCATGTTGTTTTATCTAAACCGGCATGAGGACCAAGAACCCTGGTGTTCCTCCACTCATCAGAACCATATCAGTCTCACTCTGTTGTCTGGGCTGGAGAGCAATGGCATGATCTCGGCCCACTGCAACCTCCACCTCTGGGATTCAAGCGATTCTCCCACCTCAGCCTCCCAAGTAGCTGGGACTACAGGTTTTCCCCAACCATGCCTGGCTAATTTTTTTTGTATTTTTAGTAGAGACTGGGTTTCACCATGTTGTCCAGGCTGGTCTGGAACTCCTGACCTCAAGTAATCTACCCGTCTTGGCCTCCCAAAGTGCTGGGATTACAGGCATGAGCCACCATGCTGGGCCCTAAAGACAGTTTTAACATAAATTCTAGCCTTTTTTCTTAAACTGGTGCAGCAATCAAATAAGCTATCTTTTTTTAAAGGATTTTTGTGTTTTACCCTCATCTGCCATTTCAACTTAGCCAAAATACACTAATACGGCTATAAATTTTTACTGTTACAGTGATTTCAATAATTGTACTGGGCATATAGCCTCTAGATAATGGCAGAAATTGAAGTGAAACATATTTAAGGAGATTGCTTACAGAATTGTTCTCTTAAAAATATCCTGCTTGCATTTATTCAACGATTTTCTGTGAAATGGGAAAGAGGAAGGAGGAAATATTACTTACTGGGTTACTTGTTTTTTGTTTTATCAGACTATCGTTCTGGTTAATTTCACCAACTGGGGAATGTTTAAAATGGATTTATTGTTTAGGGCATGTGTTAGGATGAGGATTTCTCAGCCTCGGCACTAGTGACACTTTTGGTTGGACAATTCTGTATTAGGGGAGTTGTCCTGTGCATGGTGGCATGGTTAGCAGCCGCCCTGGCATCTACCCACTCCATGACAAGAGCAGCCTTTTCACTGCCCCTTTCCCGCCTCCAATCCTGATAACCAAAAATGTACCCCCTGCCAATTTGCCTTCCGATTCAGAACCACTGGAGTCTCCTAGGCAGGTTTCACGCTACACTGTGAGAGCTCTAAGAGGAATTGGCTTTTTTGGATATCTTTAGCTTGGTTTATGCCCCAAGGACACGTGAAAAATCCTAAACGATGATGATGCCTGTCTCACCTCACCACCAATCCACCTTCCAACTCTTCGCAAAAACACAAATGCACCTGTCATTTGAGGGAGCTTAAGTTAATCAAGGGAAACATTCACATGTACTTGCTTTACACCAGATTAAGAAAAGGAATATTTCTTCCAACATCAGGCAAAATTTTGCTATTTGTTACAAGACAAAGGTAGGCACGTGGGTTTTAACTCTAGTGTCTTTGCTGGCTCCTGAACTAGCCAGTTCTGCCTCAGAATCGCAGTGGTTTCCCCTGTGGCTATGAACAGAACATTCTACAGCACAACAGTCACCATTAGTGGGTCACACTAGTTTTGCATTCTCTGAAATTGCAGCAGTCACAAAAAAATCCCACCACCCCTCTGCTTCTTGAGCTTTTCTTTCCTCAAATGGAATCCACATGAGTCCAAGTCCATGCCAGAAAAATGAAATGTGTATTATTCGGGAAACATTTCCCTAAACAAAATGACACAGGGAAATTCTTCCTTGCCCAAAGCTGAAACTCTGTGCTCAAGAGCTCTCTTATCGGAATTCTGCACTCAATCTTAGATACCTGATACATTCTGCTACTATGATATACAACTTCCTTATGCTTTGGATAAACAGAGGCATATTTTCAGCTTTAATGCCAATATTAAGAGAAGGGTTACAGCATTTTTTTTTTTTTTTTTGGCTTTTACATCCTTTGCTTTTGCGTCAGACAGCAGGATCTCTAGCCACAGTATAGATCCAAATTAATAGAGACACCCATCTGCAAAATGTAATCACTTTCAGCTCATGATGCTATTTTCTAATCCTAGAGCTCCTTGTGCAAGGTTTGTGTGCAAGAGTCTTGTGGCCTGGCTTTCTGAAAGCAACTTCCTGTGCGTGTACAAAAATATTTCAGGCTGCTATCTATTTCTAAATACTTGCCCTTTCTTTTCTCTCTGTTCCCCCTTTTTTTTTTAGACTTTCACTACCCTTGTGATAGATTCCGTTGTCTTACTTTAAACGTGAATATAGTATCTGTGTTCTTTATGCTTCCCATGATCAACAAGGCCTTGCACAAATTTGATAAACAAATGCAACAGCAGAAAGAAATTTTTATATTCTTCCCTGCCCCACCCTCAATAAAGCTGTAGCAACCCAAATAAGCCGACCTTCTCCCAGTAGAAGACATTTTATAGTTCAACCATTTTCTATAATGAATAACTTTCAACCCAGAGTGCCTCCTCCGGGTTCAAAACTCAAGCTACTTGTGATAAAAGAAAGATGTTTTAACTTCAGCCTGAATGATTTTATGCCTCCATGAAATATAAACATTAGCAGAGAATAAAAAGCTATGAAGATGCTTTACTATGAGATTTGAGACTTCATTTTCTACAGATATTTCTTTCAGAATCCACTTAATTGAATCTGTTTGAATGTGTAATTCTTTGTTATTTGATTTTGTAGACATTTTTAAAAAATCAATACAAATTAAGCCTAGAATACAGAAACATATTAAAATTCTTTTTTTGGTGGTGGAGCTACATTCCAATGGTTAGAGGAAGGAGAAGGAGAAAGAGAATAAACAGAATAAATAAGTAAAAAGACATAGTTTGTTAGAAGGAAATAAGTCAAGCAGAGCAGAATAAAGGGAATGATACTTGGGGACGGGTGTGATTGGAAATAAGAGTGGTGAGGACAGGCCTCCTTGGACACTGACATGTAAGCAAAGACTAAAAGAGTCATGTGGGCACTGGAGAGAAGTGTCTTCCAGGCAGACAGGACAGCCAGTGCAAAGGGGGTTTGGGAGTGGGAGCATGCCTAGCATTAGGAGGAACTGATGGAGGCCATGGTGCTCAGTGAGACAGTCGTGGGAAGAGGAGAGGACGAGGCCAGAAGGTAACAGGGCCATCTCCTATAGGAGGCCTCTGTAAGGATTTGGCTTCTACTCTTGGAGAAATAGGGAACCATTGCAGATCTTACTTAATTATTATTTTTTACTGAGGTGAAATTCACACATCATAAAATTAACCATTTTAAAGTGAACAATTCAGTGGCATTTTTAGTGTATTCATAGCGTTGTGCAACCGACACCTCTATTTAGTTCTAGAACATTTTCATCACCTCAAAGGGATATTCCCATACCCATTGGCAGTCATTCCCCATCATCCCCTCCCCGTGGCCCCTGCCAACCACAGTTTGCTTTCTGTCTCTATGGATTTCCCTCTTCTGGACACTTCATATAAATGGAATCATATAATATGTGACTTTTGCGACTGACTAGTTTCACTTAGCATCATATTTTGGAGATGCATTTGTACCTTATTTCTTTTTATGGCTGAGCAATATTCTGTTGTATGCATATGCCATAATTTGTTTATTCATTCACCATTTAAAGGTCATTTGGGTTGTTTCCACTTTTAGCTATTGTGAATAGGGCTACTATCATCATTGCAGGCTTTTAAGTAGAAAAGGGACATTATCTCACTTCTATTTTATACAACACATACAGGGCTATTTTATGAGTCACCTACTAACCCAAATTAGTAAATTCATTGTAAAATGGCAAAAATAAGTAAATAAATAAATGCTTCTCCCATCAGTGCCACCCCTTTGCCACATGCTACCACCTGCTTTGACTGCTTAAAAGATCTTCTTCCAACACAACCATTTTTTAAAATTCTATAATTTCTCCCCCTTCCATTGGTGATTAAAGGCCAAGCAACTGTTAAATGTAAGGCTGTCCCCATTATCCAAAAAATTAATGTTTTCCAAAATTGACACAGGAATTTTTGAGAAAGATAGGCAGTAACTATTAAGAATGAAAATTCTCCAACTGAAAGGGGAAATCATTTTTGCTTGAAAATATAGATGTGGGCCAGGTGCGGTGGCTGATGCCTATAATCCCAGCACTTTGGGAGGCTGAGGCGGGTGGATCACAAGGTCAGGAGTTCAAGACAAGTCTGGCCAAGATGGTGAAACCCCGTCTCAACTTAAAAAAAAAAAAAAAAATTAGCCGGTGGTGGGCACCTGTAATCCCAGCTACCTGGGAGGCTGAGGCAGAGAATTGTTTGAACCCAGGAGACGGAGATTGTGGTGAGCCGAGATTGCGCCACTGCACTCCAGCCTGGGTGACAGAGCAAGACTCTGTCTCAATTAAAAAAAAAAAAAAAAAACAGATGCATTAAATGCATCGTGGTATACTGACCTAAATCCTGAAAGAGGATAATGACAGCACCCAGGCCCTGAGCTTCTTTGACCGCATTTTCCCTTCTCTACCAAAACATTCAGGGGCCTACAACCTGCCAGGCAGTGCTTGCTGGCAGGGAGCAAGTAATCATGATATTAATACATTCTCCCCTCCACCAGAAGGCAGCTGTGAAAACAAACTGGGGCCCCAGAGACTTGGTGCCCAGGAAAGCCAATTCCCATGCATCGAAAGTCTTTCCACCAGTTTGAAAGGAGCTCCCAGCTCCCTGGCTTTGCATCAGCCAACGATTTCTGAGTCACAGAAATCATTTGGATAAGGAAAATTAGAGGTGTTCTGGGTGACGCCATCTCCCCACTCTGCATGTGCCTGGTCTGGTTGGAAAGGCTGCGGGAGGCCCTGCTGAACTCCAGATGAAAACGCCGAAACTGAAAGCACTTCCCTTCTTCAGCAGAAAGCCTCCCTCAGAGTTCCTCCCAGGCAATTGCTCGTTAAAAAACCAGAGGCTGGAGCAAAAGGAATCTGAGAGATTTCTGGCCTCAGCAGCCTCTGCATGAGCTCTGGAGAAACAGGGCATGTCTTTGAGACTCCTAGAACAGGTTGGGCCCAGGGCAGGATCAGGACGGGGCAGTGGGAGGCTGAGAGGAGAGGGAGGGAAAGGGAAGAAAGAGAAGCACCTCCCAGAATCTTAACCCAGGAGCAGTCGGATTAAAGTCAGCCAGCCTTGAAGAGGAAAGTATACCCCCAAACACGGCCTCAGTCTCCAGCCTCCATCTCCAGCCTCCATGCCCTCTTGGCTGGAAGAAGGAAAGTGGGGAGAGAGGTGCAAGGTGAGGAATGAAGCCACAGGCCAATGTGGAGTTTAGGGCATCCTGGGCTGATAACTATATATGTAACCTCTGACGAAAAAGTAATTCTCAGAGGGATTCAAAAGAAGCCAGGACTTGCTCCAGGGATCTCTCCCCCAATTCCCCCAATTTGGAGGAAGAAGAAAGGATCCTGCTTAAGAAAGGATCCTTTTCTAAGCATAGGTTGAAAGTTTGCAAACTACAGCTGTTTGCACCATCCCATAATTGGAGCCGTCTACACTACCCCTACACTTGCTGTGTGAAATGTGGCTCTGAGAAGTCCAAATGCATTGACCACACTGACTACAAATAATTCCGCTTCCTTATACCTCTCAGCCTTGGCCCATGTTGTGTCCTGTGTTCCCTCCCACGCTCTATCCCCACTCCCACCAGCCTGGTCAACATTGTCCCGCAAGTCTCAACTTTTATATTAACTCCTTGGGGAATTTTCCCTGCTTTCTCCTCCCCTTCTCTGCCACAGAAAACACACCCAACTAGATTAGGTACCCATTTTGAGCACCCTGTACTTGCCCTTCTCAGACCCTCTATCACACTGTATTCTAATGTTATACCTCCACTATTCACATAGTACCTGACAAGAAGTGGGCAGGCATTCAATAAATGCTTTATGAATGAATGAATAGATGGATGGATGGATGGATAGATAAATGGATGAATGAGGTTATAAAAAACAAATAACATACCTGTGTGTATAATACATATCACCTTATAAAACATAAAGATAGATAGATGATACATAGATAGATAGATAACTTGTTTGAAGTTTCATGATTCCCCACAGAACAAATATTATTTATTTTCGTTTTGCCGGGGTGAAAAGAGCTTCACATCTATTAAATGACTTGCCCAAGTCACAGGTGATAAAATCAGGTTCCAGTCCACGGAAATATTTGTATGAGTATTTTTTCAAATTTCCAGCACCATTTTACTCAAAAAAAATATTCTGGTGCTAGTCTTGGAATCGATAGTGCTAATTCTGTGGAGAATATATATTGGATATAAAAGTACAGAACTTTAAAGTCAGAAGAAGCTTGCATGCTCCTCTGGTCCACCTCTGTTATTTTACAAATGAGGAAACTGAAGCCCAAAGAGGTTAAGTCTTGTCCAAGGACACACAGCTACTAAATGCAAGTCAGGATGGGAGTCTAGATTTGTCAGATGATGTATCCAGTACCTTTTCTATGACATAAGAAAAATGATTGGTTTATAAACAAATTCTTGGAACACAGCATATTTCTATTTGAGGCCTGCCTGTGTTTGTAAAACCACTCATGCTCAGACTTCCTGAGATTATGCCTGTTGCAAATATTCTGTGCCAGTGTCAGAGCATGGGGCCCAGTGTGGTGACAGAATTAAAGTTAGCTCTGAGGAAGGCCGGGCATGGTGACTCATGCCTGTAATTGCAGCATTTTGGGAGGCCGAGGCAGGCAGATCACTTGAGCTCAGGAGTTTGAGACCAGCCTGGCCAACATGGTGAAACCCTGTCTCTACTAAAAATACAAAAATAAGTTAGCCAGGCATGGTGGCAGGTGCCTGTAGTCCCAGCTACTCGGGAGGCTGAGGCAGGAGAATCGCTTGAACCTGGGAGGCGGAGGTTGCAGGGAGCCAAAATCTCACCACTCCACTCCAACCTGGAGCCTGGGCGACAAAAGCAAAACTCCGTCTCAAAAAAAAAAAAAAAAAAAAAGCTCTGAGGTCAAATTACCTGGGTTCAAATTCTAGCTTTGTGACCTGTGGCGAGTCACTTAGTTTCTCCTGTGCTTCAATTTATCACCTGCAAGATGAGTATAATAATTCCTACCTCAGACGGTTGCTGTGAGAATTAAAATATTTACTACACATAAAGTCATTCGGAGGGTTGACTGACTCATACTAGGTACTGATCAATGTCAGCTTCAGTGATCTCAGTTTAGAAAACAGCTCATTACATACATAGGAGGTCATTGTTAGTCCACATGAGTTGGGGAGAGTAGTGACTGGAAAGGGTCGTGAAGAGGCCTTCTGGGCACTAGCAATTTTATCTTTCTTGAACTGATAACCTGTTACACAGTTACATGCAGTTTGCAAAGATCCATCAAATCAATCCTATATAATTATCAAGAACTGTGAAGGTTCTCAGATTTGACCCTACTTGTAATCTGACAAGTTAGCCTGCCCTAGTTTCATGGATGTTGACAGAAGACATGAGACTCCTGGGTCAGAGAAAAAGGACTTTCTTATTCAGAGAACAGCATACAACATGAGCTTCATATTTGTATCAGTTTCTCTTGCCCTCTAAGTCCCATGGGGGCAATGTAGAGGAGCCCAGTTGAATACTGCACATGCAGTGGGTTTATGCCATAGTTTAAGAACACAAAGTGAAGGGAATCCAAATATTTCTAAAGAGGCAATAAGCCTGCCTGACCTTTGTCCTGGAGAGAACCACTATTGTGTTGGAATGGCTTTATTATACTGGACTGATTTTTGTTCTGGAGGGAAACCCTATCTCTGTCTTCCAAGGCTGTTCACTATACAAACATCCTTGAGAAGAGAGTTCAGAACAAATGGAGTCAGAGCCTCTGGTTACAAGGCGTGCAGAAAGGTGAGAGACCCATGGAGAATGGTTACCCAACAATATATGCACTATTCTGATATATGTCACGCTCCAATAAAAGGCTTTTTAAAAGTGCTACCCTAAAAAAATTGTTGCCCTATGGTCAAATACCTTTGGGAATATCTGGGATAAACCATTTTCTTTACCATTGTACTTAACAGAACCTTTCATATGCTAATGTGTATAATGCAACTGCAGGAAAAGGAACACAATTTGCAGTTGTTTCTCAACATTCAATGCTTCTTAAACCCTTTCTACACAAACATAAGAATTACCTGGGAGTCTAGTTAAATGCAGATCCAGATTCAATAGGTCTTCAGTGGGACCAGAGATTTTGTGTTTCTACCAAGCTCCCAGGAGATGCCAATGTTCTGGCTCATACATCCCCACACGTTGAGTACTAAGGAGTTAGAAAACTCTCTTTTCAAGGAACTTCTCACAAGACTAGGATTCTACCAAACATGCTGTAAGATTACAGTTTCCACCAACCCTAGCTCTACTATTACGTCCAATCTGATATAGGAAGAAAAAATATAAAATTCTTAAATGCAAAATCTCAATGATTTGTGATGCAGGTCAAAGCTGGTTAAATGTAAAATGTAAATTAAATGTAAAAATACTAAAATGCTTAGGAAAGTTCTAATACTTAGGACGTATCTCCTGTGGTATAAGCAAAAACCACAAATGGGGGCTGAATAACAATGAAATTCTAATTTTGCCATAAATGATAACCTAAAACACTAAAATCAATGGAATGATATTTTGCAAAGTAGATGAAACCTAAGCTAATGAGGGTCTGAAATGACAGAGGCTGGAGACTATTAAAGTGGCTGGTGGATGTTTTCCTGAGCTTCATATAACATGGAGGTACCTGAGCCACGCTAATCCCAATAGGGCATTCCCCATGGGTGACTGCAGTGGGCAGAAGGCTGTTCTCCTGTGGCTTTCACACCACCCCTGGGCAAGAGGACATCCAGCAGAAATGACTCAGCTGTACCTAGTTCCATGCTTATCTTCCTTAAAACTTCAGTTCTCAACCCTGGCTACACATTAGAATCACCCAAGAAGCTTTGGAAACACTTCCGATTCCCAGGCCTCTTCCAGACCAGTAAACTATGAATCTCTTGGGACAGAGCCTACACATCGGTAGTTACAAAAATCCCCCCAGTGATTGTGATGGAAACTGTTACCCTCAAGCCTCTGACAAACTTCAGTGAAGGAAGTAAAATCCACAACCCAGTGTAAATGGAGCATATATCACCAAGGTACACCTGCTTTCCTCTCTTCCGCATCTCTGATTCTGCTACTATACTAAGAACCACCACGCTCTGAGAAGAGACATCAACAACAGCACGGTTCATTTCCTTCTAGACCTCACCACATGCCTCATCTCTCTCTAGTTCATGTTTGGTATAAGCGATGGGTCTCATTTTTAGGGAACAAAAGCACAGAAATCTCCCTATGTAGGACTTTGTGGAAATTTTGACCAGGGTGAAATTAATTTCATCCCATATTTACCATAATTTGAGCATTGTATTATCTCAAATATTACCATGGATAAAGGGATTCTGCAGTGTCATGCTATGCAGTTAAGATTTCTGGGTTTGGGTCACAACTTCCCGTACTTACTAGCTGTGTGACCAAGTTGGGTAAGTTACTTCATCCCATTAATCCTAGTCTGTTCACACATAAAATAGGAGAATTCATAAAGTTCAGAGTTGGGATGATCATTACTAGAAGGTAATTCATGTGAATGACTGGACACTGTCCCGGGCATAATAAAACCTCCATAAATACCAGCTATTTTTATAAGTTGATTTGGTATCATTTAAATAGATGATCTGTAGATGGCCACTCTTCAGTGAGCTGTTTATTATCCAGCCTCAGGGAGACATGTAAATTGAGCATAAATGTTTAAAGACTTTTACACTAATTTAACAGAGTAACTGTCTATCAAATCTAATAAAACTCTTAGGCTTGCGTTTTGTATGTCTTTACTAAATTTTTGCAAGAACTCATTTTTAAAAATGTTATGACTATTGGTCCATGGACCTGTATTTTGTACACCTTTTAAATTTAGTTTTTTCTAATAATTCATTTTATGGAAGTATTTTTCCATGATAGATTGGAGATTAAAAAATTGATTTTTCATAGAGTTTGAGAATAACTAGTTTAAAGATAAATTTATGAATATTGTGTCACAGACATGAATGAAAAACCCATTGTATCTGTTTTCTGTGCTATATAGCAAACTACCACAAGTTTAGTGGCTCAAAATAACACCCATTTTTTTTTATTGTTATTATTATTTTTTTTTTAAACAAAGTTTCATTGCCATTGCCCAGGCTGGAGTGCAATGGCGCGATCTTGGCTTACTGCAACAACCGCCTCCCGGGTTCAAGAGATTCTCGTGCCTCCGCTTCCCAAGTAGCTAGAACTACAGACACACACCACTGTACCCAGCTAATTTTTGTATTTTTTTGTAGAGACAGGGTTTTGCCATGTTAGCCAGGCTGGTCTCAAACTCCTGAGCTCAAGTGATACTCCTGCCTCGGCCTCCCAAATTGCTGGGATTACAGGTGTCAGCTATGCCTGGCCACAGCCATTTATTATCTCACAGTTTCTATGGGCCAGGAATCTAGGTATGGCATGGCTGGATTCTCAGCTCTGGCCTCAAGAGGCTGAAATCAAGTTGTCAGCTGGGCTGCAGTCTCATATGGAGATCGAGGACCTTTTCCAATCTCACATGGTTGTTGGTAGAATTCAGTTCCTTGAAGCTGCAAGACTAGGGTCCTTGTTTTCCTACTAGCTGTCATCCGGAGGTCACTCAGTCCTTGAGACTGCCCACAGTTCCTTGCCAGGGGCTGTCCCACAGCTTGGAAGCTTCTTCAAGACCAGCAAGGCAGGGTCTCTCACGCCAGTCCACTAAGACAGAGTCTTACATGGTGTAATCAAGGGAGTGACATCCCATCACCTTTGCCATATTCTATTGGCTGGATGCAAGACAGTTTCCTCTGACACTCAAGGGGAGAGGCTTATACAAGGATGGGACTCATTGGGGGTCACCTGAGGGTGTGTCCACCACTCATCTACAAATAATCTTATTGTAATGGAGTGACTCTCCCAATAGTAAGCCATCAATCACCATATAAAACAAACTTGGCACAGGTTAAAAGAATCATAGAGAAGTTGGATAATTTGATGCTCATATAACGTCTGACTTAAATAAGCCAATCTGTGAATTAGTCCTGCAAAATTGCCATGGCATAAGTTTCAAATAATACACAAAAAGGAAATGTTGCTTTTGAGTTCCACCTTTTGTGTTGCTGATGCCTCTGAAAAAATGGTGTGTATGGCACATTTTTCTGCAATTATTTTCTGATAAATGTGAAATCCAACATAATTGCCCTTGAAATGAGATATTTAATGATGTGAAAGCTAATGACCATGTTAATGGTGATTCTCAATAAAGATCTGTTTATCCTCATAAACTCCTTGAAATCTAATGCAGTGGCTGTGGAAATCGCTTAATAAACCTCTTTTAGACATGGCTAATTTTTATATACTATGGATTGATTTACGGGACTTTTTTAAGAAGCCCAGTTCTCCACTTGGGTCTGAGTGTAAAATTCCCAAAGGGCTTAGCCTGGTGTCCGTTTGAACAGGATTGGCGTGCATGTGGAATTATTTTCCTTCTTCACTAGAGGCCCCCAGTTTGACAGCACAACAGTGGAAGCACAGGTTTGCATGTGTATGAAGGGTACCAAACAGCTTCAAGAACTTTTAGAAAGTGCATGGTATATAAATAATAAATGAATGAATGAATGAACAAGTGAGTGACTGAGTGAATGGGAGGCCGAGGCGGGTGGATCACGAGGTCAGGAGATCGAGACCATCCTGACTAACATGGTGAAATCCCATCTCTACTAAAAATACAAAAAATTAGCCAGGCGTGGTGGCGGGCGCCTGTAGTCCCAGCTATTCGGGAGGCGGAGGCAGGAGAATGGCATGAACCCGGGAGGCGGAGCTTGCAGTGAGCAGAGATCGCGACACTGCACTCCAGCCTGGGCAACAGAGTGAGACTCCGTCTCAAAAAAAAAAAAAAAAAGTTAGTTACTTCAAAGGAGAGAGAGTCATGAATAATGGAAGACAGCTAGAAACATCTCAGCCGATAGTTTTACAACAGAAGCGATTTGGTCGATAATGGCACCTTCTAAATTATAGACTTTTAATTAGGGAAAAGGATATGAGGACAGGGGCAGAAGGGGCTTCTATGGAAGCTGGTAGAGATTATTTTAGGGAAAATTAACGTGAGATCACATCGTTTTGATTGTATGACCCATAACTATGCCTTTAGCAGGGAAAAGGTTAGTATATTTACAGAATAGGTATGTGCTAACAATGTTTGGTTTAAACACATTACCCCAAAATACTGCCCTCTCAACTGCTGGAAATGCATCTTTCTACTGGAACACTTGGCCAGAAGTTGTCCCATTGGAGAGCCTTTCAACCTTACCTTTAACAGGCTAATACAAAGGCTTATCTTACATACTCTTGTGAGAAATTTTTTAAAGCCCATATTTCATATAACAGCTATGTGAGATTCCTACACTGAGGGGTTGTTAGTTTTGGGGGAGGTGAAAAAGAAAAAGAATACAATACTCTGGAGCTCAGGGAGATGTTTCAGGAAGTGCATGTTGGGTAGGTTTTCTTGGCGGGCCACTTAGGTAGCACTAGGTGGTAGAGAGGACACAAAGAGTCAAGAAGGAGACCAAAAAAAAAAAAAAATGGAAGCATCCAGGGCAGACACATCCTGATTCTTCTATCTGCTTTCCCTGGTTTTTGGGAATCCTGAGAAGAAATAAGCTAGCACTTTAAGGCTACTCGTCCCTATTGGTTGGGGGCCCAGAGAGACTCACAAAAGGTTGAATTCAGCTCCGTAGAGTAGCACTGTCAATTGGAAACATAATGCAAGCCACAAGAGTGAGCCATATATGTAATTTTAAAAATTTCAGTAACCACATTTTTTAAAGTATAAAGAAATGGGTGAAATTAATATCTTTAATTTAACCCAGTACATCCAAAATACTATTATTTCAACATGTAGTCAATGTAGAAATTATTAGATATTTTCTTTTCTTTTTTTTTTTTGGTACTAAGTCATCAAAATTAAGTGTGTATTTTACACTTACAGAACACTTGAATTTGGATTTAATCCACTAACGGTTGCTCAGTAGCCACATGTGGCTAGTGGCTCCTGTATGGAAAAGGGCAGCTATAGAGAATGGTAATCCAACAGATCCTTAGCCATGTGCAGAACGTTCAAGGCCACATATTGGCAAGGTTGCTGTACATTCAAAACACTGGAGAGCAAATCTGGAAATCTGGAATTTTCCTCATGATGGTTCATGAAAAAATACAACCATCAAGTAATTTATTCAAGAAGAAAATTGCCTACATGGAAATGAAATATTATCAAACTGTAAAGGTACATTTGTGTATACTTATATACAATAGTTTCTGGGCTCTTAGCCCAGAAATACAGCATTAATTATACTGTATATACACACACAATATTCAGATGTCCTTAATTTCAAAAGCTGTGATTAAATTTGAAAAACTGAAGAAATAATTTTCATCATAGACTCAGTGGAATGAGGCGGCAATTATTAATGTCCCATTTTGCAAGTGGAGAATTTGGCACTGTTCTCTCAGGAGCACACACGGTTTTTGCCCTCCATTCCTTTTTGAATCAGAATTCAGCTTCCAAAGTGGACTATAATGGTGGGAAGCTATAGAAAAAATGCACATCTATCACTAGAATTACTTGGCACAAACAGCCTGTTAACTGCTCATTTTCAAGTTGTAGAGCTGAGTCACCATCAGGAAACTGAAGTCCACAGAGGCAACTTCATGCTGCAAAAAAGAAGGTTTTCCTGCCTCTCCAACATGACGTTCCTTCCTGCTCTTCTTTTGAAACCATTGGCCTTATTCAAGTGGTTGCAGGGAACAAAAGTCTCTCAAAGTGGTTTGAAAGCAAATGAAGAATTTATTGGAAAAAAATATTCAAGTATTTCATGGAATACAGGAGGCCTTATCTAGTGGCCTCACCACATCACAGCTTGGGCTTCCTCACAGCATGGTGTCTCTGCATAGTCAGACTTCTTACATCTCAGTTATCACTTCTTACATGGCAGCTGGGAAAAAGGCTATTCAAGTATTTCATACAACACAAGGGCTAGAACTAGAAAATCAGTAGACCTCAAGGACACACTATGGGCCGTATTATCTCTATTTTTCATTTTCTCTCTTCTTTCTAAGCCTAGTTCTTTTTCTTTTCTTTTTTTATTTTATATTTTTTGAGACAGGGTCCTACTCAGTCACCCAGGCTGGACTACAGTGGCACAATCTTGGCTGACTGCAACCTCCGCCTCTTGGGTTCCAGCAATCCTCCCACCTCAGCCTCCTCAGTAGCTGGGATTACAGGTGCACACCACCATGCCAGGCTATTTTTTTTTATTTTTTGTAGAGATGGGGTTTTGCCATGTTGCCCAGGCTGGTCTTGAACTCCTGAGCTCAAGTGATCCGCCCACCTTGGCCTTCCAAAGTGGTAGGATTACAGGCGTGAGCCACCACGCCCAACCTCTATGCCCACTTCTTTCTTCTTTCTGTCTGTGACTGATTTTCTAGTTCTGCTTGCACAATATCCAAATGTGGCCACCTCAACCACAAAGGTTGATCAGAATCACTTTGTCCCATTTCTACCTTCCCAGCAGACAGAATTTGATTGGCCCAGATGATAATACATCCCTACAATTGAACAGTGTGTGGTCACTAAAAATATTCCTTCCACTTTTGATAAAATGAGAAGAGACATGTCCTGAAATGTATTGTGAAAAGTGCTAAAAACCAATTATATTTATTGTATAAGTGTGACTGCTAAAAATGCTGTGAAAAAAGATACTAAGAAAATATTCTAAAATAGAACAAGGCATCTCAGTTATTACTTGCTGCTGAATAACAGACTTGGCAAAACTTGGTGTCATCAGTCAATAACTATCATTTCTCATGATTCTTTGGGTAGACTAGTCTGAGCTGGGTGGTTTTCTGTTCCAGGTGGCATTGGCTGAGGTCACTAATTCTACTGCACTGAACTGGGGGCTGGGCTAGGCTGGAAGGACTGAGAAGGCTTTCTTCACATGTCAGACACTTAGTTCTCTTCTGGTGGCCTCTCCACATCACAGCTTGGGCTTCCTCACAGCATGGTGTCTCTGCATAGTCAGACTTCTTATGTGGCAGTAGGTTTTCAGAGGGAATGTGAAAGTTGCCAGACGTCTTAAAGTCCAGGCCTAGAATTGGCACAGCATCATTTATACAGACTTCTAGTAGTGGCCAACCCAATTCAAGATGTCAGGCCACATTCCAGGGGAGGTAGAATGGTTTCTTGCTGGGTCGAACAGCATGTGCATACGAAGGAAAAAAAATTGATGGCAGCCATCTGGGGAGACTACCACACGGGGATGGGAATCTTAGTGTTTGGAATTAGAAGAGAGGGGAGATTTTTCCTGCTAGTTTTTGTTGTTGTTGTTGTTTGTTTGTTTGTTTGTTTTTTGAGACAGGGTCTTCCTCTGTCACCCAGGCTGGAATGCAGTGGTGCAATCTCAGTTCACTGCAGCCTCCGCCTCCCAAGCTCAAGTAATCCTCCCACCTCAGGCTCTCAAGTAGCTAGGACCACAGGCACGCACCACCACACCCAGCTAATTTTTGTATTTTTTGTAGAGACGAGGTTTCACCATGTTGGCCGGGCTGGTCTCAAACTCCTGAGCTCAAGCAATCTGCCTGCCTCCGCCTCTCAAAGTGCTGGGATTACAGGTGTGAGCCACCATGCCTGGCCTGCTACTTTTTGTTTGTTTTTCTGTACTTTCAGATTCTTCAATGAGTACCATTTTAATAATCATACTTTTTAAGTGGTGTTGTTTGTAATCATAATTTATTAAATGCTGCCAAGTTGAATGTCTGGAATAAATTAATTAAGGGGAAGATGTCAGTATGCATTCTAAAATGCGACATTTGCTGGGAAATAATGTCTACAAGAAATTCTTGGCTTTGCCTCTCTTGAGAGTAATAAAAACTAGCCAGAATGGTAGCTGAAGAATAAGAGGAAAACATATATTTCTTGCTGTCAACTAAAAACAAATCTCTGCCTCCTTAAGTACTCTACTTCCTAGTCATGTAGCTTGGTGTGTGATTGCTTTCTGTCATATTTGTATGAGGGCTAGAGCCTTCATCCTTGAGAATAAACAGACTTACTAGCCCAGTGGCTGTGAGCATTTTTCTGCTTAAGACCTTGCTCCTGGCCAGGCGTGGTGGCTCACAACGGTAATCTCAGCACTTTGGGAGGCCGAGGCAGGAGGATCACTTGAGGTCAGGGAGTTCGTGACCAGCCTGGCCAACATGGTGAAACCTCATCTTTACTAAAAATACAAAAATTAGCCAGGTGTGGTGGTGAGCACCTGTAATCTCAGCTACTCAGGAGGCTGAGGCAGGAGAAGTGCTTGAACCTGGGAGGCAGAGGTTACAGTGAGCTGAGATTGCACCACTGCGCTCCAGCCTTGGCGACAGAGCAAGAATCTGTCTCAAAAAAAAAAAAAAAAAAAAAAAGACCTTGCTCGTACAGAATTCAATCCAGCTAACAGTCATTCTGGGACCAGGGGTCTCCTAAAATGTGAGGTCTGTTGACTGCTGCTCAGGAAAAGCACTTCCATCTCAGCTGAAAGGGCCTGAATATTCATTTCCTGCACTGAGCCAGGCATCAACTCACCTACAGTCCAATTGCTCTGAAACTCACACAGATTGAGATCAGAAGAGCTCCTTTCATCCAAGTGACTTCTGTATGCAGTGACTTTGTGTCCTCTCTGATCTTCCCAGCTTTGTCTCCCACTGGCCTCTCTGCCTTGGACCCTCCAACCACTTCTGCCAACTCTGTCTTCCCCCGGGAGATGCCCCTGCCCCAGGGTCAAACAGTTCCAACTGACAGGATTGCCCTTACCTTCCCTCTGCCACCAGACCAGGCCCAATCCCCTTCCTCCAGGAAGTTTCCCTCGATCTACAGGTCAAATTTGTCTCCTCCACCCCCATGTTCCCCAGCACTTTGCTCTGTCATTCTGCCTTCAACACTGGAAATACAAAGAGGGCTAAATCCTAAAGCCCTGCCCTCAGGGAGCACTCAGCCTGGGGTAGAGAGACTCATGTAATGTGGTGATGGCTGCCATGGGGGTCTATTTGGGGTACTATGAGAGCCTAGAGGAGGGGGATATTCAGTACAGCCTTGGTCTCCAGGAAACCACCTGAAGGAGGACAGCATGCCAGACAGAGGGTTCAGGAAGAGCAGAGGCACAGAGGCAGGAAACCACATGGAATTTGAGGGCATAGGACACACATTGGTTTCATAAGTCCACAGCCCCATCACAGGGCGCCCTAGGTTAGAGCAGGCTGCATCACTCACCTCTGCAGCATTAATGTCTCGTGGAAGGCCAAGTCTCTTGCTTTGTGATCCCATTCCACTCTGGGGAGCACGCAGAGAGGGAGTTATATATTGTCCAAGCTATACCCTGGGGGCACCCGTGGGGAGTGCCAAAACCCAAGATGTTATTTGCCCTTTTCTCTCTCTCACACAAGTGTACAGTGGAGTTTCTAGAGGCTACAGGACATATGTCAAGAGGCTGAATACACAGCAGATAAGCAAATCCAGTTGTCTTCTATTAAGTCAGACATTAAAGAAATATGCAACAATGTAAAACATTGCCACTCAGGCCTGAGGCAGTGGCTCACACTTGTAATCCCAGCACTTTGGGAGGCTGAGGCAGGAGAATTGCTTGAGCCCAGAAGTTCGAGACCGGCCCAGGCAACATAGCAAGACCCTGTCTCTACAAAAAATTTTAAAATTAGCAGGGCATGGTAATACACACCTGTGGTCCCAGCTACTTGAGAGGCTAAGGCAGGAGGAACACTTGAGCCCAAGAGGTGGAGGCTGCAGTGAGTCATGATCATGCCACTGCACTCCAGCCTGGGCAACAGGGTGAAACCGTCTCAAAACAAAACAAAATGACAACAACAAAAAACATTGCCACTCTTTTCACTACATTTTTAAAGAAAAGTATAGTTTTTAAAAATAAAACTATGTCACATTAACATTCAATTGGACTTATTATTGTTATATTTAAATTAATTCATCAACAAACATTTGTAAATTTCCTCAGTTTAATTTTTACTATCATAAGTTTTGAGAGATTTAGCTCCTTGAGGTGCTAAATAAAGACAGGGTCTTTGAGGCACTCAGTTAATTTTAAGAGTGCAAAGGGGGGCCAAGAACAAAGTGTTGGGAATCACTGGTATGGTCGACTCTGAAGCCAAATTCCCTCGGTTCAAATCCCAGCTCCTCTAATTACTAGCTGTGTGGTTTTCTATTCAGTTCCAAGCTTCTCTGTGCCTGTCTCCTCTTCCATAAAACTGGAATAATGATAAGAATGTAAGGGGGCCCGGCGTGGTGGCTCACGCTTGTAATCCCAACACTTTGGGAGGCCGAGGCGGGCGGATCACTTGAGGTCAGGAGTTCAAGACCAGCCTGCCCAACACGGTGAAACTCTGTCTCTACTAAAAATACAAAAAATCAGTCGGACGTGCTGGCTCATGCCTGTAGTCCCAGCTACTCAGGAGGGTGAGGAATGAGAATTGCTTCAACCTGGGAGGCAGAGGTTGCAGTGAGCCAAGATTGTGCCACTGCACTCCAGCCTGGGTGACAGAGTAAGACTCTGTCTCAAATAAATAAATAAATAAATAAATGTTTTTAAAAATAATGATGAGAATGCTGTCGTGAGGATCAAAGGAGTTCCTTGGGTACAGTGCTCTGAAAAGGTGGCTGGCACAGGGGTTAGCATTCAACAAGTGTTAATTAACATTAATTTGTTCAACAAACACTCATAGAACCATGATCGTGCACCAGGCACTGTGCTTGTCTCCAGTGATGTAAAGATGACTAATTCACTTTCACAATCCTCAAGGGACCCACAGCAGGGAGAAAGAGACCCAGATAAATAGACCACGTCTGTGCAGACTTGGCCAAGACCTGTGGGACCACACAACCAGGACCCTTGGCAAAGGAATTGAAACATCTCCAGTGAGATGCTGCTGAGAAAAATCCCTCAGTGAGTCCAGAATGTTCTGAACTAACATATTTGTCAAGAATGTTTACAGAGCTGAGACTTAATGAAAAGAGGGCTGGCTAGGAGTCCAGTTACCAGAGAGACTCCTTTTCTGACTGCCTTTAGCAACTTATTTAACAAATAGCAAACATCTGCTGTGTTCCTGGCACTCTGCTAGGATTGAGTGACATCAAGATGATTAAGATATGCCTCCTTGAAGGAGCTCCCAGAGCTGAGGAGACACACTGTGGTTGTGTACCACAAAAATGCATAAAAAGAGATGCTGAAGCCACTCAACCTCTCTGACTCCATTCTGTCCCCTACCAGATGAGTATAATGCCATATAACTAGACAAATTTCTCCCAGATCTAACATCCTAGTACTCCATTCAAATATTAGAGGTCCTCTCAGAAATCCTGTTTGGAATTTGAGTGTCATTGTGGTCACCATTAACCTTGGGGTAGTTGTGCCATGGTGAGCAATAATGTTCCCACTTCATAAATGGAGAAACTAAGACCCAAGAAGGTTAGTGATTTGCCCCTGGCTCAAGAAATAGAAGAATTCAAGAGCAGAGAGGGCTTCAGGCCTCTTCAGAGTTCATAAGAAAGATGTTTTTCAACATGAGATGAATGTTGCAAATTCCCATTTGGGATTTAAAATTTAAGCTTGGGGCCAAGCACAGTGGCTCACACCTGTAATCCCAGAACTTTGGGAGGCCTAGGCCAGTGGATCATTTGAGCCCAGGTGTTGGAGACCAGCGTGGGCAACATGGTGAAACCTTGCATCTACAAAACATGCGAAAGTTAGCCAGGCATGGTGGCACATACCTGTAATCCCAGCTACTCGGGAGGCTGAGGCAGGAGGATTGCTTGAGCCTAGGAGGCAGATGTTGCAGTGAGCCAAAATTGTGCTACCACATTCCAGCCTGGGCAACAGAGCAAGACTCTGTCTTAAATAAATAAAATTTAAGCTTGTGCCAGGTGTGGTGTCTCACACCTGTAAACTCAGCACTTTGAGAGGCCAAGGCAGAAGGATTGCTTGAGGCCAGGAATTCAAGACCATCCCAGGCAACATAGCAAGACCCTGTCTCTACAATTTAAAAAAAAAAAAATTAGCTAAGTATGGTGGTACACACCTGTAGTCCCAGCTACTTGGTAAGCTGAGGCAGGAGGATTGCTTGAGCCTAGAAGTTTGAGACCAGCCTGGGCAACACAGTGAGACCCTGTATCTATTAAATAAAAAAAAAAAAAAAAAAAAAAAAAAAACGGAAAACAAATACAAATAAAAATAAAATTGAAGGTCACCCAGATGGTTGTTGCTAACAATTTCCCTAGCCCTTATTCCCACATTTTCTCCTTTGTATATTGATATGGTGAATCTCATCTTGAATTTCTACATGTTGTGGGACAGATCCAGTGGGAGCTCATTGAATCATGGGGGCAAGTCTTTCCTGAGCTGTTCTCATGATAGTGAATAAATCTCACAAGAGCTGATGGTTTTATAAAGAGGAATTCCCCTGCAAAAGTTATCTCTCTCTTTGCCTGCTGCCATCCATGTAAGACGTGACTTGCTCCTCCTTACCTTCCACCATGATTGTGAGGCCTCCCCAGCCATGTGGAACTGTAAGTCCATTAAATCTCTTTCTTTTGCAAATTTCCCAGTCTCAGGTATGTCTTTATCAGCATCGTGAAAACAGACTGATACAGTAAATTGGTACCAGTAGAGTGGGGTGCTGCTGAAAAGATACCTGAAAATGTGGAAGGGATTTTGGAACTGGGTTACAGGCAGAGGTTGGAACAGTTTGGAGGGCTCAGAAGAATACAAGAAAATGTGGGAAAGTTTGGAACTCCCTAGAGACTTGTTGAATGGCTTTGACAAAAATGGTGATAATATTACGGAAAATGAAATCCAGGCTGAGGTGGTCTCAGATGGAGATGAGGAACTTGTTGGGAACTGGAGAAAAGGTGACTCTTGTTATGTTTTAGCAAAGAGACTGGTGGCATTTTGCCACTGCCCTAGAGATTTGTGGAACTTTGAACTTGAGAGAGAGATGATTTAGGGTATCTGGTGGAAGAAATTTCTAAGCAGTAAAGCATTCAAGAGGTGACTTGGGTGCTATAAAAGGCATTCAGTTTTTTAAAGGAAGCAGAGCATAAAAATTCAGAAAATTTGCAGCCTGACAATTGGATAGAAAAGAAAATACCATTTTCTGAGGAGAAATTTAAGCTGGCTGCAGAAATTTGCATAAGCAATGAGGAGCCAAATGTTAATCCCCAAGAAAATGGGGAAAATGTCTCCAGAGCATGTCAGAGGTCTTCATGGCAGCCTCTACCATCACAAGCCCAGAGGCCTAGGAGGAAAAAATGGTTTTGTGGGCTGTGCCCAGGGTTCCCATGCTGTGTGCAGCCTAGGGACTTGGTGCCCTGCATCTGAGCTGCTCCAGCCATGGCTGAAAGGGGCCAACATAGAGCTTGGGCCATGGCTTCAGAGGGTGCAAGCTCCAAGCCTTGGCAGCTTCCATGTGGTACTGAGCCTGCCAGTGCACAGAAGTCAAGAATTGGGGTTTGGGAACCTCCACCTAAATTTTAGAGCATGTATGAAAATGCCTGGCTGGCAAGGCAGAAGTTTGCTGCAGGGGCTGGGCCCTCATGGAGAACCTCGGCTAGGGCAGTTTGTAAGGGAAACGTGGAGTCAGAGCCCCCACACAGAGTCCCTCCTGGGGCACTGCCTTGTGGAGCTGTGAGAAGAGGGCCACCATCCTCCAGACCCCAGAATGGTAGATCCACCAACAGCCTACACTGTGTGCCTGGAAAAGCCACAGACACTCAATGCCAGCCCATGAAAGCAGCTGGGAGGGAGGGGCTGTACCCTGCAAAGCCACAGGGGTGGAGCTGCCCAAGACCATGGGAACCTACCTCTTGCATCAGCATGACCTGGATGTGAGACATGGAGTCAAAGGAGATCATTTTGGAGCTTTAAGGTTTGACTGTCCCGCTGGATTTCAGACTTGGATGAGGCCTGTAGCCCCTTTGCTTTGGCCAATTTCTCCCATTTGGAATGGCTGTATTTACTCAATGCCTGTGTCCCCATTGTCTCTAGGAAGTAACTAACTTACTTTTGATTTTACAGGCTAATAGGCAGGAGGGACTTGCCTTGTCTCAGATGAGACTTTAGACTGTGGACTTCCGAGTTAATGCTGAAATGAGTTAAGGCTTTGGGGGACTGTTGGGACACATATCACTGTTTTGAAATGTGAGGACATGAGATTTGGGAGGGGCCGGGGTGGAATGATATGGTTTGGCTGTGTCCCCACCCAAATCTCATCTTGAATTCCCATGTGTTGTGGGAGGGAACTGGCGGGAGGTAATTGAATCATGGGATCAGGTCTTTCCCATGCTGTTCTCTTAATAGTGAATAAGTCTCATGAGATCTGATGGTTTTATAAAGAGGAGTTCCCCTGCACAAGTTCTCTTTCTCTTTGCCTGCTGCCATCCATGTAAGATGTGACTTGCTCCTCCTTGCCTTCCACCATGATTGTGAGGCCTCCCAGCCACATGGAACTGTAAGTCCATTAAACCTCTTTCTTTTGTAAATTTCCCAGTCTCGGGTATGTCTTTATCAGCAGCATGAAAACAGACTAATACATATATTTTCCCTCTTAAGACAAAATCACATAGACACACTGTACTGTCAAACACAAGTTATTGCCTTAATTATTTAGTTAATATCCTCAGATAAAAATAAACACTAAGTTTATTCTCTTAGCATAACCTTAAGGGTCACACAATTAGGCATAACATTATTCAATTTTATTTTAGAGTTTGGACTTCAACATCCTGTACCTTATAATGGTATTGTGGGAATTGTCTGAAATTAGCTGATGTTTACAGAACTCTGCCAGAACTTGACTTTATTTCTCCCCTATATGCAGAGAAACATCTGAGCTATCACTTATACTTGTATAGGGAACATTGATTCTAATTACTTGAGTATTGTATTTCCAGCTTGAATGTCCATATAGTAGTGGCAAACATTTTGCTAGTGTAATGCTTTGGTAATCAGCCAAAAGAAATTTAGGTCAATCAAATGGAAGAGAAGCTCAACAGAGGTTTCTAGGCTGTCATTTCCTTTTATGAAACCAAATCTATAAATTCAGAGAGACCTATTTGGGATTTAGTTCCAGCCCCCTAGATCATTACTGACTCAATTCCATGACTTGTGTAAAGCCTTTTTCACTTCTCATCATCTCTACTTCTCCATCCCAAAGTAGTCAGTGTTATACTTGTCAACAATGGCCTACTTTTTTTAAGTACTAGAAGATTCTTAAGGTCAAGTCTTGAAGTTGGAAGTGCTCGATTTTTACAGCTATCTTTGTTCTCACCTATCCATTTGTCATCATCAAGGAATAACAAGTTCCACATAAGCAAATTTTCCAGAAATTTCTGTCAATTTTTGCCTCTTTCACTGTGCCTGTGTTTGCATATTCCTCTTGCTCTTGCAAATTGCTTCTAATCAGGCGCTTCCTGTTTGCAGTGGCCTGAGTAATCAGATAATCAATCTTTTTGGAATTATTCATAGAATAAGAGCAATCAAGGTCAGAGTCAAGGCCGAGTCCCAGTCAGCTTGGAGAGTGCCCAAGCTATTTTATACACACACACACATACACACACACATATAAATTTACAGACTGGATCTTGCTTTGTTGCTCAGGCTGGTCTCCAACTCCTGGGCTCAAGCAATCCTCCCACTTCAACCTCCCAAAGTGCTGAAATTACAGGTGTGAGCCACTATGCCTGGCCACTATTTTACTATAATGTATAAAATCTCAAAGTTAGACACTGTACTCAGGGAGATCATCCAAGTGGCCTGGCCATTTCAATATCAGTAAATTGTCTGTTTCATTCTGCAAATATTTATTGACCCAAGATCATGGTTTAACTTAGTCAGACTCACAAGACTGTCTCCCTCTATAAGATCAGGCTAGCTGACCTCTTGACCCTTTCCTTGGGTGACTCATCCTAAGTTTTCTGTCTGAGGCTCAAGATATAACCTTTCAGCCTCAGATAAAAACTGCTTTCTCCCCTCACCACAAAGCACATGTCAAGATTTTATCTTCATCCCTCCCTAGGAAAGCAAATGCAATGACACCATGCAGGATGCATATTTGGGAAGGGAGTCTTCTGGGTGGGTAAGACAGAAGGTAAGGATGCTGAAGGATTTGCAATGGAGAACGTGGGTTTAGGATATGAGGTCACAGTTCCACACTTCAGTGTACATCAGATCCCTCGGGATAGTTAATAAAAATTCAGTTTCCTGGGCCCCACTTTTAGAAATTCAGATTCAGAAGGTCTAGGGTTGAAACAGAAAACTGCCATTTTAATTCACAGTCTGGAGAATGCTAATACAAGAGGTCCAAGGACTGCTCTGGGAATCGGGTTTCAAGTGGCAGTACTGTTCACAGAGGGCACAGAGTACACAAATCAAAAGCAGACAGTGATTGGGCCACCCTTGCAAGGGGGTAAGAAGCCCTTGCTCTGATTCTGAGGAGTATTTGTAAGAAAGCCAGAATAATTTGCTTGCTAAAAAGAAAAACATCAAAGATGAAATTAAGAAGCCTGTAAATATGAAGTATTGTAACCTCATTTAGCGAGAAAATTCTGGCAACAAAGAGAGCTATCAGATTCACTTCCAGAATTGAAATGACACCAGAGAGGGTCTGTGTGTCATCTGGGAGACAGAGTTGAAAACAAAGTACCCAACAAGGGCAGAGGGTTTGGGAGTCTTTAACGCATTAATAGTACAAAAGACAAATTTGAACGGAGAATGGGATCCCTTTGATATGGGGCACATTCAGTTTAATATGGTTACTTTAGGTCAAGAGATTCTTAGCTCAGAAACAATTCTCAAATGGCATGTCTTTTTGGGGGATCCCTCACCCATCTCCCAGCATCAGTGGCCACTGTCTTCTGAGGGTTTAAAGTCCCTCCAGGACCCACACAGCTGCCATTTCAAAGGCAGAGCCCCCATAATCCAGATGTCCCCTGCTCCTCCCACCTTCACCCCATTCAAATTCCTGTCTTTTAAGAACTGCTCTATCAGAGAAACAGCATTTGATAAATGTCCCCATGCTACGTGCCAACTCCCAAAAATGTGAAAAACAAGTAACTTATTAATCCAAAGAAATGGCCTTTGATGATCGTTTTAAATTTTATGGAAGCGGCCTCTTCTCCCCGACCCTCAAATTGTCCTGCCTACATAATGTTTACACTGTCTGGCAAGATAAAGAAGGCTAGTTCTAGCTAACAATCACCAACATCAATTGTTTACTCTGCACTAGGCCCTATTCTAAACCCATTAGTGTACTAACTTATTTAATCCTCATATAACCCTAGGAGAGGCATATGATTGTTGTCCGGGATTTACAGAGGAGGAAACTGAGGTGAGGCAAGTGTCCATAACTTGCCTTACAAAGGTTAGCATGGGATGCTCATAAGGAGTGGAGTTGGAGTCTAAGTCCAGGTGGTGTGGCTGGAGTTCCAGCTCTTAGTCACACCATCTACTATCTTTAAGATTGAAAGTAGCTGTGGACTTCTCTAAATCAATTACATCTACATTTTTTCTATGCCGAAGAGAATTACGATTTGCCAATTTTTCTAGACAGCTTTGATTACTCCTCTTAAACGTAGAAAAGAATCACTTTGATGTTCTACTGCCAATTTGCACAACCTCTTTGCTACCACGAGCCCAACATCATCTCCAAAGTGATCCTTACATATTCCTGCTCCATTCTGGATGGTCCAACCCAATACTCAGCCTCAAAATAAAGGTTCTGAGGGTTACTCTGCCCAGTCTCAAGCTAAGTTCCAGTTATGTTTCTAGGCTAAAGAAAGGTCAGACCCACTGGTAATTACGTATTGTTAATTGGATCCCTGCTGGTGTTCCTCTAGTTCCAGCCAGGCTCAGCCTTCCCCTAGGCCCTTTCTCACTGTGTACATTGGTGCCCATGAGGCTGTAATAAGGGAAACCTGCCTTTAAGCATCAGCCCAGAAAGCAGCAAGGCTGGGATACGGTTGCACTCAAGCAGATGGCCTAAACAAGGAGCTGTTGGCCATGGGGAGGATGGAAGGCTTCCCCAGATAATGTAGCCTCAACCTTCAATTTGGCTAATGCTCATCCAGATGACCAGGAAGAAAAAAATCATGGTGGTGTGTGCAGAATGGCTTGACACTAGTAAGGCTGATTAAGAGTTCAGTTTAACCACTCAAAACTTAGTATGTCCCCAGAATAGTCAAAAGCAGTTAGTCAAGAGCATGAATAATATTCTACTTCCCCTATCCTCAGCTCCTAATCTTTCCAGGGTAAGATGCTCTGCAGGCTCAACCTTGAGAACAGATTTAAAATCAATACCACTGATGTGTTAAAACAATGTTTTTTGCACTTTTGATTTTAGATACTTGAATACACACAAAAGTGGTCAAGATAATATGAGGCCCCAGTACTTATCACCCAATCCAACAGCCATCAGTCCTTGGCCAATTCTGCCCTATCTGCACCCATATCCTCAACCACTCCCTACCAGATATCTTATTATTTCATTGGAAAATATGTTAGTATGTATCTCTAAAACAGTGGTTCTTAACTGGTGGTGAAGTTGCTCCCCTGGGGACATTTGGCAATGTCTGGGGACATGTTTGATTGTCACAACTGTGGAAGGGGTGCTATTGGCATCTAGTGGGTAGAAGCCAGGGATGCTGCTCAATATTCTATAATGCACAGACACCCCCAGCCCCAACAAAGAACCGTCTCCAAATGTCAGTAGCGCTGAGATTGAGAAATCCTGCTCTAAAAGATAGACACTTTCTAAAAATACAACTACAATGCCATTATCATACATGAAAATAACAAATACTATTATATTTTAATAAAGCATGAAGTGCCCAGGACAGGAATTAGGCATTTCATGCTTATGGTTTTTATTTGAAAGCTAAAAGGATCTCCATGGGCATATGTATTAAGACCTCAAAGGAGCATTCAACAATTAACTCACATGGTGTCAGTGAACTCGAGTCCTCAAGCTACTTTGAGAATATCAATTATGATTCTCATTTTCAGATAAAGCCAGTGAAAGAAGGAGTTCCCCCCTTTAATGTTACTTTGAGTCCCCTCCTCTATCAACCCCACTTCTGTTCATGGAATTTTTTAAATATATAGAAGGTTACAGTGGAGGAAGAAATCAGAAATCACCCGGCTCCACATTCAGCTTTCAGATGACTAATCTAGGTCGAGAAGGCTTCCCTACTTTTCCAAAGAACACACAGCTGGCTTTAAAAATAAAAATAATACAAGTAAAGGCATTTTTTCATTCAAAATACAGGATCTTATTTCCATTGAGGCCAATGGGTAATGCATGTGGTAAGACCCAGGATTGAGCAGGAGGGACCCCGCTGGCTGGATGAATGATTTGTGGTGGTAAGCAGTGGTTTGATGGACAGGACAATATGGGAGAAGGAGGGTCCTGAAATCCAAGAATAAAAGTTAAGTCTTTATTCCGATGATTAATATAGTGCTCTCCAATGTTGCTGAGAAAGCAGTGGGAATGGCCAGGTTAGGGTCTGGAGAGAGAAGGGTTAGAAAAAAAAAAGTCACGTCAAAAAGTTAACAAGATAGGGAGGAATTATCCCCACTACATAGTGGACTATTGAGCACACGCTGTCCTATGTGGAAAAGCATCTAGGAACCTGCACGCACTAGGTGATCATGAGGTATTCTTGTTATTGCTGAGAATCTTTAAAAACAATAATGCTGGGAGCCAATGCAGAGAGGTTAGATGAGGTTACAAAATGCTGATCTGCTGCTTTTAAGGAGGTGCCAATAAAGAAAGTCAGAAATAAATTATAACATCATTCCAGAAACAGAAGTGGAGACCTCAGGGTGGTGATCAGTTCTTGTTTCTCCTCTTTATTGTTTTTGAGTTGTTTTGGGTATGAGGCATTGAACTCTCTATTTGGAGACAATTCGCCATTGTGCAGGTGTTGATAAATTTTCCAAAGGGGAAGCTAAAGGACCTCAGACAATTCCCTCTCCCAGAGTTTTCTGTGGCTGGGGTTTGAGCACATGACCTAGGCTCATCCAATGAGAAAGTTGCACCTAGGACTTTGTGTGTTGAGGGACACAGGTGTGAGACTCTTGGTGGCAGTAGTGGAGTCAGGAGCCCAGAGGTGTGGGGAGGCCCAGGAGTGGTGGTGCTGGCAGTGTGGCCTTAACCAGAGCACAGTGTGAATTGTTTTGTTCTTGGTCATCAGGCCTGCCCCTGGTTCCTGTTTGTTTTCTGTGTCTGACCTTTCACTTTTCTAATGATTATATGAACTGCCTATGTCCTTCCAATCAACTCCTTTTTTTGATTGGGTTATCCAGAGTTGGACTCTGTTCTATAAATGATTCTGACAGCCTGTGTCATTGCAGAAAGATCATCTGATGGACATGTAGAATGGCTTGAGTTCTGAAGAAAAATAATATAGGGCAAAGGCTTGCATGGTATCTGTAATACCAGTAACAAGGTTTATTATTCTATATCTACATGCCAAATCAGCAAATACACAAGTTTTCTAAATAGCGATCTTAAGAATTTATCTTGTCTTCTCTATTTTCCTGAAATCATCAAGCCCATCTTCACAAATCAAAGTTCAGTGTGTATATGAACAATGTCACACAATCAAGGATGAGGATGAAATCTGGTAGTAATCATCACATGCAGTTTGCCACTGAGTGCTATAAATACAAAATGTCTGCTAATCTGCTCAGAGAGTCTATAAAAGAAAAAGGGAGAGAGAAAGAGAGAGAGGGAGTGCATGCACGTAAAGTCTCTATTCTAGACTATAACAGTAACACCTCTTTTAACAGAAGTGCCTTACTTCATAAACACTAGGATTGGCTTTCATGCCCTGTGAGTGAAAATATATACTGGGACAATTTTGGAGAGGGCAATAATTGAGAAACAGATCACAAGATTTTTAAATAACTGGATCTAGTTGATTCAGTTATTTTATTTCTAGGCATTTTCACAACTGCACAATGATATAAAAATACAATGTTTATATCAGCCAAGGGGGAAAAAAGCTAGAATCAACATATATAGCCATCAAGAAGGAACTGGTTAAAATATAATATCTCCATACAATGGAATACTGTGTAACCACGAAATGAGGAAGATGTATGTCTAATAATAGACAGGGATATCCAAAGTACATCATTAGGTTAGGACAAAAGGCAAGTGCAGATGTATATTATTATCCTATTTTTTGAAAACAGAAATATTAGTTAATATGCTTCCACTCACAGGGTTGCTAAGGAGCAAATCAACCGATTTCAGTTATATTTTTGTAAGTACAATATAGTAAACAATATTCTGAACATATTGTTCATGTTAACATAAGGTAATGTTAACATCCTTCTGAAGAATGAAACTGAGAAGGGGTAAACTGTCATTTCTTTATCCTAAGCTCATATAATTTTTAGAATTATAAAAAAATTTTTAAATGTTGTGATTGTACTAAGTAGAAAACATTGATTTGAGCCTTCAGGCTACTCAGGAAGCTCTTTCAAACGGGTAATTGTTACTCATGGTGTGATGAACGGATTATACTGATTTAGAGTGATATTGATTTGAAATACGTTATGATTCTGATTTTATGGGACTAAACTATAACTTCTTGATTTTTATGACGTTTTAAGATTATCTTGGTAATTTCCATGGTGAATACTAATGGCCAAAGATTATCTCTGTGTCTCAGTTCCTTTTGTGTTGAGGAACCAATATGGATTCAAACTTCAAATGTGTATGTGAATCCTGACCCACTTGAAATCTGAACAGAATAAACTGGTGATTCAGAGATGGTTCAATATTAAACACTGATAGTGTCTAACTAGTAATCAATTATTTTAAACCGTAAAGAGGACAGCAAACTTCTATGAATAAAGCATCTTTAAAGAAAACATTTCTGGCATGGCCTTACATAAATACAGAAAATCTTCTTAACTAAAATATCATTAGGGGCCGGGCACAGTGGGTGGCTCATGCCTGTAATCTCAGCACTTTGGTAGGCTGAAGTGGGTGGATCCCTTGAGACCAGGAGTTCAAGAACAGCCTGGCCAACACGGCGAACCCCATCTGTACTAAAAATACAAAAAATTAGCCGGGTGTACTGGCGTGCACCTGTCGTCCCAGCTACTCGGAAGATTGAGGCATGAGAATCGCTTGAACTCGGGAGGCGGAGGTTGCAGTAAGCCAAAACAGCACCACTACACTCCAGCCTGGGCCACAGAGTGAGATTCTGTCTCAAAAATGAAATACAATACAATAAAATAAAATCTCATTAGGGACCTGTTAATGACTACCTATATCACTAAACTGTTGAGGGATATTTAGCAAGACATGAGGGGTGTGATCACCATAATGACTGCAGGTGCTCCATTTCAGCTCAAGGACTTTCAGGTGATATCACCAGGTTTCAGAGTGAGCTGGCCCTCTCATTGTAGTACTGGGGTTACACACCTTTTACCTTAAGTTACAACAACTAGAGAGCTCTGTCTTCCCCTTGAGGCCACCTGTGTGACCTCACACCCCAGATCTGTTCTCAGAGGTGTACAGCTCTTGATAGTCAACCTAGACAGGAATGATCAGGCCTAAGAAAATGCTTCTCTTACAGGAGATTCAGGAGTGACAGATTATAGAAATGCCATTACCGTAAATAACGCATCTTGGCTCGAAGGCAAGTAGCACTTCAAATTCTCTATGGATGCCTCTTGAATTTAAAAATCAGACAATGTGGTCACCATATCCAAATGTTTTTTAAAGAAAACCTTTAAGGTACTCCAGGCCTAAAGCCCTCACATTCTGAGGAGCCCCTTCAGAGACTCCTGCCTTCTTCAAGGGTCTAATTTTCAATTGTTGTGACTGAAGGCCAAAACCATTCATGTCTAGAATGGCTGCATGGGTCTTGACCCAAAGTTCAGATCAGTGAACCAATTTCATAGTTTCTATAGCAGTCGAATTCACACAAAGTGATCTTGGGAGCCCCTCTAGTCAGCGAGTTTTCTAACCGTTCCATAGATGCACCCGCCCCCGCCCCACCCCCGACATTCTGCTCTGAAAGATGTAATCACAATCTACTGTGACCCTCTGAGTTGGCTTTGCAAGCTCATCCCAGAAAAAAGCTATCCCTCTTGGACATTACTTGGAAGAATTTTCAACCATGCCAGTGCCAAAGTTGTGAGCAGGTGGCACTGACATGCTGAGTATTCTGGGAGTCGGCTTTGGCCTTGAAGGAAGATTACAGGGGCCACATGGGTCCTATGCCACAATTTAAAACGGAGTGTGGGGGATGTGTCAGGATGAACAGGGAAGAATAGGGTGGGGAAAGTCAATTATAGCACCAGTAAAAGGGACCTTTTTATGTTCAAATGAGGTTAATGGGAGGAATTTTGATGCCAAGATATTTTTAAATATTCATTGAAAAATCAGTACGAATCTCTTTTTTTCCCCAAAAACTATTGTTCCACCAACTTTGTGGGTAGCCAATTACAATCTTAAAAAATGCCCAAGTATTGCAAATCTTTTCTGGTTTCTCTATAATTAGTTGCTAGGATCAACAAAGAAGAACTTAGGAAGCTTAATTTAATTTTCAGCAGGAATCTTAATAGAATAACAACAACAAAAAAAATAACAGGGGTGGGGAGCAGAGACAACACAATAGAAAGAGTGCTTTGACCCCTCAGCATCAAACAATAAAGCAAACAAAGGCGCTTGGAGCTGGTCTGGCCCTGGCAGACAGCCATTTTTGTCTTTGAAGCTCTCAGTGATCTTGTTGAAATACATCTTCAAAAACAGGAAATTGTGTGATTTTGATTTTCTGGCAACCTCGCCCTTTCTTGTGAACTGCCAACCAGACCATGAGCTGTTAACTTTGATTTACACTAAAATAGGATGGAGGCAGAAACAAAAGTATTTCCTTCTCACTTAAATCTCAAGATTTTCAGAAGCAGTTATAAAGCTAAGTCATTTCTGCTCATTAATGTGCCCAACAAACATTGCTGAAATGAGGCCTGTATAAAGGATGGAAGTGCATTTAGCTTTAGTTTTGCTTTGCAGCTAGAATGGGGAGGAAAATTCACCTTGATGAGAATAGAAAGTGGTGACACTTTGCATGAAAGTTGTATACATAGCTCTTAAAATTCAGTGGGTGATGACGCATACACTAGGTAATTAATAATTCCGGTAGACACTTCTGCTTTGTCAGAACAAGAAAGCAAATGAACATAGAAATGTAATGGAATGTCTGTTTCTCCATCTTTATATCAAGGGAGTTGACCTAGAACAGTGGTTGACAAACTTTCTCGAAAGGGCCTGATAGTAAATATTTTTTACTTTGCTGGGCAGGCAGTTTCTGTTACAACTACTCAACTCTGCTACTGTAGTGTAAAAGCAGCCATAGACAAAAGAGAGAAAAAATAGGCATAGCTGTGTTTCAATAAAACTTTATTTACAAGCATAGGCAGCTATGTAGATTTGGCCCAGGGGTTGTAGTTTGTTGACCCCTGGTCTAGATGATTACACTTCATACTCTCTGTGAAAGCATAATTTTGAGAGACAGAAGAGAAGAAAAAACACCAGCTTGTTCTTTCTCTCTCTGTGACCACCAATTCCTTTTCCTCAACTTATATTCTAAAATGTCCTGGCCCTGGAGGGAGGAACCCTCTCTCTCCCTCTCTGCCTTTCCATCTTTTTTGTTTTGTTTTGTTTTTGAGACGGAGTTTTGTTCTTGTTGCCCAGACCGGAGTGCAATGGCACAATCTTGGCTCACTGCAACCTCCACCTCCTGGGTTCAAGCGATTCTCTTGCCCCAGCCTCCTGAGTAGCTGGGATTACAGGCACGTCCCACCATGCCTGGCTAATTTTGTATTTTTAGTAGAGACGGGGTTTCTCCGTGTTAGTCAGGCTGGTCTGGAACTCCCAATCTCAGGTGATCTGCCCGCCTTGGCCTCCCAAAGTGCTGGGATTACAGGGATGAGCCACTGCGCCCAGCCCCCGCCTTCATATCTTTTATCCACTGCAATCTGGTTTCTCCCTACATCACACTTCAGAAACTACCAGGCAAAGACCTTGGGTACCCTCGTGATGGTCAAATCTTATGGTGGCCATCCAAGCCTCAACCTTCTTCATCCCTCTGAGGTCTTTGAATTTACTGAACTCTCCACAACTCTAAAATCTCTGTCCTCTTCTGTCTCTGGACTCAACTCTCCAGCTTGTCCTCCTGTCTCTTCAGTCTGTAGTGCTGGCTCCTTTTCCTTTATCTCTGCCAGGTTCAGCTTTAGCCCTTTCCAGTCCCAATCTCCGTGAGAGCCATTGACCATCTCCTCTCTCATGGTATTTACTTGACATTGCTAGCCTAACTGCACCTTCATCTGCCCATGTCCCTGAGCTGAGAGTCTTGGAGGCATCTTTAACCCCTCATTTTTGACCTGCAAACTGCTATGTTCCCACGTCACCAATTCCCTCACCCCTCCCCCACACCTTGAGTCAGTCCCTTGTCATCAATTGGTTGTAAAATGTCATCAGTTACCAGTCTCCCTCCACTGAAGGACCCAGATAGTCACTTAGATGATGAAACAAAGTTTTCTTAAAAAATTGAAATCGGAAGCTAATTAATAGTCAGGCGTGGTGGCTCATGCCTGTAATCCCAACAATTTGGGAGGCTGAGGCAGGGAGATCACTTGAGGTCAGGAGTTTGAGACCAGCCTGGCCAACATGGTGAAACCCTGTTTCTAATAAAAATACAAAAATTAGCCGGATGCGGTGGCACATGCCTGTAATCCCAACTACTCGGGAGGGTGAGGCATGAGAATTGCTTCAACCTGGGAGGCAGAGGTTGCAGTGAGCTAAGATCGCACCACTGCATTACAGCCTGGGCGACAGAATGACATTCTGCCTCAAAAAAAAAAAAAAAAAAAAAAAAAGGAAACTAATTAATAAAAAAGCTATTTGAAAAGAGTAGGGCAGTGGAATGTAGAGAGGTGACATCCAGGGCCACTGCATGACATTAATAAGCTATAGATGCATTTTCCTTCGTGAAGCCTTTCCTCCACTAAAAAAATAATAATTATATATATAAAATAATACATTAAAAAATTATATTTTGTGACTCTGTTAGTATAAAGATAATATAATCCATACTGAATTATATTAATATTTTCCCTTGTTATTTTTAAGAGAAATTGAAGTAATTTTGTGGTCCCTCAACTCTGTGCCTAAAGGAGAAGTCAGTCCTGTAGATATTGGTCAGATGCTGATAAAAGCACAAAAATTCTTTTTAAGAAATCTAATAATGTCAAATATTTCCCATGTTAAGCTGTTTATCTCTCTTTTAAAGAAAAATATAATGTCTACCAACAAGATTAAAAATGTTGATGTAAGTATCGGAATTATAGTTATCCATATAATATAATATTTGGTGGCACTATTAGATACCAAAATAAGGATGAGAAAATAAATATTGATATGCCCTGTTTGTGCTTTAATAATAAAGTGAAAGTCAGCTATTACTCTTTCGGTTACCACTACAGAACATATCGATCTCAAATAAAAACACTATAGATCTTCCATTCTATAAATCTCTTGAATATGTTGCATCTTATTCCGACTCATTTGATTACTTCATTGGTTCATCCAGCAAGCATTTATTAAGCACAAACCTTATGCCAGGAATTGTGCTAGGTCTGGCAATACTCTGTGTAAGTATGGTACCTTTTATTATAACTGTGACATTTACTGCTATATTAATAGGCCTATTGTTAGATCATTCATAAGTTGCCATTCCCACACAGTTGCCTCAATTATCCATGACAACAAAGATAAGCCATAAGCCATGGTTACAATAATGTGAAAGTGATTGGAACTTCACCTTAAAAGGTATTTTGTGGATCCTTAGTGGGGTGGAGGAGGGTGGGATTACAAGGAAAGGGTACTGGTATGTCTTGTTAATGATTAGGCTTGTATGGCACATCAATTCCATTCTGCAAGAGCAGGAAAGATGAACAATGTGTTAGGCTTGAGTTTCTCAAACAAGGGGTTTTGAGAAACATAGGGCATTATTAATTTTATATTAAGGCAACCTATTAAGGATCTGAGGCAACTCCTTGTCTTGGGCTTGTTGTTAAAGGTTCAAACTCTTAATTAAATGCATGACCTTGTATAATGAGTTTAGTTTTCAAATTTAGAATCTCTCTCCTCTCCCAGATTGCTGGGAGGAACATATGGCCATGTATATAATGTGCCTGGCACAAAGGGAACACTCATTGAATGTCAGCTCTTCATTTGCTGGAGCCAATCCAACATGTAACATCAACAGTTGACTCAGATGTACTCTGGGATAAATTGTTGTGCAGTTGTCTGTCTTACTCAGGGCATGGGCACAGAGTGCAAAAAGGAGATTACTCTAGCTAAGAAAGCCCTAGCTAATCAAACAGTTACCATAGACCACGGTGTGTCAATCTCAACACTGTTGGCATTGGGAGCCAGATAATTCTTTGTGGTGGGGCTGTCCTGTGCATTGTAGGATGTTTAGCAGCATCCCTGGCTTCTACCCACAAGATTCCAGTAGCACCCCCATCCCCAGCTATAAAAACCAAAAATACCTCCAGACATTGCCAACTGTCTCCTGGGTGGGGGGTAAATCGCCTCCAGTTGAGAACACCAACTTAGATGATAACCTTCAGTCCTGGAGACCTGGTAGCTTGTCCTGAGAATCAAAGGAAAGAAGGTGAGTGAAAATGAAATTACCTGGTGGCTTGTAAAGTCCAAACCCTGGAATTCTCAGTGCTGCCTGCACTTTTCTATCATCTGGGGAGATTTCACCGTCCTGAGGCCCAGGCCAAACTCCAACACAGTTAATCAGAAACTTAGTGGGTAGGATGGAGGCAGCAGTGTGTTTTGAAATTTCCTGAGTGATTCCAGGAGACGCCAGGGTGGGGCCCCTCTGCTCTAAGCTGAGATGTAATTCTCAGGACTGGGTGGTAGACTTTGCCATTTGATGAGAGGGTCTGAGCCTATGTCTCTACATGTATGCACAGCATTAATTCACGTATAGCAAACACAGCATTTGCTGACGGCCCACCATGTGCCAGCCATGGCGCTGAGTGCTGGAGAAGCAAAGTTGACAAAGACCTGCCCTTGAAGGAATTATAATCTAATTGGAGAGAGTCTTGAAAAGCCCACTGAGAAGGGCCCTGATAGAGTTTGCACAGAGAAGATCATAGGTGAGGGTATTTGTGCAGAGTACATCAGATAAGCCTTTCTGAAAGACATGAATGTTTTCATTCATTCTTAAACAGCTGGAGCCTAGAATTTGCTGCTTCATTCGAGTATAAACTTTTGCTAAGAGTCTAAGAATTGGAGAAAAGGCTGAAATGTGAATGAACATGAAGCCCTCAAACGTCTGGAGGATTATCAGCAGAGAAACTTCCATCTCCTGTGCTACCAGCCCTGTCTGATAAATGAGCAATTTGATTGGCTATTAGAGCGTAAATCACTAATTCAGGCTACAGAGTATGGATGTATACAGTCTTTAACCCAGTGATCACATCTTAGATTTCTAGATGTTTTCAAAATGAACAATTGTTGTTGCCATTTGATGAGAGGGTCTGAGCCTATGTCTCTACATGTATGCACAGCATACATGTTGTTTTCCAACATTTTATTATTAGAAATTTCAAATACACAGAAAAGTTGAAAGAATTTCATGGAAAACATTCATGTTCCCATCACCTAGATTCTATCATTGACATCTGGCCATACTGTTGTTGCTTATCACATATCTAGCCATCTGTTTGTCCCTCTGTCTGTCTATGAATCCAAGCAGTGCATTTCTTTCAGTTAGTTCTTAATGACAGCAATAGAAGAGTGAGGGCTGCTTTGAAAATTGGTGTTATTTCTACATTTGTTATGAAGCATTATCCTTACTTGTCAGTCAATTCACATAGGGTGGAGTAGGGTGTTGGGGGTAGGAGGGGGTTACACCTCCAGTTATTAGAAACCAATTCTCTAAATTAAAGTACTTATTCTAATAACTCTTGAGAAATCTCCTTTAAATTTGCTTAAACATTTCCTGTGGTCTTTGTAGATAACCTCTAGTGGGAAAAAAAAAAAATTGAAGTGACCATGTTTGCCCTAAAGGCTTTGGTTAGTTCACAAAACCTGTTTCCGCAACCCAGAGTTGCTTCAAATAGACTTCCTCCCTTTACAAAGGCTTAATGATTTGTGTAT